>NC_000016.10:50017045-50320075 GCF_000001405.40 Homo sapiens | reverse complement strand
AAAGGAACCATGCTTTAGTATCTGGAACTTTGTTTTTCTTTTTAGCTGAACAAGTGACCAATAATCTTAAAGAACTTGCACAGCAAGTAACTCCAGGTGATATCGTAAGCACGTATGGAGTTCGAAAAGCAATGGGGATTTCCATTCCTTCCCCCGTCATGGAAAACAACTTTGTGGATTTGACAGAAGGTACGTGCCCTGTTTTCTCTGGGAAAGCAGAAAGCTATGGTGACTATAGTCATCCCTCAGTGTCTGCCCGAGATTGGTATCAGGACCTCGGATTTGGTATTTACCCCACAAAGATAGCAAAATCTGTAGATGCTCAAGTCCCTAACATAAAAGGTATTTGCCTATACCCTACACACAACCTCCAGTATACTTCAAATCATCTCTACTTATATACTTCATAGAATGTAGTTAATAGACTGTATTTTTTATATTTTTTTCATTGTTTGTTGTATTTTTTTAATTGGGTTTTTTCCCCAAATATTTTTAATTGGCAGTTGGTTGAATCTGCAGATGTGGAACCCATGGATAAGAAGGGTCAACTGTAAAAGGAACATTTATCTGTTTTTAATGTATAAACTACTCTTAGTTTTCTTTTTATCTTGTCTAAAGAATTAATAAAGATTTCCTGTGTGCAGAAGAGCCACAATGATCACCTGATAATGCGCGTAGTCTTCAGCCTTGGATGTGGTGAAGAAGGGCTCTCAGCAGTTATGCTTCTGGATGGCAGCTTGACTTTCATGTCCCCTTTTTAATTAAAAGGTAAAAACAATGTTGAATTAAGTGATGTCTTTTTCTTTCAGACACTGAAGAACCTAAAAAGACGGATGTTGCTGAGTGTGGACCTGGTGGAAGTTGAGGCTGCCTGGTATTTGATTATATATTATGTACATACTTTTTCATTCTTAACTTAGAAATGCTTTTCAGAAGATATTAAATATTTGTAAATTGTGTTTTTAATTAAACTTTGGAACAGCGAATTTGGATGTTCCAGAGGTTGGACTTGTATTAGGTAATAAAGCTGGACCTGGGACTCGTGAGGAAGGAATGTGCTTGGGGCTGTTGCCATACCTGTGCAGCATTCTTTCAAAATAGTGCCTTCCAATGCTTCTTCCTTATGTCCCACAGACAGGATCATCACTAAGAAGCGTTCTTAAAACGGCCCCATCCAGTGAGATTTTCCGTTATACGAACATACTTGAAATAATTTTAGAATTTACTACTGTGGTTCTGCCCCTGCATACCCAGTGGGAATGATGCCCTTGTATGGGTAATTAGGCACCTCCCACCCACCCCTGACAAAAGCACACTGGGAGTTTTATAGCACTGTCACATGGCTAGTGTTCTTTTTTGGTTTTTTCCGTTTTTTAAAGAAAGAGGAGTTACTTAGTACTATAGCAAAGTAATAAGCCAAATAAGATAAACTAAGTCATCCTTGAATAGATCAGGGAATTACCAGATTACCAAAAGGTGACATTTCTACTTTACTTACTGTTTATCTGAAATACAAAGGTCAAGTACCCAAGGAGTTGAACTCTAAGTAGGAGACCACAAGATTCATGGCCCCCTTTTATCAGCAAGCTGAGATAAATGGTGATTTTGCTGAATCGGTATAGAACCTGTTATACACAAGGGAAAAAAATCAGGATGGAGATAGATAGATAGATAGCCTTGTTCAGTGAACAAATTAAGTTTGAAGGCCCTTATACAATCCTTCTATAAATCACCCAGGCAGGAAGCCATTTGATTTCTATTATTTTCCTGACTTTGAAAATTAATTAGTATTTAGGAAGAACAAATAGGGTAAAGGAAAATTAATTCCCTCAAAAGACTTAAAATCTTATGCTAAAAGAGTCAAATTTTCAAGTTGTTTGAGTCTACTTTTAATCTCTAGTGAGTTCATGAGGACCACGAAAATAAAATACCTTCAGATATTTGAGTTTTTCAAATTGCTAATTTAATGTATAAAAAGCAGCTAAACACTGGTACTTTATAAAAATGAAACAGCATTTTGAAACAAATGTTACAGATCTATAAATATTCATTATATAGAATAAACCCTAGTTACTTGCATGCACCACCTCAAATCATATTTCTTTACACTGACCTATTATATACACAAAGTATACAGTGGTTAATGATCTTCTCTTCTGTTTGTTTGTTTGTTTGTTTGTTAGGAAATTTCCTCAATAAGCCAGAAAACCTTAGGTATTATTTTCACAAAAGTTAACTCAGGAGAAATTGTAAGGAAGTCCTTGACCCATGGAGAAGGTCACTGTTTGTTTGTTTGTTAGATACGTGTGTCTGTCATAAAACAAAATGACACCAGTAATTACTTGGTAATTTAAAAACAAGTTCATAAAAAGAAAATACCTGCAGGTAATTTTTATGGTCAGTTATATTCTATAACCTGAACACTGAAAACTAAAAACTTTTACTTACAAACTATTATTATCTGAGCACAGCACAGTGCTTTGCTTTAATTGGAAATAAAAATGCATGAGTGAGTGGTAGTCAGTTATTTGTTAAACTCCCAACTGGGGTTTCTGTTGTTACTGAAGAAAAAAACAAATATTCCAAGAGTACAAATATGCTGACCTCAGAGAGGCCCAGTGCACTAATGTGTTTCTATGTTATATTAGCAACAGAAACCTTCCTGACTTGCCAGGAGAGCCCCCGCCGGGCAGCCCTGGTCACTGCTAGATCTTGAGAGCACAGATTTCAGTATAGTATTCATGTGAAACCAGCCCTTCATGTAAAAAGTTTTGGTGTGTAAAAAAGGCAACTTAAGCGAGGCTAATTGCCCTTACCAGCATTGTTGCCATGAAATTCCTTTATACAGCAAGTTCTTCTATTCATACTGATTCCACTTATGTGCAGCACATGAGAGCTGCCACTAGTCTACCCAGCACCTTTGTGCAAATTAGAATACACCTGCCCTTCCTCGGGCTGATAAAGCCACACGACACAGCACAGGCAGACAGGTTCAATTTTCGTTCCCTCCACCGCCACCCCCGCACTTAGCTGTACTCTTAATTTGCAGCCCGGGGCAACTCATCCCAGGACCCCAACAAGTCTGGTCAGTCACCCAATCTGCAACCCTGTATAATCATCTTGTAAAGGCTCCTGTATGCAAGACTTTGTGTAGAACTTTACGGGGTTCATGGGGACACCTAGCTAAGAATCCCTGCTATGTAGGGAAACTGAGTGCATTAGAAATCCTGGCGATGCTCTGGTGATGAGGCCACCGGTTAAGTCTTCCGGTTATGAAGTCCATTCAGAAAAAGTCACGGGCAGTTTGGTCATTTCTCACCCTGTTGTTACAGTTAGGTTGACTTTCAATTCCTTGGGAAGTTGAAGCACAGTAAGACACATCCCCAAAACCTGGCTTTTTGCATTTGCCTTGACTCACGCAGTTTCAGAGCAAGAACGGCTCAGCATTTGTGAGGGGGCGGGCTTCCCAGATCCAGGAGCCTCTGCATGCACCCATGCGGAGTAGATCCTTCTAGTTTTGAAGCTCTCCAGAGTTAGCTGTGAAGACTAAAGGAAAGAAGAGATGCACTCACAGGTTGTCCAAGTTGTCTCTAAACAGACTCCATTCCTTTCTGGTAAGAAAAGTAAGATACAGTTGAAGGACGGCAGGGGAGAACGCAAAGATGTGTGAGTAATCAAGGAAGAGGTGAAAGGCCGCACCTTACTTTCAAAGCACCTCTCTCCAGAATGCTTGCCTCACAAGCTGCCTCATTCAAAGGCAAGGCTCTGCTGCTCCCCGCCTTCTTGCTGTGACCACATTCCTCAGGACTCTATCCCCACAGCCAGCTGACCCCATAAGCTGATGCTAGACAGTAGTCCTCCTTACATGTCAGTGGTTAAAAAGGCAGAGCATACACTGGAGGGAAGAGATTTATGTCTAGTGTCTGAAAAGTCATTCAAAAGGATAAAAACCCCATTAATGTATTCATTTAAAACAAACATGCCAGACAAGGCAAAAAGTAACAGTGTTAATTGTGGTGTTTTTCTCTCTACCTGTTTGAAACCGTTTACAGATGTAAAACACCCCTTTCAGCTTCATTTACCAGAATGCCTCTGTGAGAAATGCTGTCATTGCCAGGCCCACCAGGGAGAGGGAGTCTCCAATCCGTGCTAGACAGCTCAGCTTACTCCCCCTTGGTGTCTAGAAAAACAGACCTCACTTGTGCGTGCCCACAGGCCACTGAGGTGGAAGTCTGTTTTCATCATGTGCTAAAGTTGCCTGCCTGGCACCTCAGGGAACAAAGATCTCAAAGTCAGCCCCGAACCAGTGAACATTCTCCAGCTGGCCTGGAAACTGTTACAGACCAGGCACAGAGCTTCTGGCCTCCCCTGCGCATTATGGCTCAGTGGCTGCTTCGAGCCAGAATCTGGTGCATGTGTCTGAGAAATCCTCCAGTGCAGGTCCAAAGAAGCCAACATGCACAGCCATCTGCATGCCTTTGGGATTGGCGTGGGGCGGAGAGTCTTCTCCTGGGCTTGCTTCAGGGAAGGAGACTGGCTTCCCGGCCTTTTCGGAATCCAGCAGGAGCCCTCAGTTCAGCCCCAGCCCCTGAAACTTGGCAGTGTCCGTACAGACAAAGTAAGTCCTCAGCTCGCCTTTGCCTTTGACGTTGATCAGGCCACGGCATTCACAAGAGTACCCGAGGCCCTGGAGGATGGTGCAGGTCTCCTCGGTAACCTGAAAAGGAAGAGAGACCTGTTGTCTTCAGAGGCGGGAAGAACACCTGTCATGGTAGGGACAGATAGAGACTGCCCAGGCATGCAGTCTGCCTTCCCTGGAGAGTGTGATAGCTAGAACCATGGCTGCTGGGTGAGACAGCAGCTCTTAAGTCCAAGTCCCCTCACCTCTGGGGAAGATCTTTTCCCCTTAGTCAACTGCTTCCCCAATAGGTCTTTACCTGGATTTTCCCAAGTTCTCCAGTGCTTTCCATTCGGCTGGCCACATTGACAGTGTTTCCCCAGATGTCATACTGAGGTTTTCGGGCCCCAATCACTCCAGCAATCACAGGCCCATGGTTTATGCCTGAAGATGATGTTTACAGTTACCCAAGCGTGCAGGCAAAGCCTCAAGCTTCTGCCCTTAGAGGAGGCCAGAGAATCCATACCCCAGCACAGGATGCGGGGACAAAACAACTAGAGTGAAGGCTGGGTTGCTTCCCAGAGTCACTGCGTTGCAGTCGGGCTTGGGGTATGAGGAGGGCATTCCCCGGCCAGCTCTTTTTCAGACTCAGAAGTCTGGGTTTGATGTTAACACTTGTATCTGCTAATCTCTCTTTTAACAAAGAATACTTTGTTAAAAGTATTAACAAAGGCCTGGCTTTGAGCGCAGGCCCGCAACTATTTAGGTTTAGTAACTTTGCTTCCTTCTCTATATTTTAAGGTCACCTGTTTACAGACAATAATTTTGGTTCTCCATTTTCTGTAGTTACGTATTATTAAAACTCTCAATGGTAACTATATGCTAACTATATGCAAAACATCAGAATAATTGTCCAACTGCTGAGCTTGTCAGATCAGAGGGATTTCTAAAACCTTTCATAATAGATGGCGAGGTGCAGCTGTGCCACACAGACTGGGTGGACTGGCCTAGAGGCAGGGGCTCCCCACCCCGCTCCATCACCCGGGCTCACCGACGCGGAGGCGGAAGGAGTTGAAGGAGTGCCTGTTGATGCCGTCCAGCTTACTCATCAGGGCGATGCTGAACTCCACCATGACACCAATGTGGGCATGCTGCCGCTCCAGCTCCTGCGGGACAGGCTGTGGGTCAGATCCTTGCATCTCCAGAGCCCCCAGACCTAGTGGGCCCTGGCGCGCCACTCTTGTTGAGGATCCCCACCACTAAAATCCTGGCTGAGCCCTACAAGTACCTGTGCCCCTCCCCCAGGACGAGATAAGGGCACACCCTTTAAGTAAGGTGACAGGTCACCTTTAAGTGAGGACAGTCAGCTGAATTTCACCTCTTGGGCTTGAGTACCTGGTTCTCGTGCCCTGAGGCGACGCTGAGCCCTGCAGCTGCCATGTACGTGCTGCCGATGGTCTTGATCTTCTCCACGCCGCTGAACTTGGGCTTCAGTAGGAGCTGCAGGCAAGAAGGAAGCGGTGAAGCAGCCGCCACTCCATAGCCGCAGCCAGGCTGCCCCTGCTTCTCAGGAAGGGTGTGGGGTTCCCTCCACCCATCGCCGCCTCTCGCACACACGTCTCATGGCTGCCCTGCCAGCTGAGCGCATGACTAAGCATGGTGAGGACATGGCCCTTGGCGGCTCCTGCTCTTCCTGTTGTCTCCGTCCCCACACTGTCTCCCTCTTCCCTTCCATCTGTGTCTGCACAGAGCAAACACAGCATTATCTACACAGGAATGTAGATTCTTTGTCTCCAGCAAAGAATTCAACCCAAACTGATTTCCTCTGTTTGGCTTGGTTGATAGCGTGGGCTTAGTTGGAAATGAAGCTAAGGGGCCTGAGTCTAATCTTAGCAAGCTGCCCATCACAGAGAAGATGCCAACGAATTATTTGCTGCATAAAACAGAATGAAAAAGAAATGTGTACCTTTATATTCTGTGTAATGTATGTTCCCCCCAGGCGGGCCACGTCGTTTTTTTTTTGTTGTTGTTGTTGTTGTTTGAGACAGAGTTGTGTACTGTTGCCCAGGCTGTAGTGCAGTGGCGTGATCCCAGCTCACTGCAACCGCCTCCCAGGTTCAAGCGATTCTCCTGCCTCAGCCTCCCAAGTAGCTGGGATTACAGGTGTGCGCCCCAAGCCCAGCTTGTAATTTTTTGTATTTTCAGTAGAGACAGGGTTTCGCCATGTTGGCCAGGCTGGTCTCGAACTCCTAGCCTCAAGTGATCCACCCACCTTGACCTCCCAAAGTGCTGGGATTATAGACCACCTTGCCCAGCTCTGTGTCACATTTTTAAATTGGGTTTTAGGATGGCAGGTGCCACCGCCCTTCCCTCTCCAGCATGGGTGGGGGCTGCTGCGCAAGGCTGGGCTAGAGGCTGTACCTCGTCGAAGTCGGCAATGATCTCATTGAGCAGGCGTAGGCACTCCAGCCCTTCTTTGTTGACATCGCACTCTGTGTAGAACACTTTGAAGTCCGGCACGGAGGCAAACATGACACAGACGCAGTCATAGGACTGATGGTACCAGTCCTGGATGGGAAGAAACCGGACCTTACACCACTTCACCTCTTGAGGGGACAGGAAGAGTGGCAAGGCCTCAGGAGCAGATGGCACTGCTGAACTGCCCAGCCCAGCTTTCGGGGAGTGGGGAGGGGGGCGGGCTGCATGAGTTTCATCTGGTGGCTGTTACCGGGTGATTAAGAATTGGGTGGCCAGGGAGGGTCAGGCTCAGGTTGGTTTTTGCTCACAGAAGCACCATGGGTGTTTCCATGTACACATGGGGTGAGAACCTCTGCAGTAGTGGAGGGTAACGGGAGGTCTTCATTCTCACTGGGCCTCCGTTTCCTATCTAGAAAACTTGCTACACATAACTAGTAGAAGTACAGACATTTTCATCAACACAGAATGTCCAGATCACAAACCCCTGAACACACATTTCATCCTCGCCACAAGCCTGTGGGGAAGGGCTGTCAGCCCATTTTACAGAGGTGAAGACCAAGGCCTGGGAAAGCAAGGTGCCTTGTTCACGACCACACTTGAGCCCAGGTCCCTGACCCCAGGCCCATGCTCTCACAGCTGATGCCATACATTGTCGCCTGGGCATCCCGGTGAGGCCAGGACCTGAGGAAGCCAAGCTCAGCATGCACTCCAGCTCCACACCTTCACCCTACGGACTGCGCCTGGACCGTCCGCCTCCCTGCCCCCGCCCCAGCCCCTTCTCAGCACACCTCGTTTAACTTGTCACCGATAAAGTGGGCAGCCACGTGGGCTGGCAGGACGTTCTCCAGAAGAAGGCGGTTCACGTTCTCCATGGTCTCAAACTCCTCGTGCTCCTTCTTGAACTTCTTCTTCCATAGGCAGTCCAAGCGGCAGTAATAGTCAATCTGCAAACGGCAGCAACATAAGCGCCCCGTCCACAGGCAAGTGGGAGCCGTGCTGCTGTGCATCTCCTAGCCAGGTCTGTCTGTCCCTGGCGTCCTTGGAGCCTCTGGCCAGGGGACCAGTGCTTTCCTGGCAGGACTCTAGTCTTTTCTGCTACTCCACCTGAGCCCACCCCACCCCACCCCATCTCCAGATGGAGGTGAGGAAAAGTGGGCAGAGCTTGGGGGGGGGGGGGGGGCCAGCCTCCTTACCTGTCTGGAGAGTGTAAGCAGGGTGATGTAGAACAGGACCAGGTAGAAATTGGTCATGGTCTTCAGGTCCTTCCAGGAACAGCTAGGGGTGCCACTGAATGCGAAGGGAGGCCCAAGTCACTCCCAGCACTCACCACTCCAACCCACTGAGTCATGCTCTCCAGGTGCCACGCACACCCAGGGGAAAGGGGAAAATTGATTCTAATGGGGTGGGTAGAAAACAAGACAACTTTGGGGTATTATAAAGGGGGGAGGGGAGAGGTGGGCAGGGAGATGGGGGAGCCCTTGTGGGGAAGACCTCTGATCTCACCCCTGAATGACCAGAATCAGCTGTGATGAGGGCCTGAAGGGAGCCCAGAACTGGTGAGCCAGGGTCAGTGGCAGGCGGGGTGGGGTGGATGGGTGGCATAAGGATTTTGCAGGTGCGGGGCAGACCCACAGGAGCAGGTTCTGTTCTGGGTCCCAGGCTTCCAGCTTTTTTGTTTAGGGGGGCCAGGTCCGCTCCTTAATCCACTTGGGACCCAGAACCCCTAGAACCACACACCCCAGCCCTGCCAGCCTCAGGTATCACCACCTGTCCAGGAAGAGATGGAAGCAACTGCTCCTTCCAGAACTCGAGACCCAGGATGTGGCCTTGAGAGGCACAGAGCTAGAGCTGCAGCCTCCTTCCCTCCCCACCACTAGACTGGCCTGGAAACAGGATGACCCGGTGGCCTCTGTCAGACTAGGGACTTCCTAAAGAACCTGCCAGTGAATTCCTCGGCTCTGAGCGCTGGACACCATCTGCCAGCCCCGCCCTGCAAGGTGCCCACTCCCCATGAACACAGAAGCCCCTTGGTGCGAGCAGGCAGGCACCAGATGAACAGGCCACCATGGGGATGGGGACGGGGACGGGCGGGACCCCACCTGGTGGTGCCGTTGGGCTTGGTGAGGTTGCCCAGGCCTTGGCCGCAGCAGTCCCACTGCCAGCATGGGGAGAGGTTGAAGAGCACCAGGTAGGCCACCAGGGCCACTGTCAGCAGCACAACCTTTGGCTCCAGGCTCATCCTCAGGAAGACCGAGCAGGCGATGAAGCCCAGGACACAGCTGCAGGTGTAGTACTGAGGGGGCAGGGTGTCACTCAGGACAGGGCCACCCCACCACGTACTCTCGCCTCCAGCCCAGCACATACCACAGAGCCCCACTCCCTGCACCTCAGCATCACGCTCTTGCCTTACCACCTCCCTTCTCAACAAAAAACAATGAGACCTAAGAGTGTCCAGTGTTGTTTTCACTGTAGTTTTATTTCTTATGAAGTGAGCTCATTTAAACGGGAAAAAACAGTATGCAGGTGCTGTGGATACAACAGACCACAGTCAAGGTCAAGGCCGGAGCGTGCATGCATCCAAGCTGCCTCCCTGAGTTTTTGTGAGCTTACCCTCCCAAAGGACCTCTGCCCTGCTCAAGATTGTGCTGTGGCTCCCCAGCCCCCAGAATAAAGACCACGCTCTTCACACCCCGGCATTCCTGCACCTCCCAGTCTGGATCAAGCCTGCCCCCGGCTCCATCTCCCAGTTCTCCCCACTCCCTCTCCAGGAGACAACCCACCCAAAACCCCACTGCTCCCAACACACGCCTCGGCTTTTTCCCATGCTGTCCCTTGTCCCAGAACCTTTCTGCCTTTTAGAGCCCAGCTCACTGCACTGCCAGCCTCTGAAGCTGCAGAGTCTGCTGTCTGCAAGGCCCTCCAGGCAGAGACCTTGACCTCTGCCATCAGCCTGTCTGGGCCTGCCCTGGCGCCATCACCTAATGAAGCCCCTCCCTGAGCTGTGCATACTCGTGTATAAAATAGTGACAGGCCTGTCAGAGAGGAAGTGCCCTGACCAGAGACCCGCACAAGGCCAGATGCTCCCCTCACTCCCTGCCTACCCACACAGCCTAGACCAAGCCTGCCAAGGCCAGGACTCCTCACTCCCTTGGGCCAGAGGCCAGCTGGGCCCATGGGACCCTGCTTTCCCAGCTCTGCAGGAGAGGCTGTTCTCAGCCTCCACATGCTGTGCTCTCAGGGGTCAGCACCCATGCTTTGAGGGTCCAAACTACACCTCTGGCAGCAGCAGCCCCACTCTGAATGAGGCCACGGAGCCGGGCCCGGCGCACTCACCGGGAGGGGCTCACACAGGGCTCTTGTCTTGCTGCTCGCGGCCAGTAGGCCTGTCTCATTGCCAACAGGCAGCTCTGGAACTTGGAAAGGCATCAGGGGCTGTAGAGGAGACAGGTCCCCATCAGTCCAGGGACAAGAACGCTGGAACCTGCCCAAGCCATGCAAGGTGGGCCCCAGGCAACCATGAGTATCACAGCAGCCTGAGGTTTCACGTTGGGATCAGCTCTGAGCACGGCTCAAGCCGCCGTGCCGACTCCCCACAGCAGCCGTCAGGTTCAGAGGGCAGAGGGGCTAGGAGATGAGGGTGCAGACACCCCCAGAGCGGCAGCAGCCAGGGGGAGGGGCCGGGACCAACATTTTCAGCCTCCCCAGGTGACCCTGAGGGAGGTGGTCACAGGAACACATTCCAAAAACCCAGGGTCCGGGGCAGAGAGGTGAGGGAGAGGCCCTAGCCCAGGATGCGGGGTCTGGGAGAGAGGTGGACAAGTGTCCCGCAGGCTGCTTTCTGCAGCACTGAGCCTCTGAGCCCCAGCAGAGGAGCAAGGGTTCATCCCTGAGAGGGGAAACTGAGTCTCAGAAGGGCCGTGAAGAATGAATGGGATGTCAGGATGTGGTGGCTCAAGGCATCACATCCTCCTGGAGCTGGCCACACAAGCTCTCTGGGCCCCCAAAGTCCGCATTTGAGAACCCAAAGGTGAGGAGCCCTGAGTGTACAAAGGGGAACCCCCCACATCCACCTGCTGAGCTCGGGGGAGAGGACAACCAGAGGCAGCTTTTAAGGCCACATTGTAGGCGTCCCAAATCTGGAGGTCTCCCTCTACCCCGGAGGCCTGCCTCCCCACCACGGGACCCACCAGGTTGATGATGGCCACAGTGAGCAGGCTGCCGATGGTCAGGACGGCCAGGGTCAGCCTCAGCAGGGGCTGTGTCTCCACCCTCTCAGAGATAGTGCAGAGCGTCCCCCGAGCTGGGCAGCACCTCTGTGGGGTAACAGGGTCAAGTCACCCAGAGCCAACAGCCTGGGCAAGGAGGGCTGGTCGCTGGCAGCCTGGGGAGGGGTATCCTCGGGAGAAGCCTCCAGGGCACTCAGGAAATTGTCCCCGAGGCAGGAGAGATGGGCACCCAACCTTGACCAGAGCAGGGGCTCAGCCCAGCCAAGCTCACCAGGGAGGGCTCCTAGGCAGGTGTCCTGAGGCAGGGAGGGAGGGCCCGCGGGGCCAGAGCTCCCCACTTACCGAGAACTTGGTGGCAAAGCACAGGCCCAGCACCAGCCCCAGTACACAGGCCACCAGCCCGAAGGACACACCCAGTGCCGCCGTCCTGGAGAGGAGGGAAGAACCTCAGTTCTGCCTAGGGCCTTCTGCCCAGGACCACCGCCCCCACCAATCCTCTGGCTCACAGCCACCTGTCCCCACCCTACCTGGTATTCTGCCCACAGCAAAGGGGACCTGTGAAAACTGTGGCCCAGCTGCCCCATGGGCAATACACAGGGCCCAGCTAGATTATGAAGATTGAGGTCAAGACCATATCACTCTTTTTGGTCCAAGTGTATAAGAAATGAGCAATGTCTCTGCAGCCTTTAGACTCAGAAAAAACTGTAAAAACGCATTCCCTATTACATCTTTCTTCGTTTTTTTTTTTTTTTTTTTTTGAGATGGAGTCTCACTCTGTCACCCAGGCTGGAGTGCAGTGGCATGATCTCGGCTCACTGCAACCTCCGCCTCCCAGGTTCACACCATTCTCCTGCCTCAGCCTCCCGAGTAGCTGGGATTACAGGCGCCAGCCACCACGCCCAGCTAATTTTTGTATTTTTGGTAGAGACGGGGTTTCACCATGTTGGCCAGGCTGGTCTCAAACCCCTGACCTCGAGTGATTCGCCCCGCAGCCTCCCAAAGTGCTGGGATTACAGGCGTGAGTCACCACGCACAGCCTCCCTATTATGTCTTTAGTAAGCATAGCCAAAACCACAATCCTGGTCGATGCTTCGGCCTAACTGCTCTTCTAGAAAGCACCAAGTAGCTGACCTTAGATCCCCCTTCCCTCTGACTTCACCCTCATCCCTATACCCCACCAGCAGGGCCCTAGAGCCAGAAGCATGAATCTCAGTGAGTTTTGGATAAATCATTAATCCTCTGTGCCCCAATTTCCCTATATATAAGAGAAAAAGGATGGCGCCTACAGTTTTCAGAGTCTATCCTCCTAGCACTCCAAACACCTAAGGCAAGGGCTGTCAACCAAAATGCATGCAGGCCACACATATGACAGGTGGCTGAGGAGAGAGACGTTAGGGAGTAGGGAGGCCTGTGGCAGAAAACACACATTCTATTAAAAAGAAGTGTTGGTAACTCAAGGTGTGCTGCCACAGCCCCTGGTCCAGTTGCTAGGACCCCAGCAGCCGACCCCTTCCAGCCCAAATCACACAGCTCCTTGCAGGTTCATAGTCACCTTCCAGCCTGGATCCCAGCAGGCCGGACCCCCACACCCCTCCCTGCAACTGACCTGGGCATGAGCAGGACATGGACGAGCAGGATGCAGACGAAGATCAGGCTGGCGCAGGCAAAGTCGTGGCGGGCCCGGGGGATGGGTGCCAGGCGGTACTGGGGGCAGCAGGGACTGTGAGGGGTGGCCACCAGCAGTGCCACTTGCCCACCCTGCCTCCAGTGAATCAGCTTTAAAAAAAACACCTCCCTGCTGGGACAGTGGCTCACGCTTGTAATCCCAGCACTTTGGGAGCCGAGGAAGGAGGTTCACTTGAGCCCAGTAGTTTGAGACCAGCCTGGGCAACATAGTGAGTCCCCATCTCTATTTTTAAAATAATTAAAACCTTCCCACCCTCCTTCAGTTCCAGGTGATGTTACACTTGGTAAGTTTCGCCTGTTTCCATTCTCAGCTTTTTCCTGTTTGAAGACAATGCCTTCCCCTGCCCTACACCACCCGTCTCTCTCTTTCCAAGGTCCCTGCAGAGCTCATGGCCCCAAGTACATGGACAGGAGCCAAGTCTGAGCTTCCGGGGCTGTCCTCACCTCAAACCAAGAAGCTGGCAGGTAGGGAGACCATCCCGCCCCCCACCCCCACTCCCACCCAGGCACCATCGCAGGATCACAGCCCCAGAAGGGTTCCTGCTGCAGGGAAGGAAAGCAGGCTCGGCGGCCCTGGCCACACTGGCCACACCCTGCCAGGTCACTTGGCCAGCAGGTTTCCTCGTGACCTCACCTAGGAAGCCCCCAACTCAGGGAGCCACACCTGAAGCTGGGGACAGGCTCTGAAGCCTCTGAGAGCCAGTTTCCTCTCTGTGAAGTGGTATAGCAGCACCCCTGGGCTGGCCGTTGTGACGGTTAAATTATATAATGTGGGTGCCGAGGATGCTGCCAGAACCCAGAAGGCGCTCAGTAAAGAAATGGTCGTTATCAGTACAAAAAGCTCATAGCAGCAAGACAGGACACTGATAACTGAGCTTTGGGTTCTCGTCTCATTGCAAGGCCGGTGCCATCAGCCTGAGGCATCCATGCCAGGATCTGCTAAGGCTTTGGCACTGGACGGAGCAAAAGTCTTGCAGACCCATGGAGGCAAATCTCTGATGGTGCATTTGGGTCATGGAATGAAGCCGACAGGAGAGAGCCAGGCTGGTGCTGCACTGGCCCCGCCCCTGCCCCCCGCCCAGGAGCAGCTGTGGATTCTCAGTGCCCCTCCCCTAGCCGGTCTTGGGAACGCAGGCTGCCCCATGACCTGCGTCCCCCACCCTACCCCAGGCCTGGAGACCCCGTCCCTCTGCGGAGGAGGCTGCTGGGGGCCCTCACCTCGCGCTCAAAGCCCTTCTCCAGGAAGATGGACCCAAAGGTGTAGAAGTCATCGGACTTGGAGCAGCAGGGCCTGTGGGCGGGGGCAGCTGCGGTGAGATGGGGGCTGGGAAGGGGTCCATTCCCTCAGGAGGTGGCAGCAGGCAGGGGGAAGGAACAAGGCTGGGCCACCAGGCATGGGGTATGAGATGGGCCTGCCCATATAGGGGACCCCTATCCGAGGGGGAGAGGAGAGGGGGGTGGACAGAGGTCTCAGACCTCACCTCGTGGAGCTGAGCCCCTCAATGGCTGACAGCATCTCGTCATCGTACGAGTCATCCTCCGACCGCCCCTTGGGGGACATGCTTCTGGAATCAGATACCCACAACTGCATCAGCACAGCGACCACCTCCAACTCTCCCAGAGGAGGGTGTGGACGTAGACACCAGTGGGGTCCCAGAACCTCAGGTGGGATGGTGAAGGAATGGGTGGGTCCCACTGAGGCCCAGAGAGGGCGAGTGAGGACCCAGCATGGCCCAGCATGGCCCAGCTGGCCAGCAGCCAAGCCAGAGGCAGAGGGCAGACCCGAGCCCCAGTCTAAGGCATCTTCGGCTACACCCCCGGGATTGGCATGGGGACCAGGACACCCACAGTCATCTCCTTCCCTTCCACCGACTCCACTGACCCCGCCAGGGCACCATACAACAGGTGCTCCATCATGTGGCCATGCAGAAGGGCCAGGGGCCAGGAAACTCTGGTTCCTAGAAATGCTTTGACCCAAGCCCTGGCCAACTTCACAGAGGTCCTGGGCTGGGCCTTGCGGAGCTGCCCACTGGACAGAGGCTGCTCAGGGCAGCCTGCTTGGAGGAGGTGGCTGCAGCAGGACTTGGCCAGGAGGGCAGGGCACGCACCTGTCTGGGGTCCGGCGGTGGCGCTGGGGAACGCTCTGAAAGGGAAGGGAGGAAAGGATACAGTCATTCCCCAGAACACTGGGCCCTGAAGGCCACTGCTGGGCCAGGTTCAGCCCCTCCGGCACTTGATACACAGGACAAGGTGTCGGGGTCGTCCAAGCCACAGACATCCTGACTATAGCTGAGCGTGGTCCAGGCATCAAGGAGGACAGGGATGTTCCTGGCCATCCCGGAGTATTCTCCAAATGTCTTTGCTTCCTCTCCAGCCCCAGGAGGTGGGGCAGAGGCTGTGGCCATTTTACAGATGGGGACAGTGAGGCTGAGAGGGCAGGAGATCTTCAGCACTCACTCTCCTGCTCCTGGCTTGGGGCCCCAATCCCTGGCTTTCTGGGTGGGAGGGGGACCTACCTTAGGCCTCCGCCCGTTGGGGACGTGGGTCTCACCACTGCTCACGCTCTCACGGTGGTTGAGATGTGCAAAGGGCCG
Source organism: Homo sapiens (assembly GCF_000001405.40). Classification (NCBI taxonomy): domain Eukaryota; kingdom Metazoa; phylum Chordata; class Mammalia; order Primates; family Hominidae; genus Homo; species Homo sapiens. Next base: position 50,304,473 of record NC_000016.10, on the reverse strand, counting down.
TGCCGCCCCCCAGGACTCGAGGTACCGGGTCATGCGCACTGACGCCCGCATCTTCAGGGCCGCGTCCCCCTTGGGCCTGGGGAGGTGTTGGCTGGGCGGGGGTGGCTGCTGGCTCTGCGGGCAGACATGGACATGGGCCTGTGCCACCTCCTCCCCTCTCGGCCCAGGAAGGGGCCGCCATCCCCATCCAGCTCTCCCTGAAGTGTGACGCCGCCCTGAGCCCGTGAAAAAATAAACAGCAAAGAAGTTGCTCAACCCGCAGTCCCCTTGGAGAGCGGCTGCCCTTGGGGACTAGCCAGCCAAAGCCTGGTGCACTCTGAGGCCAGGCCATATGGGGTCCCAGCTCGGTGCCCTGGCCTTTCCCCAGGCCGAGAAGAGGCTAGCAAGTACCCACCACTGTACCCAACCCCATACCCTGCTCTGCCTCCCCAGGGAGAGAGGCAGGGCTTGGGTCCCAAGCCCGAGGCCCCACTGCCCTTGAGGCTCCTTGGAACCAGAGAGTCCCTGGGGCCTGAGCACCCATCAGCTCCTCCCCAGGAGGCGCCTGGGAAAGCCACAGGCATCCTACCCTGCCCTCCCACGTGTGGCCGGCACGCATTCGCTCCTTCCTGTGAGAAGCAGCCAGGAGGAAGAGGGGTGCTAGCCGCCCCGAGAAATGGCCAAGCCAGAGGCCAGCCAACCCCCAGGGCAGCGATCCAGGGAGTTCCACTTGTGTGGCCCCCAACCGCAGATGGCACAGGGCCATGACCTGCCACGTGCCTGCGAGACCCAGCCTCATGCTGGACACTCAGTAGTTCAGCCAGGCCCTGAATGCACGGCCAGCCCTACCCGCCCCCACTCATGCCACAGACCTGAGACCCCCACCCCGATCCAAGAACACATGCCTGAGGCCTTCGCCAGTTGGGGTGGCCAGACAGGACTGGAAAAGGGACAGGGAAGAGAAAGACCCACAAGGCCACCAGAGATGAGCTTAAGCGGGCTCCAGGTCTGCTGAGTCTCTCCTTAGCCCCTGAAACATTCCTCTGCCTCCGGAAGTCCTGTCTCCTAGGGCCCCACAAACACCCCATGGACAAGCCTCCACAGCTACAAGCACTCGATAAGCCACAGCGCAACTTTCCTGGAAACCTCTCACCTCCTTTTGGGATAGAAACATTTTTAAGCCCTTAGCTGCATCTATCTGCCTAGCCACGGGAGCCACGTGGAATTCAGCCTCGGTGAGTGTCCCAGAGCAGGAAGAGCGCGCTGGCCCTGTGGTGAGCAACCTGGTGGGGGTGGATGCGTTTCTCTGTCCCCTCCTCCATTGTGACAACTCTGCCTACACAGCACCTAGCCACTCAAGTTCAAGGTCACTGGCACTTAGCAGAGAATCCAGACACCCCAGCCCCCTGAGAAACAAATAAAAAGCAGAAACAAAAATCAGATTCCTCAGTTCTGAGCAAACACATGCCTACTCGGAATGGGCATGGCATTGGTATGAGCCCCACGGGGGCAGCTGCAGCCACCATCCAGTCCACAGGAGCCCACCTTGCCCCAGCCAGGCCACACAGCAATGGCGTAAGGCAGAGCCCATAGAAGCCAGTGCAGAAAATCCACCTCCATGTCAAAAACAGGAGCTACAGACGAGCACCCTGCACACAGGAGGGATGTCCCCAAGGTAGGAAAAATGCAGGGTGCGCGACCATGGGGCCCGCCACTGCCACCTTAGCAAGAAGGGTGGGGGGACTCGCAGTTCACTCGGTGTCCGTGAAAATCCCTGTGGAGGGAATACAAGAAACTCACTGCACAGGTCCCCTCTGAGATGTGCCGGCTGGGGACAAGGAGTCTTTCTACAACACGCCCTTCACACCTTTTGAACTTTCAACTGCGTGGATAAATGAAGTTAAACAAAAAAGAGGGTGGGGTAGGGTGGGGTGGGGGGAAGGTGGGGCCGCCAAATAAATACAACTGTCCAGTTGAGTACTGCGTGCAACACTTATGCGAAACATGATTTACAGTTATCTGAAATTCAAGTCGGCCCAGGCAGCCTGCAGTTTTCCCTGCTCAACCTGGCAGCCTGCGGGGGTGGATTTTGGAGCCTCCTGGGTGAGGAGCTCTGCTTCACTCATTCAAGGGCTATCTGAGCACTAGCTTCGAGCCGGGCATCCATCTCAGCACGGGGTGGGGGGCTGCAGCCTGGAGAGGAGGAGCCCCCCGGCATGGCACTCATGCTGACAACAGACAAGGAAAATGGATAAACAAGCAAGGGCATTAGGGACGGAGGGAGGAGTGTTTTGAGTGCAGGGACCTGCGGGTGCCACCACCCTGGTAGTGGAAGGGCAGGAGGAGACCAGGTGGGGTGAGGGGGACAGGAGAGCAGGGGAAGGGGCTTGGAGGGGCGGGGCCAGGGCCGGGGTACAGGGCGAGGATCAGGGCCCTATTCTAGGAGGGTGGTGGAATGGGACACAGGTACCGGCAGGGGTTTTCCCAGATGCTGGCTCAGTATGGATGGTGCAGCACTGGGGGTGCTGGGGGCAGAGTGAGGCCAGCAGATGTGTAGGGAGGCTCACAGGCCAGCCCTTGGTCCCCCAGGGTCTGGCAGTCGGGCCAGCCCCAAGGCATAGCGAGGACCAGAGTGAAAGGAGCCACTCGCTGGCTGGGCCGACATTCTTGAGCAAGCCTCATGGATGATTCACAGAGAAGTGGCCAGACGTGCCGGACTCCCTGAAGCAGGCCAGGGTCGGGCAGCAGACAGGCCAAGGCGGGCCCCACCTGGCCAGGGCAGTGGAACTGCCTCCTCCACCGTGGGGTCCTGGAGCCACCAGGGGACCTGCAGTCAGCACCCAGGACACTCAGAGGCTCCTGCCCAGTGGCTCCCAGGCCACTCCCTGCTTTCCTGAGTTTCATCCAAAGCTTGTTTTGAAAGTGTGTCTCTCGGAAATCTGGGAGATTAATAACCACCTCATGGAAAATAAACCAAGAGTGACGAGAATACATAGAATGCTGTGACGTGCCAGGCGCACTGTGAAGGCCTCGCTCGGATTAGCTCCTTCTGGTGAGGCAGGCGCTGTTTTCCCATCACATAGAAAAGAATGGAGGCCCAGGGAGTGGCTACTCGGTGCCTAGAATGTGCCTGGGAACAGGGAGCTCACTCCTGCCCAGGCAGGGCCCTTCCCCACCTCTCCCTCCACATGGGGGTTTCCTCCAAGGTGCGGGCCAGGCTCTCCAGGGCCCCTCCAGTCCCTCCGGGTCCCCCCCAGCTGCGGCCTCTGAGCCCTCGTACCCGGGGGTCGATGACCAGGTAGGTGCGGATGTTCATCTCCTTGAGGTAGGGGTCCCGCTGCTGCCCGTGCCCATCCTCCACCTCGTACGCCTTGTCCAGGTGCTTTAGCGTGGCCTCCGTGATGTGCACCCGGCTACGGGAGACCCAAGTCAGGCAGAGCCTTGGGGCCCAGAGAGGGCTGGCATCCACCCAGGGATGCACAGCAGGCAGGCCTGGGCCCCAGGCCAGCTTTTCTACATTCATCTCTCCCTCCACACCTGACCCCCACCCCCAACCGCAGAACCCTCCATCCACAGCCAGCCCCAGGCCTCTGTCCCTGCGGCTACCCAGCCCAGCCTCACCCGGGTACTCCGGCTGCCTCCATCCGGTTGGCCAGGGACACGTCGTGGGACCACACGTCATACTGCCACTTGCGCAGCCCGATGACCCCGCACAGCACATTCCCCGAGTGTATGCCCACACGCATGTTGATGTCCACGCCCGTGGCCTCCCGCACCTGCCTGGGGCAGAGTGGCCCAGTCACCCCAGCCCTGCCTAAGCCCTGGGACAGGCTGAAGCTCCCAGGTGTGGGGTGGGTACAGGGCAGCATGTGGGAACAGGGCAGGCGCTCAGCCCACGGGAGAGAATGTTCTCAGCCTGATGGGGCTGCCTCTTCAGGAAGAGCTGAGTGCCCCATCCCCAGGAGCATACAAGTAGGTGTGGCCACAGCTGACCTCAAGGACTAGGTAGGAGGGAGGAGGAATTCCAACTAGTCACTACAGCCCATGTTGATGGACCTAAAATACCATCACTGGGTGTTTTCCCTGCCCAGCAGCACCGGCTGGGTTTTAAAAGTTTACTGGGGGCCGGGCGTGGTGGCTCATGCCTGTAATCCCAGCACTGTGGGAGGCTGAGGCAGGCAGATCACCTGAGGTCAGGAGTTTTGAGACCACCCTGGCCAATATGGCAAAACCCTGACTCTACTAAAAATATAAAAATTAGCCGGGCATGGTAGCAGGCGCCTGTAGTCCCAGCTACTTGGGAGGCTGAGACAGGAGAATCGCTTGAACCCAGGAGGCAGAGGTTGTGGTGAACCGAGATACGCTCTGGGCAACACAGCGAGACTCCATCTCAAATAAATAAATAAATAAATAAAGTTTACTGGCGTCTACAGAGGGGGTCCAGGAACCACCCAAAACCTAGCATAGACAAGGAACACAGGGGCCCAGACCATGGGCACCTTCTATGCCCCCCCAATCCCTGGGAAGCAGGGGCCCTGGGAGTTGTTAGCACCACTGAGCACAGGAGCAGAGCCCCACGGGAGAGCTTCCTTGGGGCACAGGGGACGCCCAAGACAGGAACAGAGCCTGAGTCCCCATGACAAGCGGCACCACGTGTCCACCAACAAGGCTGGGCACTGACCAAGCCTTCCAGGGTCGGAACCAGAGGTGCACGAGGGCCTGTACAACCTCCGCCTGTTACAGGGCAGGGGCCAGCCTGAGGTCACACAGGCAGTGGTGCAGGCCAGGCCCCTCCAGCTCTGCCCAGGCTTCTTTCTGGCAACACCAGCCACCTATGGCAGGACTTCAGGAGAAGGACAGGCTGGAACACGGCCTGATATCCAGGACGGGCAGCCCCACCGGGCCCTGCTCTGCCCCACACTGGTCAGCCTGGCTGGGCCTGCCTGGCCCTCTCCCCATACAGCCCTCTCGGCAAATTCCTCCCACAGACCCCAGCTGCTCAGAGCCACAGGGGACCTAGAGGGGAGCGGGGGGTCTCCCCGCAGCCTCAGGACCAAGCCTGACTCCAGGATCTTCACTGGGGAGCAGGAAGCAGATGGAGCCTTGGAGTCGACCCCTGGGTCGGAAAGGTCCCCCGGCTGCCTACCCTGAAGCCTCCTGCTGTTGCTAAGACCCCATCCTTGAGGGGAGCGGAGCCCACCGCCCTGACCTCACATCACCCAGCTCTGAGCTCCGGAGATGCTTTCTGGGACTCAGAGTCACAGGCAGCACCACAGGGAGGGACGCAAACAGATGAAGTCTGAATCCTCCAGCAGGCTGGGTGGTCCAGGCAAGCTGCTTTCACCCCCAACCCCCCGAGCCTCAGTTTCCCCATCTGTGACATGAGAATGACACATCCCCTACCATGCCCAGGAGGGTCCGCCACAGGGCAGGACCCAGGGCCTGGGCCCGCCCAGGACCTACTTGATGGCCTGGCACATGTCCAGCCCCATCTTCACGCAGTTCCGGGCGTGGGTAGGCAGCGACACGGGCAGGCCCGATACACAGTAGTAGCAGTCGCCGAGGATCTTGATTCGCATGCACTCGTTGGCCTGCAGGGTGAGGGAAGGGCCTGGTCACTGGAAGATGTGGGGCTGGGACCTCTCACGACAGCCGCCTCCCCCCACCCTCCAGGGTGCACCCGGCTCTCTCCTGGCTGGGGGCTTGCCTCCTGGGGTCCAGTCACCAGGAGCCACTTCTGGGCCTGGCAAAAGGCTTAGCGACATGGGGGCCTCCCCAGGAGGAACCCCCAGGCAAGCACCAGAGGTGAACACGAGTGTTCCTAAGGGCCTCGGGGAGGGGTCTGCCTTGGTTTCATTTGCCCAGGTAATGTTTGAGTGCCTACTGAGTACCCGGCCCCAGGCCAGGCAAGGGGACACAGCAGTGAACAAAATAGATGCAAATCTCTGCAGCCACGGAGCTTGCACGTAGGCAGGAGGGGTGGGCACTAAACTAGAAAGACAAAAACAAAACAGTGTGCCCAGCTGTGATGGGGGCTAAGGAGAAAACCAAGGCACAGGAGGGAAGTGATGTTCCCAGGAGGCCAGCGAAGACCTCTCAGAGTTGGAATCAGAAACATTTGAGCTAAGACCCCGAGGAACCGAGAGAGCCGGCCATGCCAGTCTCTGCAGGAAGAGTACTCAAGGACTCACAGGAGCCCTGGGGCCACAAAGCTGGGGAAGAGACTGCGAGGTAGCCAGGAGGCTGCAGGAGTGGGGGGTGAGGACAGAGGTCACAGGTGTACACACCAAGGGATCAGCAGGTTTCAAGGTCACCCAAGCAGTGGCTGTGCTGACAGGGCTTAGGGGTGGGGAGGAAAGATATCAATGCAGAGAGGAAAGAGGGAATGGGGAGGGCAGAGTAGGAGAGCGGCGAGGGTGGGGACTCATAGGAAAAGGCCCAGGGAGAGAAGGGGACCCCCGAGAGCCCTCTGAGGTTCATCTGAGGCACTGCTGCGTCACCAGACCCTCCTTAAGCCCTCAGCAAGGGTGGCCACATGCACCGAGGCCTCATGGGTGGGGCTTTAGGGGAGCTGAAGAAGGAGCGCCATCTGCCTCTGCTCTCCCCTCCCCACCCTCTACCCCACTCAGCTGACCCTCGGACTGGACGCCCCAGCAGGTGGCCCTGTGCTCTGGCTTCTGGCCAGGAGGGAGCTAAGAGGGCTCTGTCCTGCAGGCTCACGAGGGCTAGGCCTGCTCCTGGAACACCATCTGTCTCCAGGACTCGAGCCTATCCTGTCCTCGTCCCTACTCTGTGCCCATCAGCCATCACAGACCCAGGCCCCAGACACAGCACCAGCCCTGCCTCCAGGTCCCCTGCACCTGCCCAGCCTGGGAACCATCCCTGGCCTGTGCCCTCCGCCAATTACTCAGTTTCAGCGTGTGCCAGATGTTTCCTGCTGGGCCCCATCTGGCACATGCTGAGTGAGTTCTGAGTGACTGCAAGGACAAGAGGACAGTGGCTTTCCTAGAAAGCAGGCAATCTTGGCAGACCTGGATACTAGGCTCCAGCTACCCTGATCTCCTCTCGGACCAGGCACAGGACTGCCCATGGACCCAGCCCAGCTCTCGGGGATGTAGGAGAGGCCACATTCCCCCGGCTGCTCCACCGGCTGACAGTCCCCTGTGTCTCTGACACTTGGAGTTGGGGAGCTGGGTCTTGTGCGGAGGTGTGACTTGTATGCCTCTGAGAGAGGAGGCCCTGGCTCTTGGAAAGAGCTTACACTTCTGGAATCTGATTGTTGATAGGAGAAAAGGCTGGGACCAGCCCTGCCCAACTCTGCCCAGAGATTAGATGCTCTGACTGGGAAGCTGGCACCTGCCATGGCCTCCCTTTCCCCATCTGTGCAATAGGGCCACGCCTCCTGGGCCTGCTGGAGAGGGAAGACTGTGTCCAAGGGCAAGGGACCCTCTGTGTGGGCTTTATGGTAAGGAAAGGGCCAGCTGTGGCCCGAGCCCAGGGCCCCTGCCTCACATGAGGCCCAACCTCTGGGGCTCCCAGCTGCTGGTTCAGAAGCCATGCAGATCCTGAAGGAAGGTTCCAGGCTAGACAGGCCCTCTGAGTCACTCAGTCCACAATCCCCAGGATGGGACAGTTTTCCAGAGCATCCCTGACCAGTGCAATCCTGTAGAAGCTTGGTTACCCCCTGCAACAGGGAGCCCACTTCCAGTCCCTCCTGGGATTGAGTAGCTCTGATCATGAAAAATTCTTCCCAGTGTGAAGTCATAACTTGCCTCCCATCAAGTTCTAGACCATTGATTCTCTGCCCACAGAGACACCTGCGGGGCTCTTACAAATTCTGGCCAGGCGCAGTGGCTCACACCTGTAATCCCAGCACTTTGAGAGGTCGAGGCAGGCGGATCACAAGGTCAGGAAATCAAGACCATCCTGGCTAACATGGTGAAACCCCGTCTCTACTAAAAATACAAAAAATTAGCCAGGCGTGGTGGCAGGCGCCTGTAGTCCCAGCTACTCAGGAGGGTGAGGCAGAATGGTGTGAACCCGGGAGGCGGAGCTTGCAGTGAGCAGAGATCACACCACTGCACTCCAGCCTGGGCAACAGAGCAAGACTCCGTCTCAAAAAAAAAAAAAAAATTCTGATGGGGCAGGGCATGATGGTGCATGCCTGTAATCCTAGCACTTTGGGAGGCTGAGGTGGGTGGATCACTTGAGCGTAGGAATTCAAGACCAGCCTAGACAATGTAGCAAAACCCCATCTCCACAAAATACAAAAAAATTAGCCTGGGGTTGTGGTGCACACCTGTAGTCACAGCTGCTCGGGAGGCTGAAGTGGGAGGACGCCTGAGCCCAGGCAGGTTGAGGCTGCTGTGAGCCATGATTATGCCATTGCACTTCACGCTAGGTGACAGAGCAAGACTCTGTCTCAAAAACAAAACAAAACAGAACTCTGATGGGTGTGGACATGGGCACTGGTGTTTTATTTAAGCTTTCCATGTGATTTGCATGTACAGCCAGGATAGGGAGCCACCACCTTAAATCTTACACTTCAGTCTCTATTTAATGGCCACCACTTCCAGGAAGCCTGCCCTGATCACCTGAGGCTGGGCTAGGTGCTCCCCAGGCTTCCTGGCCCCCACACTTCTCTTCTTCAAAGCACATACCATGTAGGCCCAAGGCCCCACCCAGACTCAGGGCCTGGCACTTACCCTCTCTCAGGACCATTTGGTCCATTAATGGAAATGTTGCTTGCCTTACCCCCTCCCTGCCTGGCACGTGTCGAGCTCCTCAGCATCCTGGTCCTCGCCTCAGCCCTCATGTCCTTGCATGTCAGACCTTGTGCCCTTGTCCCCCTCACACCTCACACGCACACTGAGCACGTTCACCCCATGGACACACGGGGCTTTCTTTCTACTCCAGGCTTTGTCTATGCTGTTCCCCCTGCTAAGAACACTGTTCCCTTTCCTCCTCAGATATTTTTTCAAGTATCTCAGACTTTAAGGTGGGCCAGGAGTGGTGGCCCACGGCTGTAATCCCAGCACTTGGGAGGCCAAGAGGGGATGATCACTTGAGGTCAGGAGTTCGAGACCAGCCTGGCCTACATGGCGAAACCCCATTGCTACAAAAAAAAAAAAAAAAAAAAAAAAAAAAAATTAGCCAGGCGTGGTGGTGCATGCCTGTAGTCCCAGCTACTCAGGAGGCTGAGGCATGAGAATCACTTGAGCCTGGCAGGTCGAGGCTGCAGTGAGCAGTGATGGCACCACTGCACTCCAGCCTTCATGACAGAATGAGACTCCATCTCACAAAAACAAACAAACAAAACGTAAAAGTTTAATGTGCACATGATTCACCTCAGATCCTGTGAAAAGCAGCTTCTGGGTGAGGCTGGGCATTCCACAGTCCTCCTGAGCTACCAGGTGAGTGGAGGCTGCTAGCCTTGCCAGTGAGGATGGAGCCATCTCCTCCTCCTGAGCCCCCATCTGAGCTCCAGAGCCCCAGTATATCGCCCAGTGTGCACTGTCAGTCTCCCCACTGGCCTGTCACTCTGGGGGCACAGGATCCTGGCTGCCGTGGCCACCACTCACCCCCACCTTTACCATGGGGCGCTTGTGTTTGCTGGCTGGATGCTAAAATTCAGCCACGCCTCCCCATCCCAATTCCAGCAGGGCACTGAACACAGGACACCCCTGGGGTGTAATAGGCAGGGGAGGGGCCTGGCTTTGCCCATTGTAGGCCAGCGGGCTCACCTTGGCGATCTGGTCGAACTTGCCAAAGAGCTCATTCAGCACCACCACCAGCTCCTTGGGAGAACAGTCGCTGGCCAGCTGCGTGAAGCCCACGATGTCCGCATAGAGGATGCTGGGGATGGGGCAGGGTGGGAGGGAGTGTCAGAGCCAGGCTCCTAGACAGCAGCAGCAGGAGCACGCAGGACTGTCTGGAGCCCCAGGAGCCTGCCAGGCCTGAGCCCATTCACCCCCGTCCTTCCTCAGCCTCCATAGGGATGGGAGAGTCGCGCCCAGCCATAGAGACAGATTAAAGTTCCAGGGGCTTCACGTTAAAGCAGAAGGGAGCAAAATTCAGAGCCTACAGGAGCCCTCGGCCCCACCCCAGGCCCTATCACTGCAGACAGCCGAAGGGCACTCCTGCAGGCAGCCCGGAGCCTTCCCCTTTCCCATCCAATGTTCACCACAGCACAGACTTCAGAACTCCCTGGTGAGAGGCAGCTCCATGCTCCCTCAAGCCAACCTCCACACCCAGCACTTTACAGGCATCGAGTCCTCACACAGCCCTTGCCGAACTCCCGTTCTACAGATGCACAAACTGAGGCTCCAGGACATTGAGACTTGCTGGGAAGCCAAGAGCTGGCATCTGCACCAGTTCTCCCTGCTCCAAAGTCCTTAAGCTCATGGACCATCCACAGCCCAGAGAAAAGGCAGCGGGCCAGCCTTGGATGTAATGCTGGCGCTGCAGGCAGAGGACCCAGGGGGTCTCCTGGGACCCACATCTACACTCAACGGCACCCAGCACCCACATCGACACTTGACAAACTCAGGTCAGTGCATTCAAGTAAAATTTTGTGGTTCCCTGCAAATCAGCCAAAGACAGGTGTCAGAACCGGGGCACTCTTGGGCACCAAGGCCGGGGGGCTTTACCTCATTCTGGGGGTCCTGTGCTCCCTTGAGAACCATCTGAAAGGACCCCTTCCTTCACAAAAGCTATGTTTGCTCACACAGTTTTACAGTTTTGGGGGTGTGCTAGATCTTTCAATACCAATCTAAATTCTCTAATTTAAGAGCCCTGATCTGATCCTGCCCACAAGTGGGGGTTCTGAGACCCAGGGAGGGCCCCAGATTGACCTGGAACCATGGGGCCCTCTCCCAATCCCTATATGGGCAGGGGTCTGAGCCTCCAGATAGGGCGGGGAGGCCGCCTGGGGGCCGGTGGAACGGTGGGCCCAGTCCCCGGGATATGCTAATCACACGTCTCACCGCCCACCTGACATTCTGGTGCCTCTTGACGTAGAGGCTGTGGAAGTTGTTGTCAGGCATGCAGCGACGGTCACCATGCTCCTTGAGCCGTTCGATGATGGCCAGCTTCATGCCCATGGAGATGTGGGCCGGAAGCACTGACAGCAGCAGGTTCTCCTGGGTGTGGGTGGGCAGACCAGCAGAGGGACCAGCAAAGCGACCGGCGGAGGGACCAGCGGGGGACAGGCAGGGTAGCATCAGGTCCCAGACCTGGCCTCCTTGGCCCCCATCCTCCCTGCCTGCCTGCCCTGCCCACAATGTCCCCATCTCTGCTCTTGTCCTCCACCAACCCAACTGAGCATCTACCTCCCATGTACCCAGCAGCCCCCGGGACTCAGGGTGACTGAGAAAGGGCTCTTTCAGCTGGGGAGGCTAAGCTGATGGGTGAGCAGCCTGGAGCCACTACGGCCTTCTCTGCCGCCACCTGGGGACTGCGTGCCCAGGACTGAAACCACACAGAGGAAGGCAGAGTCAAGGGTCAGCAGGCTATGGTTACCCTGCTGGAGCCCAGGACTCACCGAGGTGAGACCTGCATGGGTGTCTGGCCATGCACCTCATGCACATGGCAGCATGAGTGTCTCATGTCCAACAGAAAGAGGAAGAGGACAGGGGTGTACAGGGTGAGGAGTGGGGGCCGGGTCCCACCTGCTGGCGCTTCTCGATGCGCAGCTTCCGGCGGATCTGGATGCACTTCACAGTGTAGGTGAAGAGGTCCCGGGATGCATCCTGCATTTGGTGCTTGTGGAAGGCGCCTGTCAGGTTCCCACACAGGAAGATGACTGCGTTGGCCAGCAGCTGCGGGTAGACAGGGGTTTGGCTCATTATGTGGCCTGGCCCATGCCCTCCCGAGGCACCAGACCCCTAGGCGGACTAGTGATGGCACCTCTTCCCATTCCCTGACCTTCAACCCACTGAGAATGGCACTCTTCCTGGGGCAGACAGGGAAACTGAGGCCCAGACAGGAGCTAGTCTCCTAGTGAGTCACTAGGACTGCAAGACCAGGACACCCAGGGAGGCAGAAGAGACCACCTCACAGAGCCCAGGGCCCGAGGGGCATGCGTGCTAAGGGCAGTCCCAGAGGGCACAGCGCCCAGCTGGCTGTGTGGAGGGCCAGCCTCTGCCTGGAGAGGACACCAGGCCTGGTCAGAGGGAAAACACTTCTCTAAACACCCAATAATTATGAACAGAAGATTCACTCATTCAACACAAAGACACAAGGCAGTGCCCTGGGGTACTCCCCCAAGCCCCGCCAGGACAGGGCCTTCGAGGGGAAACTTCGGCAATGGGACTCACCCCACGACAGTGTCCCTGAACCGGGAGGCAAGGCCTGAGGTCACGACCCTGAGGGCTGAGCCACAGGGGAGCCCTAGGCCAGCAAAGCAAAGGCCAGAGGGCAGGGCCACGCCTGGAGCCCAGCTTCCGAGCAGACGTGGAGAGGGCCCGGCCTTGGAGCGGGCTGTCTGCAAACACGGCTCCGGGGCCTTCGGGTCTGATTCACCCAGAGGGGGCCCCCCCATCTGCCCTTAGACCCAGACCACAAAACCTCCCCCAGAGGCCTTAGCCCATCCCTCACCTGCAGCCCCACCCGGACACTGGGTGTCGTGAAGCCTCCCATCAAAGAACCGAGCACCAGGAGGTGGGAGGCAGTGGAGACGGCCCCAACGGCGACAGCGCCCCGCATGCTGAAGGGCAGTAGTGTGTACACCACGAAGACAATGAACAGGAAGAAGGGCACCTGTGGATGCAGCCTGGTGAGCCCGGTGCCCCAAGATGCTGCCCCAGGCCGTACAGCCCCCGGAACCCTGCACCACAGCAGCCCACCCAGTGCGTATCCTTAGGTTGGCTCCCTCGCCACCCCCTGCGTGGGCAGACATACAAGGGAACAAGAAAAGCCATAATGTGTTTCTAGGGTGGGCCCGGCCACAAGGTTCATGGTTTCCTGTGCTGATCCACTGCCTGTGGCCACCCTAGGTGGGAGGCTCCATGCCCCGCGTGATCCAGGGAGCCCCCACCTGGTGCCCCTGCCACGTGGTTCTCGCTCAGCAGAAATGATTACCGGGAGGCTGAGGCACCCTCTCACCAGCTGCCTCCAGCAATGCGGCCCCACCCGCCCTCCCTCCACCCCCAGAGCTGCCCCACCATCCCCACCGGCTGGTCCTGCGTCCACCCCTCTGGGAGTGCTGCCCTCTCCCTCCCCTTCAGTCCACATGGTTTCCTTGGGCCTCACCCCACCCTGCCCCAGCCACAGGAGCTGTCATAGGACCCAGGCCCACTGGTCAGAGTGTGCTACCGCTTGGTGACAGCCTCTCTGGGACTGGGCCCATGACCACAGCCAGGCCAGTGTGGCTCAAGCCTGCAGGTCGAGCTGGTTGAGAAAGGGCCCTCTCTCTCAACTGGGGTGGGCAGCCTGGAGCCGCTGTGAACTTCTCTGCCCCCACCTGGGGACAGCGTGCCCGGGGCCGAAGCTGTCCAGAGGCCCCAGTTCCAGTTACCCACTGGAGCCCAGCACTGACCCCTTGGCCTTTCCTGACACAGGAACCAGTTTGTGCCTTTTTGCCTCTTTGAGCTGAAGTTCTGTCATCTCCAACCAAACTGGAGCCACCCAAAAGTGCTGCAGCCCAGCGTCCGAGTGGATGCTCTCCCCACCTCAGCCCTGTCAATGCAGAGAACTCACAGGGACAAAACCAGCCTGGGGCCATCCTAGACACACAGCCAAGCGTGGGGCACGAAGGGCCTGTGGCATGCCCACCAACCACGGGGATGGGAGCTGCTGAAGGCGCAGCTGGCAGGGAGTCCAGAGTTCCTGTTACCTGCTCCCACGCACAGGCCGCCTTTGTCCATGCGTCGAACACCAGCACATAGCCCAGCGCCACCAAGCAGGCCCAGGTGAGCAGCGCCAAGGCCCTGAGCCAGCGCCGCAGGAGACACTCGACGTACATCAGCACAGAGAGGGCCGCAAACACCGCCAGCACCAGGAACGCCATGCCCAGAATGGCCTGGTGTCTGGAGGGGTCCTGGGTGGAGCAAACAGACAGGAATGCCTCGGCTTTCCCCAGTGCAGAGCCACCTCCTCCAGAAAGCCTGCCGGGCCGGCTGCCTCACTTACAGCTTCCTCCACGTGAAGGGTGTGGATGCACCCTCCCACACCTGGTTCCCACTCACCTTCTGGCCTTTGTCACCTCTGCCAAGGCTGCCTCAACCACCCCCTTCCCATCATCTCGGGAACCAGAGCATCACCCACAGCCCCGCCCATGATGCCATCACTCTCCATCTGCCTCTGCCTCCTCTCTGGGTTCCCACGGTGCTCTGTGCACAGCCGCAGGTGATACCACAAGCACAGGGCAGGACTCATTCACAGGCAGAGCCTTGTAAAGCCGCCCAAAGAGGACACTGCGCCTGGCCCTCAGTGAGTGAGCAGAGGCTGGTGAGGGATACCAGGAAAAGTCATCCCACAGGGGAGGAGCTGAGGCAATGGCACAGAGGTGGGACAGGACGGGCACAGCATCCGGGAGGTCCGTGGGGGCAGAGGCCTGATCTGGGGGCTGGCACACAGTAGCAAGCATCCTGTGGTTGGTAGCCACATGGATCCAGGCTGCACTGGCAGCTGCTAGGTCCTGGCCACTTCACTCACATAAACACCCTGGAGTTTCTGAGTGTTCTTCTAGAACTCAGCTAATCAAATTTACATTCACTAAAAAGAAAATGGGCTGGGCATGGTGGCTCACGCCTATAATCCCAGCACTTTGGGAGGCCGAGGCAGGTGGATCAGCTGAGGTCAGGAATTTGAGACCAGCCTGGCCAACATGGTGAAACCCTGTCTTTACTAAAAATACAAAAATTAGCCAGGCGTGGTGGCATGGGCCTGTAATCCCAGCTACTCGGGAGGCTGAGGCAGGAGAATCACTTGAACCTAGGAGGTGGAGGCTGCAGCGAGCCAAGTTGGTGCCATTGCACTCCAGCCTGGGCAATAAGAGCAAAACTCTTTTTTTTGAAAAATGCAGTTCCTCAGTCACATTACCCACTTTTTAAATGCTCAATAGCTAAACACAGCTAGTGGCTGTACCAAGGCAAGTGCCTGGGCCGGAAATGACATAGGTGGTGCCAGCCTGGAGAGCTGTGTTAAAAAGGATTCTGAGGCCGGGCACAGTGGTTCACACCTGTAATCCCAACACTTTGGGAGGCCAAGGCAGGAGGATTACTTGAGGCCAGGAGTTCAAGACCAGCCTGGGCAACATAGCGAGGCCATGTCTCTACAAAAACAAACAAACAAAAAAAAAACAAAAGGAGGATTCTGAGAATGTAGACAGGCTCAGTGTGGAATGTAGGGATTGATTAATGATGTCTGCATGGGTACAGGAAGTGAGGGCAGTGATACACAGGCCATCCCTGACCCAGGTCTTCAGTAGAATCGAATTTCATCATGGAGAAAAATGAGAGTAGTTTATCTGGACAAGTTAATGTAATGTCTGAAACCACTCCAGACTTCAAAACTGAATTAAAGTTAGAGAGGCTGGGCATGGTCGTGCATGCTTGTACTCCCAGCTACTCAGGAGGATAAGCCAGGATGATTACTTGAACCCAGGAGTTCAAGGCCAACCTGGGCAACAAAACAAGGCCCAGTCTCAAAAAAAATTTTTTTAAATTAGAAACTTGTCTTCTACCAGTCTAAATGTGCTGTAAAAGACAGAGCATTGGCCGGGCATGGTGGCTCACGTCTATAATCCCAGCACTTTGGGGGGCCGAAGCAGGTGGATCACCTGAGGTTGGGAGTTCGAGACCAGCCTGGCCAACATGGTGAAAGCCCATCTCTACTAAAAATACAAAAATTAGCTGGGCATGGTGGCATGCACCTGTCATCCTAGCTACTCGGAAGGCTGAGGCAGGAGAATTGCTTGAGCCCAGGAGATGGAGGTTGCAGTGAGCCGAGATCATGCCACTGTACTCCAGCCTGGGTGACAGAGTGAGACTCTGTCTCAAAAAAACCCAAAAACAAAACAAAACAAACAAAAAAGCATAGCATTTTACAGAAGATAAGCATTTTACAGAAGAGGCTAAGAGAAGATAGCAGCTTGGCCAAGGTTGGGGCCGAGACGTGAAGCCCAGGGGCTGCCCTCACTCACCCCCTGGCTGAAGGCAATGATGATGAGGGCCACGCAGGCAGTGGCGGCCACCAGCAGGAGCGTGAGCAGCAGCGGCCCATGCTGGCTGGTGAGCTGGTACTTCTCGTAGAGCGCATCTTGGTCAGGGCCCTCCTCGCCCTCGTTGAGGAAGTAGCGCCCCTTGGCTGGCATCCTCCACCCTTGGCACGCGTGTCGTTAAGGGGCCGTTAAGGAGGCCCCAGGGCCTGGAGGGCATCTGTCTGCCAACACCCTCCCCCGTGGGCCTAGGCCTCTGTCCTCTCCGAGGCAGGCAAGCAGGGCTGGGGAGAGGGCCTCTGGGCCTGCTGCTCCATGGCCAACAAGGGGTCCGCACAGCTCTGGCACCAGGCCTCACTCACTGTGCCGCCAGCATCCTCCTGTGCATCCAGACTGGGCTGACTCCACACGCAGTTCCTCAGCTCTGCGGAGACGAAGCAGACAGGAACTTGACCTAATGGTCCAAGTCAGGGGAGGGCTAGCATCAGGGAGAGCGGGGCCCAGGCCTCACAGCACCAAGTCTGATTTATCCATCTTAACCCTAACCTAACTTTTATGTCCTGTTGTCGTAAAGCTAGTCCCCTGTGTCTTCTAGGACTGCACTGTCCAAGATAGTAGCCACTAGCCACATGTGGCTGCTTTTTTTTTTTTTTTTCAAGACAGGGCCTCACTCTGTTGCCCAGGCTGGAGTGCAGTGGCACGATCATAGCTCACTGCAGCCTCAAACTCCCGGGCTCAAGTGATTCTCCCACCTCAGCCTCCTACGTAGCTGGGACTACAGGTGTGCAGCTAATTTTTAAATTCTCTTTTGTAGAGATGGGCGTCTCCCCCTGCTGCCCAGGGTGGTTTTGAACTCGTGGGCTCAAGCAATCCTCCTGCCTCAGCCTCCCAAAGTGCTGGGATAACAGGCATGAGCCACCATGCCCAGCCACTATTTTAAATTAAATTTAAATTAATTTAAAATAAAATTAGAAATTCAGTCCCTCAGTCACACTAGCCACATTTCAAATACTCAACAGCCAGCCAGGCATGGTGGCTCATGCCTGTAATCCCAGCACTTTGAGAGGTCGAGGCAGGCAGATCACCTGAGGTCAGGAGTTCGAGACCAGCCTGGCCCACGTGGTAAAACCCCCCTCCACTAAAAATACAAAAATTAGCCGGACATGGTGACGTGTGCCTGTAATCCCAGCTACTCGGGAAGCTGAGGCAGGAGAATGGCTTGAACCTGGGAGGCAAATTTTGCAGTAAGCTGAGATCGTGCCATTGCATCCAGCCTGGGCAACAGAGTGAGACTCCATCTCAAAAAAAAAAAAAAATCAAATACCCAATGGCTACATGCAGCTGCTGTACTGGACAGCACAGATAAACAGAGAATGTCTATCATCACAGAAGCTTCTACAGGCCAGCTCTGCTCTGCATGTTTCACTGTTTTGCTTTCACACAAAGGTCTCTGATCCATTTCGATTCACTCTGGGTATGGTGTGAGGTAGGGATCAAGGTTCACTTCTTTTTTCCATATGGATATTGAATTATCCCAGCAGTGTTCAGTGAACCGGCCATCCTCTCTCTGAATTTCAGTGGAGCCACCTCTGTCATAAGTCAGGTGATCACACACAGATGGTGTCTGTTTCCAGGCTCTGCTCTGTCCCCATGGTCCTGGTGCAATCACCACATTCACTTCATTTTCCAGTGAGTCTCATGCCTCCAGGCACAGAGGGTTCCAAGCTGTGATCCTAGGAGCCCTGAGATTTGGGGACATGCATCAGGCCCCCAATGGGAAGGGAAGGTGGGGGGGCATAGGCTCAGGCCCCCATGCCTGCTTCAGCCAGGGTAGCCCCCTGCATCTGTGTTACAGTAAGCTCCACATAAAACTGCATTTTCTTTCTCTCTTTTTTTTTTTTTTTTTGAGATGGGGTCTCACTCTGTCACCCAGGCTGGAGTGAAGTGGTGTGATCATAGCCCGCTGCAGCCTCAACCTCCCAGGGCTCAGGCAATCCTCCCACCTCAGACTCCTGCGTAGCTGGGACCTCAGCTATGCAGGAGGCTAAGGTGGGAGAATTACCTGAGCCTGGGGAGACTTAGGCTGCAGTAGGCCATGTATTTTTTGTAGAGATGGGGTTTTGCCATGTTGCCCAGGCTAGTCTTGAACTCCTAAGCTCAAGCAATCTACCCTCCTCAGCCTCCGAAGTGTTAAGCTTTCAGGCACTGTACCCAGCAAAAATCTTGTTTATTTTTTTAAATAGCCCACTGATACAAATTTCAGATGTCTGCAAGCCGTGCTTCACAGAAAAGGGAGCTGAGTCTCAGAGAGGGACACAGTGGCCCCTTTGTGACAACACTGTGAGCTGACCCCACACTTGCCATGCTCAGCCCATATGGGTTCCTTCTTTCCCCAGCACCATTCATTCCTTAGCATATTCATTGATTCCAAAAAGGCTTGTGAATCACACCTACGCCTGCCAGCCCTTATATCTCCTGTGTGCTAGTCTGGGCTCTCTCTCCCCAGGGATCCCCATCAGTCTCCAAAGGTAGGAAAATTACCAAAATTGTGCAATCCCTCACACAGCAATGGGGACTTGGGGACAGCTGCCATATTCCCAGCAGGAACCTTGCATGAAGGGGGCAACCCTGGACCAAGAGTCCACGCCCCCAGTGTCCTCCAGGCCTGCCTCAGATTGGAACCAGGACAGGGCCAGAGGCAGAGGGCAGGGAGGCTGTGAGACACGGGACAGCTCAGAGCAGTCACAGGGCACAAATGGCCAGCCGCCAGCAGAAGCTTCAAAGGACAGCTGGTCCAGCGGAGGGAAGATGGCCAGGTGAGCCCCCAGCCCCCAAAGGCAAAAAGCAGGATATCCAGGGTCCCCAAGTCCCCAACCAGCACCTGCTAGTATGAGATCCCTGGGGCCACCTCAATTCCAGGAGCCACCTCAGGCTCTATTTCCTCTGGAAGTTCCTATTCCATCACCACACACCAGGAACAAAATGGTAAAACCACATATTTGGGGAAGGAGGAAGGGGTCATTTGCTGGGGGCCCCATCCCCTTCAGTGCCTGGGCAGGTGTCTACAGGCCTTGGCACCTGTTCAACGAGGGGCAACCCTTCAGGGATGTGGCCAAGAGCTGTCAAAGTGCCCAAAGTGCTCAGACAGGCTACAAATCTGATTTCTACGTGAAATGATGATTTTTAAATGTTGGCAGCTGATTTCAAATTTTTCAATATTTGCAGCCCACTAGTTTACAACCTCTAAATCTAAACTAATCAGTCTGTATTCCACAAGAGGCATTTACTGTGTGCTAACCATATACATCCAACCCTGTGCTGTGGGGGTTGCCAAACAAGATAAGGTCCCTGCCTGAGATACATTCAATTCAGCACCCCCCACCCCAAAATAGCCCTTTGCAGTAATAACAGCAGCAGTTCCTGTCACCCCCGGCACCTGCACACACATTCACTCTCATCTTCACAACCGGCAAAGGCCAAGGTGGCACCACCGTCTCACAGATGCAGAACTGAGCCCAGAGAGGCAGAGTGGTTGCCTAAGATCACACTGCTGGAGCTGGTGGACAGATAGGCTGGGATGCAAACCCAGGTCTGCCAGCTCCCAAACCAGGGCTCCTCAGCCCAGGCTTGCCCACTGACATCCCGGGGGACTGAGCCAGATGCCACAGCACACAAACAGCAAACCCACCTGACCCCTGGCCTGCTGCCAAACACCAGTGCACCAGGACAGCCAGGCTGAGAAGCTCCAAACACCAGAGGGCTGAGGCCACTCCCCACAACTGCTCCATCTCCCAGGCAAAGCCCCCAGACCAGAGCTGAGGCGGCCAGACACGTGCATGAAAGTGCAAGTGTGAGAGTGTGTGGACACACCCGCTCCAGGCACACAAAGCCAGGCTGGGCCACCACGAGGAAAGGGAGGAACCAGCTGAGAGAGTCCCAAGGGCCCGTGGGAACACAGGCCTGGTAAACACGCCTCTCAAGGAACTCATTAGGCCACTTTCTGGGCAACGGCAGGCAGGCGCAGGTGGACAGTGGACAACATGGGCACAAGGACTTCAGCCCATCCAGGGACCTTGGCCAGCTCCTGGAACAAGCCGGGCACCGTGAGGCCTGGGGGGAATGAACTCACTGATCACATCTCCAGAGGGGGCCCAGGAACCCACCACCAGTGGCATGTCCCCAGGCCAGCTCCTCCCTAGGAGCCACCCCGCCAAAGCCAGACCCAGAGGCACCCCCTGCCCGGGAAGTTTTCAAGGCCTCCTGTCCAATCACCAGTTCTTCCACCAGCCCTCGACTCAGTTGGCAACAGGGAGGGCCTCCCCACAAGGCCCTGGATAAAGGAATCCTTCTGCCATGTCTGAGACACATCCAATCCAGGGCTCCCGGATTGAATGACCCTGCTGTTAGCTTGCACACCTCCATGACGGGGGGGCTCACCACCTCTCAGGGCAGTCTCCTCCATCACTGGGCACTTTTTCTGGCCCTGAGTCCTCCCTTAGCTCAAGGCAAGCCCTGCCTCCCTGTCACTCCCTCACCCACACCGCATGGGTCCTGTCTGAACTCCAAAGCCACCAAGAGCAGAGGTATCACGTCCCCTCTTCCTGAGGAGACTGCAGTCCCAGGGGGTCCCTTACTTACTCTCACCTCACGACCACCCCAGTGGTAGAGCAGGGTGAGCAGCCCCATTTTAAAGAAGAGGGGACTCCCCTGTGGGGAAGGTGTCCACATGGGAGGAGGGTATTTCATGCTTCTGCTGTGCAATGTCCCTTCTCCCGACCCTCAGTACCCTGGTTCATGGGCCACATGACCCCAGTGTGGCCAATCAGCAAAGTCCCTCTCAAGCCCTAATGCCACAGGCCTGGGAAGTGAAGGCTCTCTTTGGACTTCTGCTGACCCAGGGAAAGAGGCGTTCTCTTTTGTCGGTGACCTGACACTGTCAGCAGACACCCGAGCCACCACAAGGAGAGAGCCCACCTGAAACTGACACCAACATGGAGAACTGGCACAAGACAGGGGCCTGGCAACACCTCCTGGGGTCACAGGAGCCAGCTGTGCCTGAAGCTTACGCAACCTCTAGATATTTAACCACATGGGACAAGCAATGCCCCTTTCAGCTTCAGCCAGTTTGAGCTTCTGTCACTCGCAACCAAGAGTCTCAAAGTCCACATCAGGCTTCTGGACCCAGTTTGTTGCGTCTAACAAGCACCCGTGGCCCCTCAGTGGGTTCAGAGTCAACTGGAAGGGTCTCAGTCAGCACAGAGGTAAGAGTGTGCCCCTGCAGACACAGCCAGTCCTCCAGAAAGGAGCTGGGTCTTGGAGGGGACAGCCCCGCTCATCCCTCCATCACACTTTCCAGGCTCCACAGCCCAGCCCCAGCCAGGAGTTCAGGAGTTTAAGACCAGCCTGGGCAATATAATGAGACCCCATCGCTATAAAAAGTTGTTTATTTTTTTTTTAATTAGCCAGGCTTGGTGGCATACACTTGTAGTCCAAGCTACTTGAGAGGCTGAGGCAGGAGAATTGCTTGAACCCAGGAGGTCAAGGCTACATTCACTGAACTATGATCATGCCACTGCACTCCTGCCTGGGTGATAGAGAATCCTGTCTGGAAAAAAAAAAAAAGCTGGGATTTAAACACAGGATATCCGGGGTCCCTATCACCCTCATGGGGCTGGCATCCAGAAATCCCATAATATCCCAAAACACCAACCTCTTCCCTACAAACAAGGCCCAGGACAGAGCTATGACCAAGAGGTGGGGAGCTCAGGGGACCCCATCGAATTACTTCCCTCTGCCTTGCAGGAGCAAGTTCAGGCCAGCGAACTCCAGGAGGGCCTCCTCCTCCAGGAAGCCTGCTGAGCAACCCCACACACACTCCCTTATCCCTTCCCTGCAACTAAGGCAGGACTGTGGTCTCCTTATCAAATACTGGCTGGCTGGGTCCAGGTTCTCCAGCCAGAAGACCTGCTGGAAGCAAGAGGCTGGGACTCCATACTGCAACTGCAGGGCCAGGTCCCTGGGTGCTCGGAAAATCCTTCCCCAGTCCAGCTGATCTGGCAGCGTCCCCAGCACAACCACAGCCCTTGCAGGGAGTATGTTCTAGAAACCCCCAGCTTTCACAGATGCAGACAGGACACCCACTTCCTCACCCGGCCACTGTTGGCAGAAACCACAGCCTGGCTTCCTCCGGCCGAGCCTCAGCAGGCTCAGGGCTGCTTTGGGGCCCTGTTGGCCTCAAAAAGGGGAAGTGGGGACCTTGGAGTGAGGGGGGCATGGAAGCCTCCAGGGAAGAGGCCCCGCTCAGGCCCCTGGGCCCACACCCTGCCTGGGACGCCACGCAGCTCCAGACAAAAAACCTGCATGCTCCGTCTCGCGCCCCCGGTCCTGCCGGCTCTCGGCTCCCCTGGTAGGCTGGGTCTCAGGCAGATTTTTCATTTGCCAAGGGAATCTCATATTAACGCGAACTCTCTCAAGAGACCCTGAGCTCCATGAAGCCAGCAGCTGCTCTGCCCAGTGCAAGCCTGACCTAAGAGGCCCCCAGTAAACCTCGTGGGACCCAGGGATTCAATGTTGCTGGTATTCAAGGTCCCATCCCCCCAAGCCCAGCCCTCTCTGTCCCCAGAGCCCTGTGGCCCCCATGCCCTGCTCTCCCAGGCACCTCCCGTACCAAGAGGCCTTCCCAGTGTGGGTCCAATATCCCGGCCCCTGACTTGCCAAACTGTCGTGGTGGGATCTGTGTGTGTGTGTCCCGCAGCTGGTCCTGGCAAACACCTGTGACGTGAATGGCCGAGCAGGGTAGCCAGCCAGAATCCTGCACCAGGCCCAGGGTGGGGAAGCACGCAGAGTGGCATGGGTGAGGGAGGAGGGCGCCACAGCCAAAGGATGAGGGCAGATGAAGAAAGGGCCTCCCTCAAGATCGGGAAGCACCTGCTGCACCTGCCGCACCTGCCTTACCTGCCACAGCACACCTCTCCCAGCTACGCTTGGCCTCTGGGAGGATGCCTGCACCCAATCCCAGCTCTGCTACCAATGGCCTGTGAATAGCAGTCGCCTGCACACTCTGGCCTCAGTTTCCTCATCAGTAAACTGGGGGTGCTGATAACCAGGTTGTCTGCACAGGTCATGATGTCCAACAGGCCAAGCTTGCAAGACAAATTGGCAAATGGCCAAGAAGGCACGCTTAGTGTCAGAGGAAGCCCTGCAGGGTCAGAGCCCAACCATGGGGTCCAGGGAGAGGCAGGTGCAGAGTGGGCAGGCCCCCCACCGCATCTCCTAACAGCCTGCAAAGTTGCCGAGCAGGGGCAAAGACTGAAATTCCCCAACGGCATGAGCCCCCAGCCAACCCTGCTCCCCCTCCATAGCCCCCAAGCACCCCCAGGCTGACTTTGTTCCCACTCCCAGGGCACAGGCTGCTGATCAGTCTTGGGGACCAGAAACCTGCATTCCAGTCCCAGCTTAGCCACCAACCTGCTCTGTGACCCTAAACAAGTCTCTTGCCTGACCTGTGCCTTAGTTTCCCCTCTTGCAAAGGAGGGGCTGTGTCAGACCTCTGAGGCCAGCTCTGGCCTAGTTGGGACTGGGCTGGGGGTGGAGGCTGAATCAGTTAATGAAAAGGATAGGCAACTGGAGAAAAACTGAGGGAAAAGGCTGATGTTCTCACCTGGCCCCAGAGAGCTACTTCTAGGGATGGGTAGAAAGTTGTTCTTTGATTCTTTGGGACACAGCTAGGGTAGTGTTAAGAGGGAAATTCATAGCACTAAATGTCCGAATCAAAAACTTAGAAAGATCTCAAATTAACAACCTAACTTCACAACTGAAAGAACTAGAGAAGCAAAAACAAATCAACCCCAAGCCTAGCAGAAGACAAGAAATGACAAAAATCAGAGCTGAACTGAAGAAAATCAAGACACAAAAAACCATTCAAAAGATCAACGAATCCAGGAGTTGTTTTTTTTTTTTTTGAAAAAATTAATAAAATAGGCCACTAGCTAAACTAATAAAGAAGAAAAGAGAAAAGATCCAGATAAACACAATTAGAAATGACTACAGGAATGTTACTAATGACCCCACAGAAATAAAAAACAACCATCAGAAACTACTACAAACACCTCTACACACAAAAACTAGAAAACCTAAGAGATGGATAAATTCCTGGACACACAATCCTCCCATGACTGAGCCAGGAAGAAACTGATTCCCTGAACAGATCAATAATGAGCTCCTAAATTGAATTAGTAATAAATAGCCTACCAATAAAAGGCCAGGACCTGATGGATTCACAGCTGAATTCTACCAGATATACGAAGAAGAGCTAGTACCATTCCCACAGAAACTATTCAAAAAAATTGAGGAAGAGGGACTCCTCCCTAACTCATTCTATGAGGCCAGCATCATCTTGTTACCAAAAACTGCCAGAGACACAACAAAAAAAGGAAAAAAAAAGTGTTCTTTGTTCCTGAAATCCTCCCCTCCACTTCATTCATTTGGTTAAGCATTACCCTGATCAATCTCCCCTTTAAAATGCACCCCCAAGGCTCCAGCTGCCAATGATAATGAATCCAGGTCCACTATGTCTCATGCCCATTCTAATGCTAGTTAGTGACTGCCCAGGGAGAGTTCGTCCATGCATACCTTCAGCAGATGTGCACTCATGCCTTCTGTGCACCAGGTGCCAGGCCAGGTACCAAGAGGGAATTCTGCTCAGGAAATGAGCTCCCAGAAGGCAGAATCCTTAGCACTGCCCCAACCAGGGTATCTGCTAGGTCTCTGCACACAGCGGGTGTTCAGGCAACAGTGTTTATCAACTGACTAAGCAATCAACCAGGCTCCCCTGTTGGAGAAATAGCCCTACTTTTTCCTCACTCTTGCTTGAAATTCAATTAGTGATTCATTTCTTTAAGCACTGCCCTCACTAGCTTCCCCCTTCAGAAGGGAAACACTTTCACGCCCACATTTAACAGATTTCTGATCCCTTTTCCCTTGATAAGGAAGAACAGAAAGGGGAAGTCCAGCTGGCCATGGGGGACCTCACGTGGTTCTCGTCCTGCCCAGGACAAGAGGGTGCTGGCTGACTTCCCACATTGCCTAGGGCCCCACCCTGACAGTGGGTCCAGCAGTGACAGCAAGACATGAATGGGGCTGGGAGGTACAAGAAGAGCTCCATAGACCTGGCACGGTGGCTCACACCTGTAATCCCAGCACTTTGGGAGGCCAAGGCAGGTGGATAGCTTGAGGCCAGGAGTTCGAGACCAGCCTGGCCAACATGGTGAAACCCTGTCTCCACTAAAAATAGAAAAATGAGCCCAAGGTGGTGGTGCGTGCCTATAGTCCCAGCTACTCGCGAGGCTGAGGCATGAGAATCACTTGAACTCGGGAGGCAGAGGTTGCAGTGAGATGGGATTGCACCACTGTACTCCAGCCTGGGCAACAGAGTGAGGCTCTGCCAAAAAAAAAAAAAAAAAGAGAGAGAGAGAGAGATCCATTTCACGGGCCCATGGACAGATGCAACCCAGAGTAACCACTGTCCTGAAGGGGACAGGAAAGATGTGCATTTGAGTCTTAACTCTTAGGCTGCTAGTATTCTGTTTAGAAAGGCAGCATCCACAAGACAGCAAGCAAGCTGGATTCACAACTTATACCAGGATTATTTCCAAAGAGAGCAAGAAACTATGGGAGAATTCTCATATGATGCTGTAGTGAATATGGCCTTTTTATCCTGACACAAAACCCAAAAGCCATAAAGAAGAGACTGATAAGTTCAGTTACATGAAAAAACAAAATATACATGGTAAAAATTACCAAAAGCACAATCAAAAGACACGTGACAGATTAGGGGAACATTTGTGATTCATATCACAAGGAGCTAATCTCCTTCATATGTAAAGAGCTCCCACAAATAAAAAAGAAGACCAATAGCCCAATAGAAAAATGGGAGAAGACTAGGAAGAGAAAGTTCATAGAAAAGGCAATCTAAATGACTGTTAAACATTTGGAAGGGCCAGGCATGGTGGCTCACGCCTGTAATCTTGGCACTTAGGTAGGCTGAGTCAGGCAGATCACATGAGGCCAGGAGTTCGAGACCAGCCTGAGCAACATGGTGAAACCCCATTTCTATTAAAAAATACAAAAACTAGCCAGGTGTGGAGGTGCATGCTTATAATCCCAGCTACTTGGGAGGCTGGGGCACGAGAATCGCTTGAACTCAGGAGGCAGAGATTGCAGTGAGCCAAGATCATGCCTGTAAACCAGCCTCGGTGACAGAGTGAAGCTCTGTCTCAAAAAAAAAAGCAACCCACAACCAACCCACAGCATTTGGAAGGAAGCTAACCACACTCGTAATGAAACACAAATTAAAACTACCATGGTAGGCCGGGCGCAGTGGCTCAAGCCTGTAATCCCAGCACTTTGGGAGGCCGAGGTGGGCGGATCATGAGGTCAGGAGATCGAGACCATCCTGGCTAACACGGTGAAACCCCATCTCTACTAAAAATACAAAAAATTAGCTGGGCGTGGTGGCGGGTGCCTGTAGTCCCAGCTACTCAGGAGGCTGAGGCAGGATAATGGCGTGAAACTGGGAGGCAGAGCTTGCAGTGAGCTGAAATTGTGCCACTGCACTCCAGCCTGGGTGACAGAGCAAGACTCCGCCTCAAAAAAAAAAAAAAAAAAAACCTACCATGGTAGCCAGGCACAATGGGATGCACCTATAGTCCCAGCTACTTGGGAGGCTGAGGCAGGCGGATCACTTGAGCCCAGAAGTTTGAGTCTAGCCTGGGTAACATAGCAAAATCCCCATCTTTAAAACAAAAACAAAACTACCATGGAAAACCATTTTTACCTATCTGATGGGCAAAGATCAAAGCATTTCATAAGTCTCATAAGTCTGTGTTGGAAACAGTCACTCACATTCCCTCCTGGGCAGGAATGTGAGTCAGTACAACCCCCAGTGAAGGTAGTTTAATAATACCTAACAAAGTCACTGAAGGACATATTTGCTTTTTGACCTACCAAATCCACTTTGAGTAATGTATCGTACAAACATTGTCACAAGTATGAAATGACATAAGTACAAGATTAGTCATTGAAGCATTATTTGTAATAACAAAAGATTGAAAATAATATACCTATCAGTCACGAACTGGTGAAATAAATTATGATACAACCTTACAATGGAATACTATGCAGCTGTCAAAAAGCCTGAGGCCACTTGAAACTAACGTCACAGGGTATCCTGTGAAAAATCCACATGGCAATGCCTGGAACAAATAAGGATGGAACCAGGACACAGAAAAACCAAAACTCTTGATTTCACAGAGTGGATAAATCCCACTTCTCATTTTCAGTTTCTATTCCTATTGTCAGTGTGTTGCTTATGTGACTAAAAAAAAAAAAATGTGTAATAGGAAAAATGAATCCCAGGCCCATCACACCTAAATTGCATGACCTAGCCAGGTACATTGGCTCATGCCTGTGATGTCAGCTATTCAGGAGGCCGAGGCAGGAGGACTGCTTAAGACCAAAAGTTCAAGATCAGCCTGGGCAACGTAGTGAGATGCTATCTCTAAAAAAATTTTAAAACTAAGCCAGGCACAGTGGTACATGCCTGTAGAGCCAGCAAACTTGGGAGGCTGAGGCAGGAGGACCTCCTGAGTTCAGGTTAAGGCTGCAGCAAGTGATGATTGTGCCACCACATTCCAGCCTGAGAAACAGAGCAAGACTCCATCTCACTCATTCATAAATTAAATATTAAAACAAATAATACATTACATGACCCAACAGACTCTCTGTGCCTCAGTTTCCTCATTTTAACAAAAGGAGAATAACAGTCCTACCCCACAGGATTTTGAAAGGATTCAGTTGGGGGTGATGCAAGCAGTGTACTGAGCCACCCCTGGCGCAAAATGCCCCAGTCTAGATGGCATGCATCACCAAGATGTCAGAAAGGGCCATGGGGTGCAGAAGTGAGAGGGCCCGGCACCTGTCCCCACCCCTCAACCCTGCCATGAGCCAGCAGCACTGGGGGTGAGGAGGCCCGGCCCCTACTCTGGTCTGTGAGTGCCCAGCCTCTGGGAGGTAGAGAGAACATTGGTCAGCAACTCAGGCCGGCTTTCCAGGGCCATGAGTGGCAGTGTGGGCTGACCCCTCCATGTAGGGCCTAGTTGGGCCTCAAGGGAGCAGCCGTCCCACCCAACCCAGGTCAGAGGGAGGTGGTGATATTGGTCTGAGCTGGAGGGAGCTCACAGGTGACATCCCAGGCAGAGTCGGGTCCTCGGCCCAAGCCTTCCAGGCTTGCTGGCAGGAGACGGCACAGTACCCAGGCCTCAAGACAAGCTCTGCGACCTCTGAGCCCAGCCGGGAGACAAACTGGGCCAAAAACCACCTGGCTGGCTGTCTCCTCTGAGAACCTGCAGAGAACCATGAATGGGCTGGGCTACCCAAGGGTGGTGGGCGGGGGTGCTCTCGCTCCATTTCTAGCCAGGGCAACTGACTCTGGGACCTTAACCTCCAAGCCCAAAGCCCACCTGCTAGGAAACAGTGGAGCTAGGATTCGAACCCAGGCCTGCCCCTCTCCAAGGCCCAGTGCAGATTAACTCTCTATCTGCATTTCCTGAGGTGCATTCTGCCCAAAAGCAGGAACATGAAAAGCTACATATGCGCAGCCACACACATCCACAGCCATTTCTGGTCACAGGTGGTGCTGAGCTCAACATTCTCCTCTTCCCCATTTAAAGATCCCCCATACACATTAGCAAATTAAAGGCTCTGACAAGTCCTGCAGGAAAGAAGCCTGCTGAATTAAACACAGCTGAACATTTCCCCATCCTTTTGTTAATGAGACTCTTTTTGCACTGAATCCCTAATGAACCTCCTTTGGGAAATGCTGACTTTGGAGTCTCTGAGACCCACCTAGGAACTCCTCCCCTAAGAAGGCTCCCTGGGTAGCTGTGGCCTGTAGAGCCCACTAGCCTCCCCTTAATTGACAGCCTATGAAGCTCTTTAATGCTGGGGGCCCCACTTACCCACCTCCACCTGACCCCAGGTTGGGCTAGCTGCGCACAAGAAGGTTGCAGGTGCTGGCGGGACCAGCCCATGCACCTGCCTGTGGGCCAGGACACCTACCCTGAGCTTAGCCTCCCAGGTGGAGGTGAGAGGAGAGGCCTGAGTGAAAGACCAGGGCTCTCAGGTGCTCACGGTCTCAACAGCACCCTCCCTAGGCAGTTTTCAGCTGGGAAGCACCTTGCCCTGGGGAAAAGCAAGCAGGAAAACAGCTCCAAGTGCCAACCCGGCAAAGGGCTCCTGTCGAATTTCCTGCCTCTCCCATGGAATGCAGAGGAGTGGCCCACCTGCCTCAGTTTCCCCATCTGCCACAGTGCAGGGAATAGAGCCCTGGGCTGAATGTCAGGTGATGTAAGGTACAGTCCCAGCTCTCCCTGTCACCAGCTGTGTGACTCGGGCAATTCTTCACCCTCTCTGGGCCTGACTCCTCCAGGGCAGGAAAGGCCTCCAGGGTCTCTGAGGGCCCTTCCCACTCAGACCAGCAGAGAAGCCAGTCACAGAGAGGTCAGTGGGAGAGGCCTCTCCCACCCAGAGCTCAGCGTGCCACCCATGGAGCTCAGTGAGGCGTCACTGCCTAGCCTGGCCTCCTGTCCCAACAGCAAGCCTGAAGCCACCACCTGGCCCGGAGGCCCCCAGTTTGGCCTCCATGACACCAGCTCGCAAAGTGCCCAGCCCCAAACCAAGGCGCTAAGACCCTCACTTCCCCGAGGCTTCCTGAGAACCCGATCCAGGCCTAGGGGGCACGAGAGACACAGAGGGGACTGCCTCGTGAAACCGCGCCAAGAGCCCGGAAGAGCCCTTCTGCAGGGGAAGCAGCCCCACCCAGCCTCCCCCACCAACCACAGCCCCAGCTTCCGGACCTGCACCCACACAGAAGAGCCCTCGCCATGGCTGTCCCTGGAGCCCAAGACCCCATTCCCGGTCACTCACTCCTTCCTTCCACAAACCCTGCCCTTACGGAGCTATTGGGCACAGGAGGTCACTGTGATGGAGTCTCACGCCACAGGAGCCCCGTGGCCCCCGAAACGAGGCCTCCCACACCTACCCAGGACCCCCCAAAACACCAAGCCCGATCTCTGCTCACCCCTTGGCCAAAAAACGCCTCTAGAGCTTCCCTGGCCTCCTCTGTGGCTGCGTGATTTGGCTGATTTCGGTTCCCCAAACAAGCCCCACCCTTTCATCTCCAGCTCCGGCAATCTAAAAACACGCCCACCTCCTCACCTCCAAATGCCTTCTGCCTGGCGAACTCCTGCCCGCCCTTCAGGGCCAACCTGAGCTGCCACCTCTTCCAGGAAGGCTGCCTGGTCCCCTCCCAGTCTGGCCTTGTTCCTTAGCTTCCCCAGGGCCTGCACCTCCCACAGAAGCACAGGCTACCCTGACCTGTCACTACCTGGCTGCACGTCCAGCCATGCACTACCCAGCTCCCAGGATCTAACCCTGCCTGGTACACAGGGACATCAAACCCCATACTCCACAGACTGGGGGGTACAGCCAGCACTGAACTGGCAGCTAAGGACTGGGCCCCAACCCTGGAATCCCCAGTCCCAACTGCATGAGCTCTGGCAGGTGACCTGCCTCTCAGGACTCAGTTTCTCACCTGAGCAATGGGGATGAAACCCTTCTCTTCGCTCCATGGCCTATTCTAGCAGTGACGTGACCTCATAGCTATAAAACCTCATAAACCCCCATTGCACATGGAAAGGGGCCCATCCTGCCACCAGGAAAGAGGCCACATGTTGGTGCCACCAGACCCCCATCTGCCAAGTGCCACTGAGCTCCTGCCTGCAGCAGGTGCAGGCACTGCTGCTGCTACAACACACAGGACAGGCATGGGTCCCCTGAGGAGCTCATGCCAGGAGGAGGGCAGATTGTCATAAATGAGCCAAGTGAGGAAAAGAAATGCCAGGGCAGGGCAGAAGGGGAAGGCAGGAAAGCATGGTGGTTGGGAGCACAAGCTCTGAGATCCAACAGCAGGCCGTGAATCTCAGCTCCACCTTGGAGGAGCTGTGTGACCTTGGGCATGTTCCTGAACCTCTCTGGGCCTCAGTTTCCTAACCCACAGAATGGACTGGTAACAATACCAGTTCTCAGGGGCTTCACGTAGATGTGGGCACACAGCAAGTACCATCACCCAGGGCCACCCCAGTCAGCTCCAGACACCAGGGTGAGCAGCCTGAGAAATCGTGACATAAACAGGCACTGGGGACACACTTCAGTACCAGGGTCTCAGCCTCACTTCCTGCCTGCCCCCAAAGGGCAGCTCTGCTCTTGTACCCATGCCCAGGAGAGCTGAGCCTGACAAAGGGATACAGAAGTGCTGGTCCCTGCCCCCAGGGGATGGAGCAGTGTCTCCAGGGAGTCTGGGTATATCAAAAGAGGCCACTTCCCATTAGCCCAGGCCCCCCTTAAAATAGCTCCTTCAGACAGCTTAAAAGGGCTCCTCCTCCCAGCCAGAGGGGGTACCGGAGACAGGCCTGGGGGCCCAGGAGCCAGATGCGCACACACACAGAAGGAGGTCTCATCCCAGCCTACACCAGCACCCTGGACCCCTGCTCCAGCAAGGAGATGCCCAGGAGGAGGGAGACCCAGACTCCCAAGAACAGCAGCAGGACCAAGACAAGCCCACAAGACTGGCCCCCAGTCCACATCCCTCCCATGAGTGAGGCCAAGGGATGTGCTTGTGAATGGGGCAGGGCCTGCAACTCCAACATAGCTCCCACCAGGAAGACACACCAGCCCCAAGGCTGCAGAGCTCCCAGGGCCTCAGTTTCCCCATCTGTGCAGAGCAGCTGCATCCCAGGGTGCTAGGCTTCTCCCTGCCCAGCCAGTCGGTGACTCCAGGAAGCAATGATCTCAGTCAGCTGCGCCCGAGGCAGTGTGACTAGGTTGTTTCAGAGGCCAGCATGAGGAAAGCTGGCCAGTTACAGGGGCAGGAAGGGCACCCTGGAGGGCAGGAAGAGCCTGGGGCCTGGAAGACAAAGCACCCCGATCAGGGTGCCCTGGGTCCAGCGGCCTCCAGGGATCCGGGCCCTAGAAGGCGGGTGGTGGCATCACCCACTGCAGGTACCTTCTGCCTTCCAGGGACATGAGCTCCTCCCCAGGGTACAGGCCTGTGTCTGAGGGTCATGGCCATTCCTTCTGCCCTGTCACCTCCAGCATGTCCTGATACCCTGGGAGGAGGCAAGAATGGGCAGAGCCTGGGGCCAGGAAACACAACTGGAAACGGGGGTACCTGCACCAAAGACCTCCCTTGGCTTCCCTTTCCCTCAGGCCCAGTCGTGGGTTCACCCTTCCAGTGGTCAGCGGTGGTGGGGGAAACAGGGACATAAAGGGAGGATGGTGAGAAGAGGGTATCCCGGCGTCCCTTGGGCCCCAGCCACAGCAAGACAGGGGCTCAAAGCAAGGCCAAGGGGGTGGGGGAGGCGGCTGAGTGAACAGCTCAAGAGCAGAGCCGGCTGGGTCCCCTCTTCTCCCCATGCTGGAGGACCCCTGAAGGAGGCCCTCACCTGGAGGACACAGCCAAGCAGCAGTTGGGGAGAACACCCCAGGCAGTGGGAACTGTGGGGGCCAAGGGCAGGAAAGGGGCAGGAGATAGCCAAGCTGGGAGTGAAAATGTCAGGGGGGCTGGCCCAGAGTGGATAACGGTGACAAGTGGCGGGAGTGGGGAGGGAAGTCAGGCCCGGTCTGGGAGGGCCTCACAAGCCAGGAGAAACTGACCAGATGGCTGTGCTCTAGAACAGGGAGGACCTTCTCCCAGGCCCAAGGTCAGCCGTCCCCACCCCATCCTAACACAGAGTCTGCTCAGGTTCATCTCGGCAGCACTGGGCTGTGCTGTGCTCAGAAAATGCCTGTGAAATTGGCCCATCAAAGAGGACAGGCTGGGTGTGGTGGCTCATGCCTGTAACCCCAGCACTTTGGGAGGTGAAGGTGGGAGGCTCTCTTGAGCCCAGGAGGTCGAGGCTGCTGTGAGCTATGACCAGGCCACTGTACCCCAGCCTGGGCAACAGAGCCAGACCCTGTCAAAATAAAAAATGAGAGAGCTGGTGGCGGCAGGAAAGCACGGTCCTAGGTATTCCAAGGAAAAAGGCCACCAAAGAGGAACGGAGCTCTGGTCCCAGACTCACCACCCAACCCTTCTCCACCCCAACACTGGTCCCTTCTAGAAAGGCTTCCAGGCTTCCAGGGGAGAGCAGGGAACGGAGGGTGCTTCGGCCAAGCAGGTCTGCACTCAGGGTTGGGCAATGCCCTAGCCATGATGTGGCCAGTTGAGAAATCCGTGTGCAGCAGCAGGTCAGGCCAGATGCCTATGGCAAGCCGGGTGACACCATGCTACTGTCCTTGGTGGGGAGGGGGCCACTGCACAGATGAGGGGGCTGGCGGGATCCCCGGCACACACAGCTGGAGGGGCTCCAGCCACTGTGTGGCAACCTCTCAGCCTGGGCACACCAGTGTCAGGTGCCTGGGAAGGGTTTTCACCCAGCTAGCCCTCCCATTAACCTACCTGAGCACTGCCATCAGCCCCATTTTACAGATAAGGAAACTGAGGAACAGAAAGAAAATGATTAGTCCGAGGGATGTAGGTGACAGGGAGGCTGCTCAGCTCAGCCCTGCCTGCCTGCACCACCCAGGCTCCCCCAGGGAGGTCCAATCTCCCACCCAAGGCAGGACAAGGCAGACGAGAGCCTCACGACACCGACAGTGACGCACACTTCCACTTAGGTAGCGCCTCCGCTGTGCCAGGAGCAGAGTGTGCATCAGCTCATTTAATCTTTACAACCACCTGATGCAGGGGGTACCTTTACCAACCCCATTTCACAGGTGCAAGAAACAGGCTCCATCCCTTGCTCATCTCACACGCTGTTGGGAGGAGGCAGAACAGAGCTGGAACCCGTGCCGCCGGACCAGAGCACAGTCCAGTTCTGCCTGGAGGCGGGATGCTGGACCGGATAACCTCTGGAAGACCCCTGCTTCTCTGGCTGGTGTTCAGATGTGGTCTCATTCTCCAGTTCCAACTAACTTCCAGCTCTTGGCTACATGTGTCTATCTATCTGTTTATCTATCTATCTATCTATCTATCTATCTATCTATCTATCTATCTATCTATCTGAGACAGGGTCTTGCTCTATTACCCAGAGTGGAGTACAGTGGCATGATCTCAGCTCACTGCAGCCTCCACCTCCTGGGCTCAAGCAATCCTCCTGCGTAGCTGGGACTACAGGCATGCACCACCATGCTGGCTAATATTTGTAATTTTTTCCTAGAGTTGGGGTTGTGCCATGTTGCCTAGGCTGGTCTCAAACTCTTGAGCTCAAGTGATCCGCCCACTTCAGCCTCCCAAAGCGCTGGGACTGCAGGTGTGAACCACGGTGCCTGGCCACACGTGTCTTTTAAAAGTAGTAAATGCCTCCCTCCCACCCCATGAAAGGCTAGAATGGGCTGCTCTGATACAGGCATCCACTGTGACCCACTCTGCATGCTCCCTCAAAGGCCTGGAACTTTCTCCAGCGGAGTTAAGCGCTGCTCTCTCCCTGGGCAGTGGGAGAGGTAGGAGAGAGGATGCTGTGTCACCTCAGTATGAACAAGTCCACATCCTCTTCCTCCAGGACAGCAGGAGGGAGGCAAGGAGCGGTGCTGAGGGTCAGGCCACCCAGCCACCTCTGTGACCCTTGCAATGACAGGGAGTGGACAAACCACCTACCTCCTGGCTAAGGCATGACCCAACCACACATCCAGGAAAGCACGTGAGACAGCCCACCCTGGCCCAGCCACGCAGAAGGCCTCGTCCTACCTCTTCTCTCCCGCAGTGGGCCCAGCGAAGTCCAGGCACAGGGCAGGGTAGGGGAGGCCCTCACAGGAGCCCAATTCCTCATCTTCCCAGTAAGGACCACCCCCACGAATCCCTCAGCACCAACCAGAGCCCCTGTTCTCAGCTTTGCCCCATCTGATCTCGCCAAAGACACAGTGTGCTGGCCCTGACTCCAGGCTCAAATGTGGCAGCAGACCACACTGTGGTGGGCACAACTGGATGCCTGAGGACCGATCTGCTGGGTTATTCAGGATAGACAGCCCCTCTGGGCCCTGTCTCCTCTGTAAACTGGAGGTGAACGGCACCTACCATATGGAGCGGTGGAGGAGGTGGGGAATGGGTCAAATCAGTAGCTATAAATTGTAGAGTGGGGTGCATGTCCCCAGTGCAACCATCGAGTCGGACTTTTGTCTCTTTTGAAAAATTTATTTATTTTGAGACAGGGTCTCATTCCGTCACCCAGGCTGGATGGAGTGCAGTGGCACAGTCATGGCTCACTACAGCCTCCAACTCCTGGGCTCAAAGGATCCTCCTGCCTTAGCCTCCCAAGTAGCTGGGACTACAGGCACACGCCACCACACCCAGCTAATTTTTGTATTTTTTGTAGAGACGGGGTTTCGCCATGTTGCCCAGGCTGGTCTCGAACCCCTGGGCTCAAGTGATCCGCCCACCTTGGCCTCCCAAAGTGCTGGGATCTTTTCTCCTTTTGAGACTCTCCTGTGGCCTGTCCAGAGGCCACACTCCAGCCCAATTTCTACTTCCTGAGCTCTCCCTACACCAACCTCCATGCCCTCAAGCAAACCTCCCAGACCTACTCCTGGCAAAGATGTTCTGCAATACCACCTTCACCCTCATCACCCGGAAAACAGCTGCTAGTAAACAGCTGCTTCTTTCATGAAAACAGCACTAGAAGGCTGGGCGTCGGGCTCATGCTTGTAATCCCAGCACTTTAGAAGGCTGAGGCGGTAAGATTGCCTGAGCTCATGAGTTCAAGGTTGCAGTGAGCTATGACCACTCCACTGCACTCCAGCATGGGTGACAGAGTGAGATCCTGTCTTAAAAAAAGAAAAGAGGCTGGGGGTGGTGGCTCACACCTATAATCCCAGCACTTTGGGAGGTCGAGGTGGATGGATCATTTGAGGTCAGGAGTTTGAGACCAGCCTGGCCACCATGGTGAAACCCCGTCTTTACTTTACTAAAAATACAAAAATTAGCCAGGTGTAGTGGTGTGGTAACTGTAGTCCCAGCTACTCAGGAGGCTGAGGGAGGAGGACGGCTTAAGCCCAGGAGGCAAAGGTTACAGTGACCCAAGAGGGTCACTACTGCACTCCAGCCTGGGCAACAGACAGAGACTCCATCTCAAAAAATAATAATAAATAAAAATAAGAAAGAAAGAAAATACCACCGGAGACGCTACCTCCACAAAGCTCACACCTGCCCTTCTGAGGGCCACAGAATCTGGAACAATCTGAGAGCCTCCCCTCCCCCACACTCTGCACCAGGAGCTGCAGGTAAACCTTGGGAACCCAGGGCCTCTGGAGGTGGGAAGACAGACAACTGGGTGGGAAGCGAAGGCTGTGCAGCAAACGCCTTCCTGAGCTGCAGCCCCCTCAGCCTCCTGCACTTCCTGCAGGGCTGGCACTTGGCACTTCCTCTCAAATTGGCTGGCTTGTCACTTTTATGTCTCCTTTGGCCTCGTCTAAGACAATAATACAGTCATGATGTCACAATGGCAATGTCCTATTTACAGATTTTTTTTTCCCCAAGACAAATACTTAGATTTTAAACATGTCCTTCCACACACAGGCTAGAACCCCCTGTGATTCCCTGGGCAGCCCGGTCCTCACTCCGAGAAACACTGGTGTTGAGTCCACCCCTCACAGCCTCCATCTGCAAGATGGTGATGCTAGTGAAGGCCCACGGTCACATAGCCCTTCCAGACACATCCAGCCCACACTGGCTGCCCGTCCAGGCCTTGGACCCAGGGCCCCTGTCGTAGGTGGCTCGGCCTGGCCCCTACCTCCAGGCCCTTGGCTTCCCCCTCCCGGCCCTCCCTTCTCCTCTCCAGCAATGGCTGTCCAGGGAGGAAGCCCCCAGCCACAGATGTCCCTGCCCTTGACCCTGATGTGATGACACAGAGAAGAGGCAACTGCCTCACCCTCTGTACATACATGTTTAGATGAATGCATAGAAAGCTCCAGAAAGACCCGCTCCAGAAAGACCCACTCCAGATGGCCCATGCGGTCCCTGGGGGATAGAGGAGAGGCATTGCAGGGAAAGGGAAACCAGTCTGCTTTTTGGAGGCATCTTGGTTTCCTGACCCTCAGGCATGCACTCCTTTCAGAGGTTTTGTTTGTTTTTTGTTTTATAATTTCATAAAATTAGTTGAATTGGCCTTCCCTTGCCAATGTTTCCTTTCATTGAGAAAAGTCATGTGTGCTTGTAAATGTAAAATTACACCCTCGAGAAGGAGTGTGGACATTTGAGAGTCTGTGGTTCCTAGAATTCCAGATGGAACGGGCCACATGTACAACATTGTGGTCACAACCGCACTTTCTTGTCAGGCTGGGAAAAGCCAGTGACAAGTCGCCTCTGGTCCCCTGTTGAAGGGCCGCCTCTCCCAGCCATCTGCCCAGTAGGCTCACGGAGCCTCCTACTCCCCCAGCCCAGACCCTGCCCAGTGCACTCCCAGGCCAGGCTGCCGGGTGAGCTGCTTCCCACCCACTGTCCAGCCCCGTCCCCTGGGGCTCAAGCCACTAGGACTGGTGACACTCCATCCCCACACCCCACTTTTACCTGGCTCTCCTCCCCGGCCCCAGCAGCCGGCCAGGGTCTGCAGGGAGGTGGCCCGGCCCCCGCCTGCCCTTCCTCAGACGCGCCCAGGCTCACCCATCCGAAGGCTCCTTCCACGCTACCTAATGAGAGTGAGTCACATCTGGGACCCACCACTTCCTGCTCCGGCAGCGGCAGCAGCGGCGGCGGCGGCAGCAAGGCTAAGGCACAGCCCACAGCCCAGCCTCTCGGGGTGTGCAGGGCCCCCTCCCCCAGCCACAGTGCTGCTCTCCGCAGCCTGGGAGCTGCCAGGCCTGGGAGCTGTCGGGCTCCAATGACTTCATGGAAATTTGAAGCTTGAAGCTGGAACAATTTTGAAAAAATAATAATAAAACAAGCACCAAAAACCTCCATTAGAAGCCCCAAGACAACTGTTCAAAGTGGGGAGCAAATGCATCCTTAGTGAGCAATTAGCAATTAGCGGCCTGGCCTGAGCCTCCTGTGGGCTCTGACGCTCACAGACAGGCCCCCCGCGCCTTCCTGGGACTCAATTTCCCTATCTATGTAGTAAGGTGGCCCCGTCCACCTCTGAGAGGGGCCCAGGAGAGGTCAAAGATCTTCCAGCCCAGCCCACTGCCTCTCCATCTCACCTACGCTCCCATGCTGGGAGCAGGGCAGGGGCAGGCCCATCCTTGGGGCTCCTATTCCAAAATCAGAGTCCCTGGAGAGCCCCCAACATCCCTGGGCACCATGAGGCTGGGAATCAAACCCCAGCACCCCTTCTGCTATGCCAGGCCTCAGTTTCCCCACTGGGATCATGGGGCGCTCAGTGGCGAGGGAGCAGATCAGGAGAGGCTAAGAGGAGAGAGTGGAGACTCCCAAAACAGAGGGGGAGGCCTCCAGCCCGCTGGCCACAGCAGCACCTGGTCCTCAGGGAGCCCTTCTGAGCATGTGACTGGCATCCTGGGATTACGAGCTCCTCAAAGCAATGGTGTACCTCCTCCACCTCCCACATCCAGGGTCAGACACCCCTCTTCTGGTCTTCTAACCCCTGCACCTTCCTCCATCACAGCACCTCTGTGCTGTGACCACTGGTTGCTGGTCTGTCTTTCCTAGGTTATATCCTTGAGGAGGGCAGAGATGGGAGGGCAGCTGTAATATCAACAGCTGTGTCCCCAGCGTCCAGCCCCAGCTGGTCACAGAGTAGACATCCCACACATACTGATCAGGAGGAACTGAACATGTTAGGTGCTGTCTCTGTGCCAGGCCCCATGCAGGGAACTAGCAGGTGATCTAAGGTCTGCCATCTGGTGGAGACAGGCATAGGACTCACACAGGGTTCCAGGCTGCTCCAGAGGCCACAGGAGGGAGTGGGAGACCTCAGGGGATCCTCCCCATCAGGGTCGCCCTCCTATCAGCAAATGTCTCCCTAGCAAATGTCCCAGAGCAGAGAAGGAACAGACATCATCATCATCAAAAGAGGGGAAAGACAAGCCACTGACTAGGAGAAAGTCACATCCTATATGACTGACAAAAGACTCCTCCCTAGCATATATAAAGATCTCCCAGGCTTGGCATGGTGGCTCATGCCTGTAATCCCAGCACTTTGGGAGGCTAAGGTGGGCGGATCACCTGATGTCAGGAGTTTGAAACCAGCCTGGCTAACATGGCAAAATCCCGTTTCTACTAAAAGCACAAAAATTAGCCAGGCGTGGTGGCATGAGCCTGTAATCCCAGCTACTTGGGAGGCTGAGGCAGGAGAATCACTTGAACCTGGGAGGCAGAGGTTGCAGTGAGCCGAGATCACACCACTGCACTCCAGCCTGGGCAACAGAGTGAGACTCTGTCTCAGAAAAAAAAAAAAAAAAAAAGACCTCCCACAAACCAATAAGAAAAAGACAAATGGCCCAATTAAAAGATGAACAAGAGACTTACACAGGTACTTCAACAAAGAGGATGCCAAAATGACCAATAAGCACATGAAAAAGATACTCAACATCATTAGCCACCAGCAAATTAAAACCATATAGAGATTCCACTGTACCACTAGAATGGCTAAAATTAAAATGAAAATACCAAGTGTTGACAAGGAGGAGAAGCAGCTCTTCACTCTCATGTACTGCTAGTGGGAATGTAAAATGGAGCCACCATGATGAAAACTGCCTGGCAGTGTGGACAAAAGCAAACCATATGCTTCCCCAATGACTCAGCAATTCAATCTCAGGTATTTACCCAAAAGAAATGAGTACATGTGTCCACAAATGACTTCTATCCAAGTGTTCAGAGAAGCTTTCATCCTAACAGTCAAACTGCAAACCCAAACATCCTGCAATGAGTAAATGGATAAACAAATTTTCATATATTCACACAACAGAAAATTACTCAGCAGTAAAAAGGAACAGATCACTGCTAACACACAACATGAATGAATATCCAAGATGGCAAGGACAGTGAAAGACCCACCCACAAAAGACACATTCAGCACGTTTCCATTTATATGAAACTTCAGAAATGATGAAACTAATCTACAGTGACAGACAGCAAGACAGCGGTTGCCTCTAGGGAGGCCGCTGATTGGAAAGGGGCACACAGGAAACTTCTGGGGGCTGAGGAGGTTCTAAATCTCCCTGTGGGTGCTGGTTATACAGGCGAGTGCCTAAGTACACTCATTACCCTGTACATTGAAGGTTTGTGCACTTGCCTGTATGTAAATTACCCGTCCATTTTTAAATGGGTATTGAGGGATACCCGTTTGCGTATGCAGGAGGGCATGGTGCTGGATGCTCAGTAGATTCAGGAAAAAGAACAGATCTGACCTGGCCCAGTGGGCGAGAGGCTGATGAGACACATGCTCAAACCCTGAGGAAAGCGCGGCGTGGAGATGGAGCCGCTGGGGGAGATATCGGGGGCCAAGGGGAAGGGGCATAGGAGGCAGGGCAAGTCCAGGGGAATGGCAGGTGGGGAGCGACCCACCCTGACCAACATTTCTGCAAGATGATCTCGGCTTGAGAAAAGGGGCAGCTTGGAGAGGACACATGTAGATGCCTGGACACAGGAGGGGGGTTCCCCACTGCCTGCTGGGAGCTTATGGGGCCCTGGGCTTTCCAGCACCGGCCATAGAGCAGGGAGTGTGTGAAGATAAACTGGCCATACAGCAGAGGCTGTATGATAACAAACCCTGCAGTTTGATAATGAGAGGGGCACAGTAAACCCTGCCGTTTGATAATCAAGGTTCCTGTCCCACTGAGCAATACCTCCTGCCCTCCCAGGCTGCCCGCCCAGCTTTCTCCTTGGAAGATGTGGCGGTGAGTCTCTTCCCTGCTGCAGCCT
The DNA here is from genome assembly GCF_000001405.40 of Homo sapiens. NCBI lineage: Eukaryota > Metazoa > Chordata > Mammalia > Primates > Hominidae > Homo > Homo sapiens. Next base: position 50,263,374 of record NC_000016.10, on the reverse strand, counting down.
CAGCACTGCCTCAAACCAGCTGCTCCCCGCAGCCGCAGCCACCAGCCACCACTTGACACCCCACCCCTCACGCTGTCTAGGAGGTCCCGGCAGGCAGGATCTGAGCACACACAGGTCAATGCTCCCTGGGATCCACACAGGCATCACCCAGGACTTTACACACACAGCCTCATGGCACTCCCTGGCAGCCCCACTGAGGAAGGCCCTGCTATCATCCCTCTGTAGAATAAGGCACCAAGGCTCAGAGACACCACATTGCTGGCCCAAGCACACACAGCTATGAAAAGGCAGAGCCAGGATTCAAGCTCAGATCTACCTGACTTCACAACCCATGCTCCTGACCCTCCCTGGGAACAAGGACAAGCTTCCATAGGGACAGGCTACCCCTAACCCCATTACAAGGTAATGAGCATGGTGAGTACCCTCACCCAAGATCTCCCAGCCCTGGCACACAGTGCTCCCAAGTGTGCTGAACAAACACCCGCTTTCTTTCAACTCCCCCAAAGAAGGGCAACCTTGGGCTTTCACAGTAGCAGACAGGGAAGGCTGGTTTCTGCTTGGTAGAGGCGCCAGGGCACACAGCACAACCCCAATCCTTTCCTGTCCCTCTCAGCAACCCCCATCCTCTTCCCTGGTGCTAGGGACACAAAACTGACTTGGACATAGTTCCCTTTCATGCAAGTTCCTAGGCTGGGAGGAGGTAAGAGGTGCCCATCAAAGGCATGGCATAAAGCTCTGGGGAGAAGCCGGCAGGGCATGGTGGCTCACACCTGTAATCCCAGTACTTTGGGAGGCTGAGGAGGGTGGATCACTTGAGGCCAGGAGTTCGAGACCAGCCTGGCCAACATGGTGAAACCCCGTCTCTAATAAAAATACAAAAATTAGCCGGGCTTGAGGGCAGGCGCCTGAATCCCAGCTACGCAGGAGGCTGAGGTGGGAGGAATACAAAAATTAGCCAGGCATTGTGGCGGGCACCTGAATCCCAGCTACTCGGGAGGCTGAGGTGGGAGGATCGCTTGAGCCTAGGAAGCAAAGGTTGCAGTAAGCTGAGATCACACCACTGCACTCCAGCCTGGGTGACAAAGTGAGACCCTGTCTCAAAAAAAAAAAAAAAGAGATCTGAGGAGAAGTACCCAGCAGGGTCCAGGCATATGTGGCCCAGAGTTTAGGGGAGAAGGACTTCCTACCCTGGGCAACAATGGGGGCTCAAGATGAGGCCATGAAACAGTCAGTAGGAGAGACTCAAACTGCAGCCAAAACGAAGCAGACAGTCAAGCTGTCAGTCAGCCAAGGGACAAATAACACTGAGTGCTGAGCAAACAGCTTGGCCCTGCCACACAAACCTAGATGTCGAGCCCTTACTGGGGGAAGGAAAGCCCCAGCACCCAGTGGGCTTGGAACTCTGGGCACGTCTCTGTAGGGGCCAGGGGATATGAGAACAAAAACCACCGTCCATGCCACAGTCACCTCTTCCTTCCCCTAAGGTCGGGGGTTCACGGCACCGGGAGGAGCCCTGGGAGGGTCTGAGCAATTGGGCTGGCCACTTGTCGCCAACCTCGCCTATCGTCCTGGCAGGATGAAGAGGAGCCTTCAGGAAGGTCCTGCTATTATTCCTGTCTGAGAGCTCTGGAGTCAGGGGCTCCAGGGAGAGACTTTGGCGGAGCTAGGGGACCCTGGTGGCTCAGGGAGTCCCTCTGTAAAGTCAGGAGATGTGGCCCACTCTGCTGGGAGCCCGTGGGGGGCTGTGAGAAATGCCGACAAGGCACATGGTGGGTGCTGGGTGCAAGCCAGCAGGGAGGAGGCCAGCCAGGCGTTCTCCCCGCTCTAAACCCTAAATCCCTAGGCTCTGCGACGTGCCTGCCCCTCCTTCAAACAACTTCCATGGCTTGCCTGTGCCTCCAGAGGCAAGTCCTGCCTCCTCCTCCTGCCTCTCGGGGACCCCCACCTGGCCCAACTCACTTTTCCATCCTTATCTGCCTCCACCTGCTACCCAGCTGCCTGACTCTTCCATTTCTTTGCTCAGGCCTTAGTGTCCCTGGAATGCTCAAAATGCTACCCATCCCGCCAGGTACTGGTGCCGCCTCTACCAGGAAGCCTTCCCCAGTGCCCCACCATCACCTCCTCTAGGCCACAATGCCATAGACCTCTCCACAGAGGATGTCATGTCCACTTTTGGTAACAGCTCCCTGTTCCTATGGGGAACCAGCCCTGCAGGGGTGGACTCACAACTAGCGTATATGGAGGAATGGGTGTGAGACTCAGGTGGTCCTGTGAAATTCACTTCCAGGACTTTTGTTGGGACTGTGGGAAAGTGTTCTCATTCACTTGGCAGTAGGTGTGAGCTACGAGCCACTGGGGCCATCTTTGCCACAGTGGCAGTCAGCCTCCAGTGACCCTTGTCCCCTGGCACTCATGTCTGTGAATGGTCCCCTCCCACACCACCTGTGTGACCAATAAAATATCGTGGAAACCACAATATGCGGCTTCTGAGATCATGAAAGATCTCAGAAGCTTCCACTCAGCTTTCCTTTGGATCTCTCCCTCTAGGGGAAGCCAGACACCATGGCTCGAGGACACTCAAGCAGCCCCAAGGAGGGATCTGTGTTCGAGGAACGGAGGCCTCCCGCCAGCAGCCAGCACCAACCCACCCTGCATGTGACAAAGCTGCCTTGGAGGCAGACCCTCCAGCCCCAGTCAAGCCTTCAGATGACTGCAGCTTGACAGGCAGCTTGATTGCAACCTCATCAGAGAACCCCAGCCAGAAGCACCCAGCTCAGCCTGAACTCCTGACCTACAGAAATTATGAGGTAATTGGAATAATTTGTTACACAGCAATAGATTACAAATACAACCTCTCTGTGGAAGAACTGGCCTGAAAAGGAAGCCAAGACAGAGAAATGGAGAGAGAAGCAGAGTCTTCATGATACCATTTGAGCCCCTGGATCCAGCCATGCCTGAATCCCCACAAAGTCTCAAGTCCTCTCTTTCTCCCTTTCCCTTTGGTTACAGTGGGTTTCTGGTACTTGCAGCTCAAAGAACCTGAACTTATTCATGCAGCACCCTCCCTGCTCAGGAGTGACTGAAGGTCCTGTCTTCTCCTCCATCAGACCCATCTGGCTGAGGGCAAGGACCACCTCTCCCCAGCACCACAGGACCTCACGACATTTCTGCCAGATTGACCTGTACCCAGATACTCCCAACAATAACACAGTGCAGCCAGCCGTGTGAGCGTCCCCTCCTGCTCACCCTACGTGGGAGGACAGAGCAGGGCTGACTCCGTGTGGTTTCACGCCCCCCAGCTCTTCCACACTTGGGACTGAGGTGAGCTCCCCAGGGAGAGGGACTCGCAGAGGCAGCACAGCTCGATGGAGACACTCCCCCTCCTCCCAGATGCATCTTTCACGCTGGGAGGCGGGGAACATTCCAGTGCATCCACCCACCTCCTCCAGGCCTCTGCCCACATCTCTTCTCAGCTGTGGGCTCAGGGATGTGCAGGGATCTGTTCCTGTGCAGGCTAGGAACATAAGAAAATGCCCGGGTCCACTAGCGCCTTCTGACCCCTAATCAGTGGTGGTCCTAAGGGGTGGCCTGGGGTAAGCCCCAAAGCCACTCCAAATGAACACATATTCTAAGTAAACAGCATCTTTCCCATTAAACCCGGCACCCTGCGGCTACTGCCCCTCCTAAATCGCTGCTGCTTGGCTGAGTTCCAATGCCACAACAAGGAAAGATGAACAGCCCGACTTCATGTAAGCGACAAAGCCCACTCAAGGGCAGGGGCCTGACTCCCATGATCCCCAGGGCCCCGATCTCTGCCACGCCTGGGAGACGGGGCTTTGGAGAAGGAAAGGGGCAGCTGGGGTCATGGTGTGTTGAGTAACAGCAGAGAATCCTAAAAGAACAGATGTGAAAGCAACCGCCCTGCCAACCAAAAGCCCTTATTTCCTTTGAAAAACTTGGCAGCTGGGCCGCACCAGAGGCCGCCTGTCCTTCCCTGCACCCGGCCCAGTGTGACCCATGGACAGGCAGGGAGGAAGGCCATGTCCCTCCCACCAGATCCTCAAAGGGGGCTTCAGACATACCACAAATTGAAAATAGCAGCTCCTAGAACTGCATGTGAAGTGTGACCCCTTTCTTTTTTAACGATGTCACAGGGATGCCTGTATTTTTTTGCATACAAGAAAATCGGGAAGAAAATGTCCCAAATCTTAGGAGTTATCACTAGGTGATAGAATTTGGCACAGTTTTATTTTAATATTTATCTTTTTGTTTAGATCTGCTTTTCAATTTTTCTCTAATGAAAATATACTACCCAAATAATTAACAGAGGAGGAAAACCAGCTACAATCAAGAAAAAGCAAGAAAAAGGAAAAACAATGCCCTGAGATGGGTAGTTTTCCACCCAACACCAAACTAGGCACCACTTGTAACAGGGTGAATACGGAAGGTTTTTACTGTAACTAAAAATACTACCTTAAGGGTTGGGCGTGGTGGCTCATGCTTGTAATTCCAGCACTTTGGGAGACCAAGACAGGGAGATCAGGAGGATCGCTTGAGCCCAGGAGTTCAAGACCAGCCGGCGCAACAGAGTGAAACCTCATCTCTACAAAAAAAATTAGCCTGAGCTGGTGGTGGGCACCTGTGGTCCCAGCTACTTGGGAGGCTGAGATAGGAGGATTGCTTGAGCCTGGAGGTCAAGGCTGCAGTGAGCTATAATTGAGCCACTGCACTCTAGCCTGGGAGACAGAGAGGGACCATGTTTCAAAAAAAAAAAAAAAATACTACCTTAAAGTCATTGAATATCAATGACTGCCAGTATTACAAAAGGAAATTCACCAGACCACGTGCCTCCCAGAAATTTCCAATAGCATCTCCAATGTGCTGTTGTGTGAAAAAAATCAAAACTGAATTAGATCAAGCCTCTGGATACAACTATGAATTTATAGGATTCAGGGGACAAGGAGCATGCTACACATTATAGGAAGCTCTCCTACAGGTAAAGGGACCCAGCTTCAACAAAAACACCACATGGAAGACAGAGAGAATGAGTACCAGTCCTACAGATGAAAAACTGAAGAAACATATCACAGTCTCATCATGCAGACCTCATTCGGATCCTGATTATTATTATTTTTTAAAGAGACAGGGGCTCTCTCTGTCACCCAGGCTGGAGTGCAGTGGCGCAGTCATAGCTCACTGCAGCCTCCAGCTCCCAACCTCAAGTAATCCTCCTGCCTCAGCCTCTCGAGTAGCTTGGAGGTTACATTACAAGTGCATGCCACCATGCCTGGCTCTGGATCCTGATTTTAAAAAGCTAATATTAACATATAGGCCAGGCACGGTGGCTCACGTCCCTAATCCCAGCACCTTGGGAGGCCGAGGCAAGCGTATCACTTGAGTCCAGAAGTTCGAGACCAGCCTGGGCAACGTGGTGAAATCCTGTCTCTACAAAAAATACAAAAAAATTAGCCTGGTGTGGTGGTGCATGCCTGTGGTCCCAGCTATTAGGGAGGCTGAGGTGGGAGGATCACCTGAGCCTGGGAGGTAGAGGTTGCAGTGGACCGAAATCGCATCACTGCACTCTAGCCTGGGCAACAGACACCCTGTCTCAAAAAAAGAAAAAAAAAGATAAATCTAATATATAAAATATAAATATATATATATATGACATTTACAAAACAATTGGAAGTTTGAACACCGAATGGATAGTTACGATCTTAAAGAATTACTGCTAATGTTTAGCAATATGTGTGGTAAAATGTTTGTTTTTTTAATTTTATTGTAAATTGATCAGTTATAATTGTATATATTTATGGGATACAAGGTGACGTTACATATATACAATGGAGAATGATGAAATGAAGCTAATTAACATATCACCTCAAGTATTTAGCACTGTTTGTGGTGAAAACATTTGAAATTACCCTCTTAGTAATTTTGAAATGTACATTAACTATAGTCACCATGCTGTGCAATAGGTCTCAAAAAACTTATTCCTCCACTGAAACTTTGTATCCTTTGACTGACCTCTCTCTATCTCTCCCCATCCCACCCCTGCCCCCCTTACCTACACACAGCCTCTGGTAACCACCCTTCCACTTGCTGCTTCTGAGTTCAATTGGATTTTTTTGTTGGTGGTGGTCTTTTGCATTTGTTTTGTTTTGTACAGGTGGGGTGCTATGTTGCCCATGCGTTTTGAACTCCTAGCCTCAAGCAATTCTCCCACCTTAGCCTCCCAAAGAGCTGAGATGACAGGCATGAGCCACCGCACACAGCCTAGATTTCTTGGATTCCACACATAAGTGAGATCGTGCAGTATTTGTCCTTCTGTGCCTAGCTTATTTTACTTAGTGTAATGTCCATTAGGTTCACCCATGTTGTTCCTTCTTTCTTAAGGCTAAATAGTATCTCATTGTGTATATATGTCACATTTTCTTCATCCATTAATGGACACTTGTTTCTAGATCTTGGCTATTATGAATAATGCTGCAATGATTATGGGAGTGCAGATATCTCTTTGACATGCTGCTTTCAAATCCTTTGGATATGTACCCACAAGCGGAAGGAAGGGAGGTTCCTACTATTTTCCATAATGGCTGTGCTAATTTGCATTCCCACCAACAGTGCTCAAGGGTTTCCTTTTCTCCACATTATCTCCAACACCTGTCTCTTTTTTTTTGGAGACAGGGTCTTGCCCAAGCTGGAGTGCAGTGATGTGATCATAGCTCACTGCAGCCTCTGAATTCTGGGCTCAAGTGATCCTCCCACCTCAGCCTCCTGACTAGGTAGAACTACAGGTGCACGCTGCCACACCTGCCTTGTTTTTTTATTTTTTGTAGAGATGGGTTCTCCCTATGTTGCCCAGGCTGGTCTCAAACTCCCAGGCTCAAGCAATCCTCCTGCCTTAGCCTCCCAAAGTGCTGGAATTACAGGCGTGAGCCACCACGCCTGGCTTCTCTTGTCTTTTTAATAATAGCCATTCTAACAGGTGTGAGATGATACCTCACTGTGGTTTTAATATGCATTTCCCTAATGATTAGTAATGTTGAACATTTTTTTGTATACCTGTTGGTCATTTGCATGGGTTCTTTTGAAAAATGCCTATTCAGGTTCTTTGCCCATTTTTTAATTGGGTTTGTTGTTGTTGTTGCTGTTATTGAGTTCCTTATCTATTTTGGATATTAACTTCTTTTCAGATGTTTGGCTTGCAAATATTTTCTCCCAGTCTATCGGTTGTCTCTTCTGTTACCTGTTTTCTTTGCCATGCAGAGGCTTTTAAGTTTGACATCATCCTATTTGTCTATTTTTGCTTTTGTTGCATGAGATTTTGGAGTCAAAAATAATAATAATAATTGCCCAGACCAGTATCACATAGCTTTTTCCCTATATTTTCTTCTAGTAGTTCTATAGTTTCAGGTCTTATGTTTAAGTCTTCAGTCCATTTTGAGTTGGTTTTTATATGTAAGGATCTAATTTCATCCTCCTGCCTGTGAAAACCCAGTCTTCTCAACACCATTTATTGAAGAGGCTATCCTTTTCCCATAGTGGGTCCTTGGCATCTTTGTCAAAAAAATCAATGGACTGGGCAGGCACAGTGGCCCATGCCTGTGATCCCAGCATTTTGGGAGGCCGAGGCAGGCAGAGCCCTTGAGCTCAGGAGTTCGAGACCAGCCTGGGCAGCATGTTGAAACCCCATCTCTACAAAAAATACAAAAATTAGCCAAAGGTGGCATGCACCTGTTGTCCCAGTGACTCAGGAGGCTGAAGTAGGGGCATGGCTTGAGCATGGGAGGCAGAGTTTGCAGTGAGCCAAGATCCCACCACTGCACTCCAGGCTAGGTGACAGAGTGAGACACTATCTGAACAACAAACAAACAAACAAATCATTGGGCTGTAAATATATTCATGGGTTCATTTCTGAGCTCTCTATCCTGTTCCATTGGTTGATACGTCTTTTTTTTTTTTTTTTTTTCCAGAAACAGAGTCTTATGGGCCAGGCATGGTAGCTCATGCCTGTAATCCCAGCACTTTAGATGGCCCTATCTCTATAAAAAAGAAATTATAAATATATATATATATTTTAATTGGCTCACTCTGTCACCTAGGCTGGTGTACAGTGGCACAATCATAGCTCACTGCAACCTCAAGCTCCTAGGCTCACGCAATCCTCCCACCTCAGCCTCCCAAGTAGCTGGGACGACAGGCTCCTGCCACCACACTCGGCAAATTTTTAATTTTTTTTTTTTTTTTTTGTAGAGACAAGGTCTTGCTATGTTGCCCAGGCTAGCTTCAAACTTCTGGCCTCAAGCAATCCTCCCACCTCAGCCTCCCAAAATGCTAGAATTACAGGCATGAGCCACCATGCCTAGCCCAATGTGTCTATTTTTATGCCAGTACAATGCTATTTTAATTACTGTAGCTTGTAATATATTTTGAAATTAGGTAGTGTGATGCCTTCAGCTTTGATCTTCTTGCTCAAGATCACTTTAGCTATTTGGGGTCTTTTGTGGTTTCACCTGAATTTTAGAATTGTTTTTTCTTTTGTTTTGGCAGGGGGTGGGGGTGGGGGGGCAGGGAGACACAGCTTTTGGTATAAACCAAAGGTGTGTTCCCTGTTTTTTCTTTTTCTGTGAGAAGTCACTGGAATGTTGACAAAGGCTGCATTGAATAGCTTTGGGTAGTATGGACATTTGCACGATATTAATTCTTCCAATCCATGAACATGGATAAAATCCCATCTATTTGTATCTTGTTCCATTTCTTGGTTCATTGTTTTATAGATTTCAGCATACAGCTCTTTCACCTTCTCCGTTGAATTTATTCCTAAGTATTTTTTCGCGTGGCTATTGTGAATGGGATTATCTTCTTGATTTCTTTTTCAGATAGTTAGCTAACATACAGAAACATGACTGATTTTTGTGTGTTGACTTTACAGCTTCACTGTGTTAGTTTATTAGTTCTAACAGTTATTTGGTGATTGTGTGTTTTTTAAGCATCTTATCTTTTAGTAACATAGACTACCATTCTCACAGATGAAGTGACAGGGTGCCTGGAGGGGGCTGTGTGTGGGAGGAGAGGCAGCTCCCAGAGGCCATGGGCTGGAGCCTGCGGAAGCGGAGGCAGGGGTGCGTGGAGTGGCGTGCTGGTGGGCTGCCCTGTCTGCTGCTGTGTCTGTTGGCTTGTTCATAATGAAACGTCAAAACCTTGTCACTGAAAGCACTCTGGGATCTGCCATCTCCTCCATGTCTCACACAGCGAAGGGGTCGTTTTTAGCCCCTTCCTACAGATGAGGATCATGTGGTCTTGAGAGGGAAGGTAACTCCCCCGAGGTCTCAGGGTCAGAAACACAGACCCAGCCTCAACCCTGCTCCTGACTGGAGAGAGACAGACAGAGAGAGACAGAGACAGACAGATAGACAGACACACAGAGAAAGGCAGTTAGAGACAGACAAGGACAAAGACAGAGACACACACAAGTTCTTCCTGAGGTCCCCTCCTGCTGGAAGCAAAGGAGGCTCCAGGCTCTGGCCTCCAGTCCCCACCAGCATGTAGCAGCAGACACCACCGCCTCCACCCCCACCTCAACCCACCTCACCACAGGAGCTTAAAGGCTTCCAGTGCCAGCCTGGGCGGCGTCATTAGAACACACTCCTGGCAAAGCCCTCCCCCCGGAGCCCCTCCCTGTCTCATCCTCTGACCACAAAAGAGTGGGCAGTGGAAAGCGCTCAGTGCCCAAGACCTCCACACTCCCAGACGTGGTCCCACCACAAACCTGGGTCCAGCCTGAGGGCACCACAAAGGTAAGAAACGGACCCATTTTTGGCTGGGTGCGGTGGCTCACACCTATAATTCCAGCATTTTGGGAGGCCACGGCAGGGGTGGATCATTTGAGGCCAGGAGTTTGAGACCAGCCTGGGCAACATGGTGAAACCATGTCTCTACTAAAAACACAAAAATTAGTCGGGCATGGTGGCACACATCTGTAAATCCCAGCTACTCAGGAAGCTGAGACAGGAGAATCATCTGAACCCAGGAGGCGGAGGCTGCAGTGAGACGAGATTGCGCCACAGCACTCCAGCCTGGACGACAGAGCAAGACTCCATCTCAGAAAAAAGAAAGAAAAGAAAAAGAAATGGACTCGTTTTAATTTACCCTAAAGAAACAGTCCCACTACATGCAAGGACTTAGCTACGGGCTGTTTAGTGCAGCTCTCTAACTGCGAAAATGCTGGAAACAACCGAAATGTCTGCAACAGGGGACAGAGAAAATCGTGCAGGGCACCTCCTGTGTCAAAGGCTGGGCTGCTGATGTCTGTAACACTTTAACCTCCCTGACCCCCAACTCCACACCCAAAGCCTGGGGCAGACAGAACTCCCCTTAGAGGACAATAAAGAAAGTTGTAATGCTCAACTTTTTTTCTTGTAATATGTTGAAAAAAGAAAAGAAGTCTGGAAGAATATACACCAATATGTTAATGGGTTACTTCGAGTTCCAATTCTATTAAGAAGTTTTTTCCCCACCTTATTACTTATATTTTCTGATTTTTCATTACCTAAATGTGAATTGTTTCTGTACTTTAAAAAATGAAAACCATTTAAAAATAAGAAACGAGCTTTTTCCTCCTCCTGGGAATGGAGCCCAGAGCCTTAGCCCAGGAGGCAGAAACTCTGGCTTCTAGTCCCAGCATTGCTATTGCTTGGTCATGGGACCTCTGAGGGTCACTTCACCTCTCTGAGCCTCAGTTTCCCCATCTGTTGAACACCAAACTCACCAAGGTGAGCTCCTGCCATCGTCACTGAGCCTGTCCCCTCCTCTGTGAGATGATGACCTTAAGGCACAGCTACGAAGGCACACAAACAATGCCTACCCAGGCACACAAACAATGCCTACCCAGGCACACAAACAATGCCTGCCCAGGCACACAAACAATGCCTACCCAGTGGCTGCCTCCACCCCACACCCTGGGTCATGCCTATTGCCAGCCTTTGCTCAACCCATTCCTGCTGGCCCCGAAGCCAGGCTGGCGGGGGACCAGTGGCATTAGAAGCCAAGCACTGGAATGAAACCATCATGTCAATCATGTGTGCAGAGCTCAGCCCTGCTCAACACTGACAAGTCCCATTCCTCCTGCTTCCACCCACCCTCCAGGAAGGTGGTCTAGCCCCATCTCACATAGGAAGAACCAGAGGCTCGGCACAGAGAAAGGACTGCCTGCCTACATACACCCAAAAAGGAAAAAAAACAGCAGCCCGGGGGCTCCTCCTGCACCGTCCTCAAGGCGTGGTCAGCGAGCCACCCCGCACCCCTTCTTCAGGGCCAGGCACACATTTGAGGCTGCAGGAGGGATGGACAGAGGCCTGGGACTGTGACAGGAGAGCAGGCTGGAGCCCCAAAGCTTCAGCTCCTCTTCCTCCTCGCCTGAAGCCCCCAGCCATTGCCCACACACACCAGGTGCTCAAATACTGGCTGAGTCAAGGCAGTGCAATGCTATGCCCTCTGCGTGGGGGAGCAGGCCGGGGAAGGGGAGAACCCAAGCTTTGTGGCCCAGCACCCTGCGATCACTTCCTAGGACAGTGAACTGGGAGCCCCCGGAGGCCAGGCGGGGACAATGACAGGCAAGGCTGGCTGGCTAGGTGGGGACTGGGGCACACTGGAGGCCCGAGCTCTGGGTGAGGCGCCACCCTGCCGAGCTTCCACCGGTAGCTGCCATGCAGCAACGTGGCCAGGGGTACAGGCCTTCTAAGTTGGCAAAAGAAACTAGAAATCTAGGCTTTATGTAAAAATCTTGTGGTTTTCAAATGTTGATGATTAATTCAAAATAAACTTTAAGCACTTCTGCAGTCCTCCTCCCACGGCCCTGGCCTCTGCGGTGTCCTGAGCAAGCCACTTCACCTCTCTGGGCTTCAACTGTGTCATCTGTAAAGTGGAGAAACAAGGCCTGCCCCTCAGGATCATGGCAACAGGAGATGGGACACACGTTGCCCATACTAAAGATAACAAAAAGCGGCAGCAACAATAACAGCTAATGCTCGATGAGTGCCAGAGGCTGTTTTAAGTACCGGGAAGTAATGTCATTTCATCACACCACAATCTCATAAGACAGGCTTTTTTTTCTTTTTCTTTCTTTTTTTTTTTAAATCAGGGTCTCGCTCTATCACCCAAACTAGTGGGCAGTAGAGTGATCATAGCTCATTGCAGCCTCAAATTCCTGGGCTCAAGTGATCCTCCTGCCTCAGCCTCTGGAGTAGCTGGGACCACAGGCGTGTGCCACCACACCTGGCAATTTTTTTTTTCTTTTTTTGGGAAGAAACAGAATCTTGCTATGTTGCTCAAGCTAGTCTCAGACTCCTGGCCTAAAGCGTTCCTCCTACCTTGGCCTCCCAAAGTGCTGGGATTACAGGTGTAAGCCACCTCACCTGGCAAGACAGGCATTTTTTAAAGCTGTATTTTGAAATACTTTCAAAAAACTTTCAGAAGTGATAAGTACAAAGAATTCTATACTTTTTAATCCAGATTTGCCTATTTGTACAATTTTGCCTCATTCTATATCTATACATTTACCCTGTGCCTCTTTAGCCTTGCAAATTTCCAAAGATCAAGGGCTCATATAAACAGTTATCAGATCATTTAATGTTGATACAATACTTTAATCTACAGCCCATACCCAATTTTATCAACCATCCCACTGATGTGCTTTATACCTTTTTTCCCACCATATGCTCACATACTGCATTTTTAAAATTTGTTTTAAAATTGTTTATTTTTAAAAATAGAGACAGAGTTTCACCACATTGTCCAAGCTGGTCTCACACTCCTGATCCACCCACCTCAACCTCCCAAAGTGCTAGGATTAAATATGTGAGCTACTGCACCTGGCCACATACTGCATTTTAGGTTTTTTTTTTTTTTTTTTTTTTTGAGATAGAGTCTTGCTTTGTCCCCCAGGCTGGAGTGCAGTGTCGTGATCTCGGCTCACTGCAACCTCCGCCTCCCGGGTTCAAGCGATTCTCCTGCCTCAGCCTCCCAAGTAGCTGGGACTACAGGCACAAGCCACCATGCCCAGCTAATTTTTTGTATTTTTAGGAAAGATGGTGTTTCAACATGTTGGCCAGGCTGGTCACGAACTCCTGAGCTCAAGTGATCCGCCCGCCTCGGCCTCCCAGTGTGCTGGAATTACAGGCGTGAGCCACCCCACCCGGCCAATTCATTTTGTTGTCACCTCTCTTCAGTGTCCTTTAACCTGGAGGTTAAATCCTTGGCCTTTGAGATAAGCACTCTTACTGTCCGCATTGTATAAGTGAGAAACTGAAGGCTCAGAGGGGTTGAAGCACTTGCCCAAAGTCACACAGCTACCAAACATTGAGCTGGGACTCAAGCCCAGGGGACTCTCTTTAGAGCTTGTGCTGCTCTTGTCCTCCAGGCCCAAGAGCTTCCAAAGAAAGACCTTTGTTGTTAACTGAACAGGGGCTCCCTCTGCAAACAGCTGCTCAAGGCACCTCACTCAGCAGGTGGTCATTAATTGAAGGAGCACCCTCCTGTGCACACATGGGCTGGGCCGCAGGCTGCCCGCTCCCCACACCTGGCAATGGCCCTGGCCAGATGCCCACCACCTCCCCCAGCAGGGCCCCACATAGCCATTTCCAGAGAAAGAATGTGCTTACCTGCAGAGGAGCCTCCCCACCTCCTGGCAAACTGGGCGATAACGAGGGCCTTAGAGGGCTGGGGCCAGGAGTGCCTGCCATGTTCTCCCCTTACAGTATAGTCGAGGCCCAAATGTCCAGGTCCAAAAGGCAGAGCCTGAAGTCATAATCACCTGCAGGCCACATCCCTAACCCACAGACCAGGGCTCAGGGGGAACCCATGAGGTCAACTGTCTAAGAGGGGCCTGAGTACTTTGGTTTTGTTGTTGTTGTTGTTGTTGTTGTTGTTTTAGACGGAGTCTTGCTCTGTCGCCCAGAGCAAGCTGGAGTGCAGTGGCGCTAACTCGGCTCACTGCAACTTCTGCCTCCTGAGTTCAAGCAATTCTCATGCCTCAGCCTCCCAAGTAGCTGGGACTACAGGCACACACCACCATGCCTGGCTAATTTTTGTATTTTTAGTAGAGACGGGGTTTCATCATGTTGGCCAGGCTGGTCTCAAACTCCTGACTTCAAGCAATCTGCCTGCCTCAGCCTCCTAAAGAGCTAGAATTACAGGTGTGAGCCGCTGCGCCAGGCCAGAGCCTGAGTACTTGCTAAGACACACAATAGGACCATGCTGGAAGGCTTACAGGAAGAAGGCACAGCAAAGGGCAAGGCCTGGGAGGTGGGAGTGGTGCAGGCTCTTACGCAGAGAGCAGAAAGCACTCAAGGGGGCCACACACAGTCTGCAGTATCTGGGAAGAGGAGGCAGGACCCAGATAGCTTCCCAACCGCCATGAGCCACAGATCCCAGCAGACACACAGCGGAAGAGGTGACATGAAGCTCTGCCACCGACCAAAAGGGTATCGTCCACCTGAGTCCCAGGCCGTTCTGTTAGGCTGTGAGGCTATTGTGTACTGAAATACCTCAAAATCCTGGAACCTCACCACGTGATATCCTGTCAAATTCAGAAACTGGCATCAGCCTCCAGACCTCATCTTGCAAACCCAATTCTAAGATTCAGATGCAGCAGAACTGCTCTTGAAAATTTACCAGAGCAAACACAAAGGGAATAAAGTTTTGCTTTTCTTCCTCATTGCCGACAATTTTGAAAACACAGAAAGCACGACTAAATAAGAAAATGATCTGTCCACGAACTCCCCCAAAGATACCCTAAATTTTTATACAGGGTATCTGTAAAAAGTAACGGCCCCTGCCTACCCTTCAATGCGCAAAAGCACAGCCTAGCCTGCCTGCAGTGTGAGTGTTTGGCGTCAAAGTGCATCCACTTGGTCTCCCCTACTGGCCATGGCAGGGCCCATGCCTAACTCAGCTCTCTGCCTCCTGCCCAGACACAGGCCACCCCTTGCTGGATTCAGCAGGGATGGGGAGGAGGGGACATAGGCCCCTCTCCATCAGCAACATTCCTTTGTGCCCATCAAGAAGGGGGCTCCAAGAGGTGGGGGTCAGGAGCAAAGCCCCAGGGCTCTTCTGGGTATGGGGTACGAACAGGAAGAGGGAGAGGTGGGCGGGGCAAGGGCAGGGAATGTGTGCTGCCCGTGGTCGGGCACTCACCAGGCCCACTTGATTCTGCATTTAGGGATGGAGCTCAGGCTCGCTGATGTGGACCCAAACCAGCTCCACCAAGAACACATGAGAACAGCCCGGCTCCTTGCTACCAGACCTGTGAGGACCTCCGCTTTCTCATCTGCAAATGGGACTGGTCGTTTGGGTCCTGCCTAACTTATGATTAAAGATACAAGGGATACGCAGGGGCTTTGTAAGGGCCTGGGAAATTGGAGGGCTCCCTGGGAGGGCTCAGCAGCCTCAGCTCTCCCTGCTCTCCTCTGTAAAAAGCCCAAAAGTACCCACTCTTTTAAGCCCAAGGGCACTTAGGGCCTGTGTGGCTGCTGAGGGAAGAGGACCCAGCACCTGGGGATCCCGAACGAGCAGAGGAGAGGCAGCTTTAGAACACCTGGTCCTGCGAAGCCAGGCTCCCAGCCACAGAAGACTGCTTCAGATGGAAAAGAAACTGAATCATAAAATCAGGAGTCAAAAAGAAAGAAAGAAAGAAAGGCTGGGCACAGTGGCTCACACCTGTAATCTCAGCACTTTGGGAGGCTGACGCAGGAGGATCACTTGAGCCCGGGAGTTCAAGACTAGCCTGGACAACATAGTGAGACCATGCGTCCACCAAAAAAAAAAAAAAAAAAAATTACTAAATTAGCCAGGCGTGGTGGCGCACACCTGTAATCCCAGCTGCTACTCGGGAGGCTGAGGTGGGAGGATCACCTGAGCCTGGGAGGTGGAGGTTGCCGTAAGCCATGATTGTGCCACTGCACTTCAGCCTGGAGGACAGAGCAAGGCCCTGTTTCAAGAAAAAAAAAATCCTGCCTCCGCATATGGACCCAACTCACCATGCAGGGTTCTCACCTCTGCTCCCCAGGCCCAGTCAGCCACTCCTGTGGGGTCCCCCCATAGACCTGGAGTCTGACCCCTCCCCACAGCCTGTCCCCAGCTCCACAGCCCACAAACTCCCTTCTACAAGGGCACCTGCCCACGTTTGAAGGCATTCACTGAACCTGAGAACCCCCTCCTCTCAGGGCCCAAAGCCCCTGCCTAAGTCCCCACAGCTGTAGCCTCACCCGGAGTTCACTACAGTCCTGTTGGTCATGCATTCATTCATTCATTCATTCATTCATTCAATCTCTGGAGCATCACTCTGGACCAGGCCCGAGGGGGCTTCAGCCGACCACACAGGGTATCCTGTTCCTCATTTTAAGGGCTCTACTTCTGTCCACGGCGCCCACGTGGTCATTTCCAGCTTCAGCTCTGGGACTCAGAAAGGAGTTCCTGGCCTTTGAGGGAGGGGACCTGAGACATAAACCAGTAAAGGGAACAACTCCAATCCATGGAGAGGCTCCAGCCTCTCTCCCCTACCCGGGGTCGGCTCCCATTGTCACTTCCTCATGTGCAAGGCATCTGGGTTTCCCGGTTGGGGTCCGAGGCAGGGGCCGGGCCTGGCTCACTCTCCCCTGGACCCTGGTCCCCTTTGGCCACCGAGGGGTCCTGCTCGCTGCTGGCTCCGGCGGGAGCGCTGCAGACCCACAGCCCGGTCCTGCGCCCACAGAGGCTGCTACCCTGTGCAGTGTTTGCTTCCAACAGGCCCCGCCGCCCCGAGCCAGCCCCCTTCTGTGCCCTAAGCCAGTCGGGCTCCACCACAGGGGTCTGGGGCCGGGCGGCCTCCCTCGAGTCTCAGTCTTGTTATCGGAAAGCGGGCGCCAGCTGGGGCAGCGTCTGGGAAGCGTCTCCTGGCCGTGCCTAAGGGAGGAGGTCGTGGCCCGAGGGAGGGGTCTCGGAGCATTTCCGACCCACCCGGGCAGGAGCCGCCACCGCCGGGCACCCGCGAGGCCGGGGAAGGGCGGGCCGGGAGAGGGGCCACCCGCCCGCCTGTGTGGGGACCGCGCGGAGAGGGGCAGCGGCCACGGGCACCCCCGACCCCGGGCGCATCCCCGGCCCGCCCGCCGCGCTCCCCCGCGCCCCGCGCTCACCTGCTGCGCGCTCCCGCTCCACCGCCGCCCGAGTGGCCGCCCCAGTGGCAGCGGGCTGGCCCGGCACTCACCGCGGGCGGGGAAGGAGGAGCGGCCGCAGGCGCCCCCCGCTGGCCGCGTGTCCCAGGCCTGGGGCGCGGGGGCGGGAGCCGGGGCGGGGGGCTGGGGGCTGGGGGGCGCCCAGGAGGCCGCGTCCACCCTGCAAGCGCAGCTGTCCCCGCCCCGCCCCACCCCACCCCACCCCACCCCAGCTCCCCTAGAACCGTGGGAAAGGCGCTGCCGCGGGAGGGAGCGGCCGGGCAAGCTCGGGGCGCCGCAGGAAGGAAAGGCGTCCCAGCAGGACCTTCTCCAGGTACCGCGCGCACGTGCTGGGGAGCGCCAGGCCGGCCCCACCCCCAGAGGGAAACACTTTCTAGCAAACTCTTCCAGTGTTTCTGCCCCAGGCCTCCCCTCCCCCTGCAGGAGCGCCCGTGTTTCTGGAAGGATCCACAGACGGCGGGCCAGTGCCCTCCTCCCAAGCCGGGGGAGCTTTGGTCCCGCCTTACGTCTCACTCAGGCCTTAACCTCCTATGGCAGGGCTCAGGGGCGGGAGATGACAGCGACCACCCCTGTAGGTGTCCTCAGAAAGTAGGTGTTGTAACCTCGTTGTGATCCCTGCAACCCAGGGTGGGGCCCCAGTGTTGGCAGAAAAAAAATCTGCTCTGTTTCCAAGAAACTCAGACAGGGTGAGCAAGAAAGCCTCCTGTGAGTCACCCTGGGAGGGGCAGAGGAGGTCGTCCGCAGGAGTAATCAAGTCTACGAGGGCATTTCTCACTCGCAGACCCCCATGAATCCCGCCCTTTCCCACTGGTCTAAAGCTCCCTGGTACCCAGGAATTGGGGGTTCCCACTTCACTGAGAGGGGTTACAGAAGCACCTGTTATGCCGATTTCTCAGGTCCGACCCCCAAGGCCCTAGCAGGTCTTCATAGAAAGGGCCAGAGAGTCTGTAGTTTAACAAGCACGGAGGAAATCTATGACAAACAGGTAGCAGAAACGCTGATCTACTGGGAACCTATGGTGGAATCCTGGAGCCTGCTACCCCGGCTCACCCTAGAGGGGAGAGATCTTGGTGTGGGAGGGCGTTGCCCCCCGCGGTGGGCCTGGAACCCAGCCTCAGGCCACCCACGTTGAAACCATGCTGAGAAATCAGATGGCCGAGGCTGGAAGGTGGAGCCTCTGATTTCCACTCCAGATGGCCACAGAGAGGTCCCACCTGAGACTTACATCCCAGCAGCAGCAAGCCCTCTCGGCTTCCCGCGCTGGTCAGGCAGCTCCTCTGGGCTCGTGCAGCCCCCGGGCATCAAGCATGGTGGCATTTGGCTCTCTGGGCCGGTGCGACTCCACTACTCATCGGCCTCCCCGTGGAGGGCCCTGGCCGGGTCACTGCAGCATCCTGAGGGCTCACCCGGGAAGATCTGAGCAGCTGGGGCCTCCCTGCGCCGGTAATGGGAATCCCGGCAGCAGTGAAGAAAGGTAATAGGATCATCAGCAGAGCCAGCTTCCGAAAGCACCGCCCACCCCCGGCAGCCCCACCCCTTTAGCAGAACCTTGAAAACGAAGAAACCCACCTGTTTCCCCAAGGCCTTCAGAACAGCCAGTGCCTCAGGGTCACGGTGACCTCTGCCAAGGTCAGCCCTGGAAAGAGAGAGGGGAGCGGAGCCAGCTATGGAGGGAGGGTCCTGCTGGGACCCACACTCAGTGCTCTCCAAGCCAGGAGCCCTCAGCCCTTTCCGGTGTGTGGAACAGTGCTATGACTTCCCAGCCCGTCATCTGTGTGTCATCTTCACGCAAATCTATGAGCAAGTCTCCTGACAGCAGACAGGAAAACAGAGCTGGAGAAAGTGAGTTATACACCGTGCCTGCATAACTGCTCCCATCAGAACCTTCGGGACATATCCATCATCCCCATGGTCCTCATCGCCACTGTGGACCTGTCAGCGGGATCACCCCGTTGGATACTCAGTCCTCAATAGGGGATTCTCAAATGGTAACCAGCAACGGACTCACCCAGAGGTCTGGTGAAGGCACACATGGCTGGGCTCCACTCAGTTTCGAATTCAGCAGAACTGGGTCCGTACTGAGACTTAACTTCTGTCTCACTCCCAGGTTACGCTGATGCTGCTGGTCCTTGGCAGACTGGGTAGCAAGGCTCTAAGGCACTGGATTCCAAATAAGGCTGGAGTCCCATTCCCAGAGATTCTGGTCCTTGGGTGGGTCTGGGAATATGCAGTATTTTTAAAATCCAGGTGAGTTTAATTTGTGACAAGGATGGCACTTCAAATCAGAAAGGAAAAGGAATGGCGCCTTTTTTTTTTTTAAAGCCACAGCTGGATAAACTGGTGGCACGTGGCTGTGGTCCCAGCTACTTGGGAGGCTGAGGCAGGAGGATCGCTTGAGCCCAGGAGGTGGAGGCTGCAGTGAGTGGTGATCGCACCACTGCACCCTAGCCTGGGCAACATAGCGAGACATGGGCACACAGAACCACATCTGGTTATTTTGTTTGTTTGTAGAGACAGGGTCTCACTATGTTATCCAGGCTGGTCTCAAACTCCTGGGCACAAGTGATCCTCTTGCCTCAGCCTCCAAAGTGCTGGGTGGGATTAGAGGCATGAGTCACCTGCACCTGGCCTAAAAATTTTTTTTAATAAAAATTCGTTTAATTTTTATTTAAAAAAAATTTTACACCAGCAGTGGCATGAGCTTGTAGTCCTACCTATTGGGAGGCCAAGGCAGGAGAATCGTTTGAGCCCAGGAGTTTGAGACCAGCCTGGGCAACATAACAAGATCCCTGTCTTTTTAAAAAAACAAACAAAAACTAATAGAGGAAAGATATTTGTGTTTGAAAATGAAACCTATAAGAGAAAATACGTTAGTAATTTTGGAGTGGAGAAGTATGCATGGGAAATTGAATGCACACGGAAGAGCTGCTGTTGAAAGTTGCATGTCTCTGTCCAGATGAGGAAGTCTCCAGATGTCCACATCTAATGTGTTTGTGATTTTAATGATTTATTTATTCATTGAGACAGAGTGTTGCTCTGTCTCCCAGGCTGGAGTGCAGTGGCGCAATCTCAGCTCACCGCAACCTCCACCTCCCGGGTTCAAGCGATTTTCCTGCCTCAGCCTCCCAAGTAGCTGGGACTACAGGCGCCCACCACCACGCCCAGCTAATTTTCGTTATTTTTAGTAGAGACAGGATTTCACCATGTTGGCCATGCTGGTCTCGAACTCCTGACCTCAAATGATCCATCCACCTTGGCCTCCCAAAGTGCTGGGATTACAGCCATGAGCCACCACACCCAGCCGTGTTTATGATTTTAATTATCCACTGTGTTGATAAGCTCCAGAACGCAGTGACCTGGGGTCCCTCCTAACTTATGAGTGCCCAGTGCCCACTGCTCCAGGGCACTCTGCATGTGTTGCCCGAGTCACTTTCTGTGGTGGGCAAGAGTTTGGGGCTTTATTTCACTTGTGCAACGAGAAGATTTAAAAATTTAAAATCAACCACAACAGAAGCTAACAGTCATGTATTTCGGCCACCTTAATCCTGCCCTTCACCAGGCAATGAGAACAACAGCCAAGTAGGAGAATATAAAAGTTTCCTGAGCGGTGCCTGTCCTTTCAGTCCTTTTACAGCCTCCTGATGCATCACTACGCAGAGCGTGGCGTTAGCCTCCTCAGCCAGATGGTCCTTGCTGCCTGTCCCCGAGGAAGGAAGAGCTCCCTGCTTTCCCACACTTCCTCCAGTGGTGCTCGCCACAGGACAGAAGCTCAGTGAGTGCCTAAGCACAGGCAATACTGCTCATGAGGTTTTTTTTTTTTTTTTTTTTTGAGACAGAGTCTCTCTGTTGCCCAGGCTGGAATGCTGTGGTACGATCTTGGCTCACTGCAACCTCCACCTCCCTGGGTTCAAGCGATTCTCCTGCCTCAGCCTCCGGAGTAACTGGGATTACAGATGTCCGCCACCACCCCTGGCTGATATTTGTAGTTTTAGTAGAAATGGGTTTTCACCATGTTGGCCAGTCTGGTCTCCAACTCCTGACCTCAGGTGATCCACCCACCTTGGCCTCCCAAAGTGCTGGGATTACAGGTGTGAGGCCCCGCGCTCAACCATAATTTCTAATTAGAAAAGGGAAGAAGGCCAGGTGGCTCATGCCTGTAATCCCAATACTTTGGGAGACTGAGGCGGGCAGATCACTTGAGGCCAGGAGTTCAAGACCAGCCTGGCCAACATGGTGAAACCCCATCTCGGCTAAAAAAAAAAAAAAAAAAATACAAAAATTAGCCGGGTGTGGTGGTGCATGCCCGTAATCCCAGCTACTCAGGAGGCTGAGGCAGGAGAATTGCTTCAACCCAGGAGGTAGAGGTTGCAGTGAGCTGAAATTATGCCACTGCACTCCAGCCTGGGCAACAGAGTGAAACTCCATCTCAAAAGAAAAAAAAAAAAAGAAAATTTAAGAAGCAGCTAAGAGTGCCAGTCCTTCCCCTACCCCAGCAGGAACCGGTAAGCCTTTTCTCTGGAAGAAGGTAAAATAGACAGTCTCTGAATTGGGGAACACCAAGCCCAGCTGTGGGCAGGGCTACCCAACTGAAAACAGGAAAACTTTAAAGGCAAATTCACATGGAAGGCTGGGACACACGCCTCCCCCCACCTCACACTAGCCCTCTTCCACCCTCAGCTCCCAGGATGTTGGTGGCCCAGAGCCTTACCCCCAGGCTGGAGGAATTCTTTGGGGAACCCCACAGCCTGCTAATTCTTACAGAAGCACACCACTGACTTAGCCATATTGATTGACAGAGCTTCCCCCCAGCTCTTAAATATGTGCAGGTAACCAGGAATCACCAGAAATCCATGGACAGCCTCAACCCCACAGAGAGTCCAAAACAACAAATGAGAAAAAAGCTAACAGGGACTATGCAGGTAGACAACAACCTAACAAAATGATACCATTCATATCCTCAGAGATTCCAAACCTATATTGTAACTAGGAAACAAAATTGGATACTATTTTTTTTAACAAGGAACATCTGGGGCCAAGAAAAGGACTTGGAAAGTAAAAACATGATAACAGAAATTTAAAAACAACAGAAAGTTTGGAAGTGGAACAAAAAGTCAGAGATGGAAAATAGAGAAGAAAAGCTAAAATGAGAGGATCAGTTCAGGAGATGCAATACCTGAATAGTTATGGAGTTCCTGAGAAAACAGAAAGGAGGGGAAAAAATAATTCCAGAAGTTTCCCAGGACTGAAGGACATGCAGTACCACATCAGATGCCCCATCACATCAAGTTCCCAGTGCAGTAGATGAAAACAGACTCGCCTAACTTTCATAATAGTGACATTTCAGAACACAAAGAGGAGATCCCAAAAGTTTCAAAAAGAAAGGTTACAACTAGCTTTAGACTTCTCACAACAACGCTGGGAGTGATGAAGCAATGTTTTCAAATTCTGGAGGAAAGATGTTTTCAACTCAGGATTCTATATCCAGCCAAGCTAACAATTGAGTGTAAATGAAGAACAAAAATATTTTCGGATGTCTACTGCCTGCACGCTTCCAGAAAGCTACTGGGGGATGAGCACCAATGAAAGGAAACAGTTTATCAAGAAAGAGGGAAACATAAGACACATAGGAGAGGAGCTGCCCCATGGGATGCATGGAAGAAAAGCGTCATTTAGGATGAAGTTTGTGTGCTGGGCACAGCTGGCCAGAAACTCCAGGACAAGTGCCTCTGAGAAGATGACAGTGATAAAATACCTTATGTGCTAAGCATTTGGAGGGGCTTAGAACATTGGCATAGTTTAGGGGGAATTAGTAAACAACATGGAAAAGAAAAACTCAGGAAAAACAAAAAGAACTTGCACGGAAAAAGAAATATTACACAGTTCAGGCTGGGCACAGTGGCTCACACCTGTAATCCCAGCACTTTGGGAGGCCAAGGCGGGTGGATCACTTGAGGCCAGGAGTTTGAGGCCAGCCTGGCCAATATAGTGAAACCCCATCTCTACTAAAAATACAAAAATTAGCTGGGCATGGTGGTACATGCCTGTAATCCCAGCTACTCAGGAGGCTGAGGAGGGAGAATTGCTTGAATCCAGGAGGCGGAGGTTGCAGTGAGCTGAGATCACCCTGCTGCACTCCCACCTGGGCGACAGAGCAAGATTCTGTCTCAAAAAAAAAAAACCAAAAAACAAAAAACAAAAAAAATCAGACAGTGAGGCAGGGAGGATCACTAGGGCCCAGGAGGTTGAGGTTGCAGTGAGCCTTGATTGCACCACTGCAGTCTAGCCTGGGCAACAGAGCAAGACCCTGCCTCAAAAAAAATTTAAAATGATAAATAAAGAAATATTACACAGCTCAGTTGATAAGAACAGCCCTTACACAGTCACTATAATGTGAACACTGACTATTGAGCTAAACGAAATTCATTTTAACTCTATTGGGAGGCTAGGGCACAGAAGCAGTTCAGGGGTGGCAGGAAGTCAACACAATTTCAAGAACTAAAAATCAAGAATCAAGACGTGGCAATAGAGGTCTATTATTTAGAGACATGGAGGTAAACACAGCACCTCAGAAAAACACAAAAAGTTGGAAATAGCTGCCTTAGAAAAGGGGGAAAGTAGAAGGAGGGATGGGGGACAAAGTGCTTGTAGTCCCAGCTGCTTGGGAGACTGAGGTGGGAGGATGGCTTGGGCCCAGGATCTCCAGACTATAGTGTGCTATGATAGCACCTATGAATAGCCACTGAACTGCAGCCTGGGCAAGACAGCCAGACTTATCTATTTAAAAAAAATAAAATAAAACACTATTTGTGTTTAAACTGTGACAAAACTGGTGCCCTAGTCCTATCCACCTGCTTTCACCTGTCTTGGCAGGGCCCAGCCCACCTCCCCAGCACCTCTGCAGCCCTCCCTGTGCCCTGCCGTGTTGCTTAAGCACCTGTCTCAACAGGCTTCCCTGTGCCACCTGCTAACCTCACATCTCCCTGCAGAGACATCTTAGGCACTGATGTCTGGCACGTGAAAGCACAATTTTCTTAAATTGGACTCTTAAAAACAAAGATGTGTGGCGTAACCCACCTTGTGACTATTTTGAAGGGTGCTGTGGAAAGCCACATTCCCGAGGCCACCTGTTGAGTGATTTAAGTACCAAAGTGGTTTACAATCTAAATTGAGCAATAACTCTTTTGAAAATTGATACACCATTTAAATAAGCCACTTGCTACTTTTAATAACTCTCTCCTTTCCTTTTAATGTTGACATTAAACATTAAGGCATTTTTACCTCTAGTCTCAGCTGTGCGTTGGATGGTTCCTCTTCAACAAAATTTTACTCTCACATTTTCAAATAGTAGTTACTTGCTTTAACACACACATGCACTTGCACACACATACATAATTATATATTGTCAATTTACAATACAAGAAAAAAGGTCTTCTGCAACACACACACACAAATTTATACTACTTCTCAAATGAATTATTAGATTATTAGTTTGGGTTTAACATGGTTTCTTTAGACAAGCAAGAAATATAAAGCATTTTACTTGAAAGGTTAAAAGGTGAAATTCTTCCAACTTCAAAGTCAAAGATTGCATTCCTAAGCCAAACTGGTAAACATAGTACATCTCATAATGCACTTACTGAGCTGAGTGTGGTGGCACATGCCTGTCATCCCAGCTACTTAGGAGGCCGAGGCAGGAGGATCACTTAAGCCCAGCAGTTCGAGGCCAGCCTGGGCAACACAGGGAGAACCCCAGCCCCGAGAAAAGACTTTTCCAAAGAATAGAAATTACAGCAGAAATTCTTTTTTTTTTTTTTTGGGGGGGGGACAGAGTCTTTGTCACTCAGGCTGGAGTGCAGTGGTGTGATCTCGGTTCGCTGCCACCTCAGCCTCCCAGGTTCAAGCGATTCTCCTGCCTCAGCCTCCTGAGTAGCTGGGATTACAGGCACGTGCCACCACACCCAGCTAATTTTTGTATTTTTAGTAGAGACAGGGTTTCACCATGTTGGCCAGGCTAGTCTCGAACTCTTGATCTCAAGTGATCCACCCGCCTCAGCCTCTCAAAGTGCTGGGATTACAGGCGTGAGCCATCACACCCGGCCAATTAAAGCAGAAATTCTACAGTCACATAATGAGAGCCTAAGAAAGTGATTTTAAGGAAAATATCTCCTTAAAAACCTATCATTGCACTGCTCTGGCTTAGGGAGATCAGTCCCACAGCTACATTTTATCCTCCTCTCTTTTCCAACATATTTTCCCACAGATTTTCCCAACAAAATCTGAGGCAGTACTCTGCCTTCTCTGTCCCCCAAAACTGGATTCTTTTTCTCACCTGAGTTCCGTCCCTCTACTCATCATAAAATTAATTCCATCCTACTTTTTTTTGATAACTTATTTGTTTTCTTTTAGAGACAGGGTTTCACTCTGTCACCCAGGCTGGAGTGCAGTGGCACCATCGTAGCTCACTGCAGCCTCCAACTTCTAGGCTTAAGCAGTCCTCCAGCCTGTCTTCTGAGTAGCTGGGACTACACGCGAATGCCACCACACCTGGCTAAGACAGGTAACTTATTTTCAGTGGGAGTTTTAATTGTTGCTGCTGCAGTTATTGGAGGGTCTTGAAATTAAAAGATTTTTAAGGGGTACGTGGTGAATGACCAATGTAACTGTTTCATCAGTTTTGCCAAGGGTGACATATTCTAAAAAGTGGAAATAAAGTATAGAAAAAATAGCAAAGCACTGTTTCAGATGACCATGTTATATTTATAACATTTAAACCTAGCAAAAATATCAAATGAAACAGTTTTCAAAGCAAGTCATGAAAATTCAACTTAAAAGAATGTAAAACCGGCCAGGTGTGGTGATGCATGCCTGTAATCCCAGCAATTTGGGAGGCCAAGATGAGCAGATCACTTGAGGCCAGGAGTTCCTGGGCAACATGGTGAGACCGCGCCCCCGCCCCATCTCTTCACTTTTCTTTTTTTTTTTTTTTTTTCAGACAGAATCTCTGTCTCAAAGAGTCTCTGTTGCCCAGGCTGGAGTGCAGTGATGTGATCTCAGCTCTGTGCAACCTCTGACTCCTGGGTTCAAGCGAATGTCCTGCCTCAGCCTCCAGAGTAGCGGGACTATGTGCACATGCCACCACATCCAGCTAATTTTAGTATTTTTTAATAGAGATGGGTTTTCACCATGTTGCCTAGGCTGGTCTTGAACTCCTGGCCTCAAGCGATCCTCCCACCTTGGCCTCCCGAAGTGCAGGATTACAGGCATGAGCCACCATGCCTGGCCAAAAAAAAAATTTTTTTTACATGTAAAACTGTGGGAAAGTTTTTTTCCTTAGTAAAATGGGTTCAGAAGAAAATTGTCATCAAATAGCAGTACTTTAGAAAATCCCTATTCAAGGTAAGCTGATGCAGTAAGCCTGGGCAACAGAGCAAGACCCTCTCTCTAAAAACAAAAGGGAAGCTGAAAAATACTGGATATTTCTATTAATTTGTTAGCTTTGATGTGTCTGACACATTAATTTACCAAAGCAACTTGCAAGCTAAAGTCAGCATAATAAAAAGGAAATGAAATATATCTCCATGTGTACTGACCTGGAAACACATCTTTATATGGTAAGGGAGTTGCAGAAAACTACAATACGATCCCATTTGTGTTAAAGGATAAAAGACCCCCTAAAATTATACTTGTTCATGTGTACAAATGCATAGAAAAAAAATCTAGGATACGTCCCATAATATTAAGATGGATGGGTTTGGGTTGATGAGTGGGATTAGGGATTGAAGTGCAGCTAGATCCTTTTACTTAAGTGTTTACATTTCTTCACAATAAAACATACATTCATATGTTACTTGTGAAATAATTCACTATGTCTAGGTAGATGGACAAAATTGTCATGGATATTCAGTTCATTCTCTACTATCATATTTGAGAAACTTTTGGGATAATATTTCGAAGGATTTTGCTTTTTTTTGCCTTTTTTAAGTGAGCACTTGCAGCAGAGGTTTAAGCAGCAGCAATCGGCCAGGTGTGGTGGCTCACACCTGTAGTCCCAGCACTTTGGGAGGCCAAGGTGGGCAGATCACTTGAGCCCAGGAGGTTGAGGCTACGGTAAGCTGGAATGGCACCACTGCACTCCAGCCTAGATGACAGAGTGAGACCCTGTCTCAAGAAAAAAAAGGGGGGGAAAAAAAAGACATCGCGCTGGAGTGGGCAGTCTGGTTTCACCCGCCAGTTGTCTACATGCTGCTGAGCACCTTCACTCTAAGCCAGTTTGGGACTATCTTACAGGAAACTATCCAGGATTTTTTTTTGGCCACCGCTCAGCTGGGTCCCAGGCAGACAGACCAGTCTAAACCAAATCCTCCCCTGCTGAGGGAGAATTCTGAGACACGCCTTAGGCTGCACTTTGGTTACTAACCCTGCCTCTCTCGGTTCTCTGGAGAACTATTTTCATTATTCTGTTGTAATGATCTGTTACTTGTTGCTCTGCCCAACCTATGGTAATGCATTTCATTTTCTTAGTATAGCAGGCATAATCCCCTGCATTAAAGTAGAGGGTGAAACTGGGCTGGTATTTGTGAATAACCAAATTCTATGAGATCAATTTCTATAATCTTCCATGGCTGTTGTGGGGGCCAAATATTGTCTAGGACAGAGTAGGATGAAAACAGCATCCTCAAGCATCTCCCAGTACTAGCATTAAAAAGGATGAGAACTAGCTTAGAGATCCAGCTTAGAGAACCAGCCACAGAAATGCCATATGTGCACAAGAAAACCTGCCTAAACAGAGCTGTCTTTAAATTTTTTTTAGAAAAAGTAGTCATTCAGGTTTTACATAAGGGCTCATACCAGTGGTTTTGAAGATAAATGAAAACACAAAGCCTTTATTGAATTGCAGATTATGAATAATAAACCGAGTGGTAAGCACTAGAGGCCGATGTGCATAGAAATGCAATTTATAAAATTTCCAAGGCAAATAATTGACATCTTTGAAGAAACTGTCATTAGCTTAAAAAATCTTCCAGGTGTGCAATTCATTCATAGTTTTCATCACTGGTTGCCCAGTGATACGGCCTCAGGAAATGTTGAGATTTCTTAAATCACTTGTATCAAATATCTTTTTCTGGTAAATTCCTTAGTGTCTCTGCAGTGGTAACTAGACAAGATTGGAAAGTTTTCAAGATGATTCAAACCTCCAGCACCTCACAGGAGTCCACATTTCTTAACACTGAAGACAATGCTAATCAAAGAAGGAAATACATAAAAAGGTTACTAAAAACAAATACTGGCTTCACCAAAGTTTCTAAATACACGTTATCTATGTATATTCCACTAAAAATGTTTAACTCAACAGTCCTTCACACTTTATATCCAGAAACTACACTGGTCGTCCCTCACTTTTCACCCATAACAATGTGTGTTAAGGCAGTGCTGCTTTTTAGTAGTAAAGACTGGAGACTCTTGACACGTCTAACAAACAAGCTTGTGATTTATTTTAGGATTGTAGGACTTTCAAAAGACTTTTTTAAAGTGACTTCTGTAAGTTTCAATATGCAAAAATCAGAGAGGATCTTAAAATTAGGAGATTAAGTTCAGGGACAAAACAACATATTATAATAAATTGCAACTAAATATAAAAGGTAATAATGAAATGGTCTTAGGGAAGAACTATGAATAGCACAGAACCCAAACTGAAAGATGAAGAAAAATATTAACTCCAAGAATGTGGCTGATAACCCATCATTTCACTCTCTTTGAAAGGCATGGCCTAACCTCTAAGAGGCAAGTACTGAACTTCACCAAGTTGCTGGCTTTGGAGAATGCTTTTCCAAGTCCTCCTTTCCCTCCCCTACCCAATTCCACCACACCTCACCATTCAGGTTTTTGTTTGTTTTTTTAAGAGATGAAGGTCTCAAACTCCCAGCCTCAAGCCATCCTCCCGCTTCGGCCTCCCAAAGTGCTGGGATTACAGGCGTGAGCCACCATGCCCGGCCTGAGCAACTTGTTTACTTCATAGTTTCTCACTGGTACTATATGCGTTTTGTTTCTAGGCATCTTTAAGATAAATAACATTCCCCCAAAATACGTCCAGACTGTCCTTAGGAGAGACCTTCCATGTTACCAGGCCACACAGAAGCTGGTGTAGTGAAAGGTAGCTCAGTGGTGAAGCCACAAAGACGTTAAGTTAAAATGTGGAACTAGAGATGATATGCAACTACTAATAAAAATGTTCACTGAAATACACAAGAGAACACCTGATTTCCACATCATTAGCTGTTCTTATTGACATAGCTAAAATATCTCTCAGTAAATCCAGGAGCTACCACAAATGTGTAATAACCAAAGGGAATGCACTACATCCATCTCTCTGGTTCTGTCTCCTTTTCTTTCAGGCTACTAGGCTACAGACAAGGTTAAACTCAATAAAGTACACACTTAAGTAGAAAATGTAAAGGCCAAACACATTTTTTTTAAAAAAACCAAAAACCTGAGAGACAGTAAAATAAACATTAGCAGTTTATTAACTAAAAACTGTCCTCAAATATTTAATTCTAGGTATCAAATAGATCAGCAGCCTTTATAAGCAATTTTTCTGGTTAATAATTTTGTCAACATTCAACGTCTATATATATTTAGCTCATTATCTTTGACCAAAAAAAAAAGAAAAGTCGCTAAGGGTGTGAAGTCAAGATGGCTTAGAACAAGATGACTGAGAAAAAGGCTTCCAGTTAGGTCAAGTTTTCAAATCATGTAAATAACTTCTACAGTAAAATCTGGCTTCTTAGCTATGTTAAATATCGAGAAGCATATTAAAATTTGATCTTTAACACTTATTCTACCCACAAATGTTTTGACAAGATGGCAGGTAGCTAGAGTCTTGAGGGTCAGAAACCAAGGCAAGATGAACTCTTTTAAGGAATTTCATATATAAATCTTTGTTCCCACTTTAATGCTGGAATGTTAACATCATTCTCTAAATATTTTACTAGATGAACTATGACCCTGATGAAAATTACTATCAACAGTAACTACTAAATATAACTTTTATATTCAATTAGGTTTGTTAGACGCATTTATAGAATATTTTGCTCATAAAATACTTTGAGAATGTGCCTTTCCAATAACTGAAAGTTTAATGAACTAGGAGAACAAGAATAGATGGGTAAGAATAAATTCTTCTGTTCATTAATTTTAACATTTCAATATTTATCACAGCAAAATTGGGAATGTATTTTTGATAGTTTACCATTTAGTTTTGACTGTGAAGCAACCAACTGCCTAGAAACATTCTTGGTTAGTGACAGAAACACTGAGAAATCAACATATTAGAATTCAAGGAACTGATCAAACTATAGATCAATATTAAAGTAAAACTGAGATGTAGTCATGACCAATAAAAGTATCAGCAACATCTACCACTAATACCTAATAATGGTGATTTCTAACAGATCAACCTTAATAACTACACCTCCTAGTCACTGGAGAGGGCTTTGCAATGAACATGTCACAGCAAGAGAATCCTGCACGTCACGGTGGTCATTACTCTTTTCTGACCCTCTAGTGTTTCCAGAAACCCCAAACACTAGTCCACAGGTTCAGGCAAACACAAGTCACACTTACCATTTCATGGGGGAGGGAAGGAGCAGAAAACACATGGAGAGATATAAGGTTCCAGCAGAAAAAGACAATTAAAAATGCTCACCCTATAGCCCATGTTTTGCCCTGTGCAGATCTAGGAATATCTGGAGCCAAATCAAATAACCTAAATATTAATGAGGCTCAAAATGCAAGTAAAGGTAAAGTACACTCAAAACAGGATAAAAATAAAACAGAATCAACTGTTGAAGACTGGAGGGCAATTACTTGTAAAAAACATAGGTCCTACAGATCCAAGCTAGATTTGAAAACTGAGTGCGACATCTCCAAACCAAACAAAGACATTCAAAACCAGGCACCTTCACAGTCACCTTAAAGCTGGAGGGAAAAAATGGATATACTTTTATCATCAAAACATAACCAGTAAGATTTTGTGCTGACACCTCACCAACCCATCAGCTCCTCTAAAAAACAGTCTTTAAATATTAATATTTCTAATGGCCAGGTACACATACATGACTGCCTGAGAAATGTCACCAGAGTGAGGGAGAATTTGTAAAATCCCATTCAACAAGTATTAGCAAAGGAAGGTTATGATTCATGGATATGAATGGACTCTAATATATAAATGACACATTTCTGATATATTCACAAAATATAGGAAGTATTAAAACTCAAAAAAGAAATAAGATAGGAGTCAAATAGATGAAATGTATAAAACAAATGAGCAGGCAAACTAAAAGTTCTTGAAAGTATTTTACTTCAGATTGAAAAATGAACAGCTTCCACACTGTTCACTGCAAGATACACAGTATTCACGAATACAATGCTGGTCATTTGAGGAAATGTATACACACCTCAATTTCTCCTTCATGCTTTTTTCTTTTAGAAAGATACTGTTTACCAAAAAGAAACTTCAGCAGTACAGGAAAAACTATTTTCCCAATAAATTTACGAAAACCTAAGATTCCCAATGGAATCAGAATTATCTTCCCGCTACCACCACCTTAATATAATCACATGCTTATTGGAACACTAATATTCGCACCCTAAGAGTACATTTACTTTCAACAATGAGGGTGATTCTTTAAAAACAAACAAAAAACAACAAAAAAAACTTCAGTGTGGTAAATGTAACATAGATCTCTGCAAGTATTAAGTGTCTGAAATAGGCAGCTAATACTGGATTTAATATTATTTTATAAATAATTGTTCCCTTAGCAGTAAACATAAGTCTACACATTCACAATTGTCCTAGAAAATAAATACTGTGATTATGCACAATGTTATGACAAACTAGTTTCAAAAACAAAAGCTCAACATCTCAATAAAAATTCTGATCAGAATAAAATGTGACTCTAAAATTTAAAACATTGTCAAAATAACATCACATTTGAAATCTTCCACAGTTTACACGAGTACTATGAGTTTCCAGTTTTGGAACACATTTTTCCATTGTGAATTAAAATATGAACATATTGAAAATTGTTAATTTCAGTGATGACATCAGTTTTGGTCTTACTTTAGCATTATTTTCTTTATAAAAAGTTACACTAAGTGTCCATTAATGGTCTGATTGGTCTTCAGTATTTCATAAATGTATATAAAAGAAACTCCTAAAAGCCAATAGTACTTTATATGTATATATATATAAAAGAATCTCGTCTCAGAAATGGCTGCATTTAACAGAGCCATACACATTGATGCTAAACATAAGAGCTTTCACCCTGAAAGAAAGCATTTTCAGAAATGTCACTTACATTCTATTATATTAAATATTCCCAACTGAGTTTCAAACTCAACAGGTAATGATAACAGAATTATACATCTCATTGCACTCAAAGCTGACTACAACCAAAATTTACAGTATGATTGAAACAAGCCAATGTTTAAAAAAGTTTTAATTAACGATAACAATTCCATGAAAGAAGAGGATAAAGAATGGGATGACAAGAAGTATTTGGTCTTAATAAGGCAATACAAAATAGATCCATTATCAAAGACCATTTAATTTGTAAAGATCAACAATACCAAAAGCATAGAGTGGAATATAAGAAAATAGTTTTTTATAAGTATGATTTAATTAAAGCTGTTTACAGTTATTCTCCCACAGTAGTTAAGCATGAATTTTAAAAAGAATAAGAGATGAGAAACAGGCACACGCAGCACACAGGGTTAGAGAAGCCAGCATGCAAAGTCTGTGGAACTCGAAGTTTCACTGCAACAGGAATGAGACCAGACATGGGTGACCTTTTTTTTTTTTTTTTTCCTATTAGGAAGAAATGGGGGGAAAAAAAAAAGACTGCAAAGGAAGCAAACACAAAGTCATGTAATTGCCCATTGCCCAAGACGACAGCACTATAGAAAACAGTTGCAAGTTAATTCTCGGAGATGACCAGAGATTTTTCAGTGTTTACACAAAAGTACATAGTACATTTTTTTTTTTTTACAAAATAAAATAAACATCATTTGCCACCATAAACCTTTTCTTTAGAGAGGAAAAATTTTTGCAGCAGGACACAAGGGTTCTATTAAGTCATTTCAATGCTGAGAAAAACAAATTGAGTAATAGAACTAATCACTTCCCTATATATGGATGTTAAGATGACAATTTAGATTATTTTTCAAACTAATCCTGAGAAAAAATCTGTTTACAATTTAAACAGTAATGTTATGTAAAAAGTATTATTAACAAATCCACTATTACAAATATCAATCTCCTATATGGTCTTCTATATATACACACAATAAAATGGTAAATATATGCAAAAATATTTAAAAAAAAAACATGCACAGATCACTTTCCCCTTTGGAATCTGGACTTCCTATCAGATACCTTTGTTTTCCTTCCCCACCTCATCCTCTGATACTGTTTTTTGTTTCTATCACCCTACCAACACTGAATACTATTCCCTATAACTCTGCATAAAGCCAATGAGAAATATATTTATTTTACATTCAAGCTTTAAATCTTAAAATGACCCTGTTGTAGCATATGACTTATCAAATAAGCAGCCTTTTTTTTCCCTCTTTTTTGCTTGCTTTTTTTTTTGTTTTGTTTTGTTTTTTTTGCAGTTGTCAGTCTTCATGATCCATTCTGTGGCGAGCTGGGAAAAAACGCAGTTGCTAAGTCAACGTCTGAACAGTGTGAGGCTCCTGAATATCTCCCAGGAGTCCCTGCGCAACTGTCCTGAGCATGAGATCATTGCACAGAGAAGACAGTCCACCGCGCAGCGCTGACTATCTACAGAGGTCTGAGAGGGGCGCGTCCCTCTTGTGTTTCCTCTTTTTGCCATGGTAATACTGATTATTGGATTTGCCTTGATGTTGTTTGTTTGTCATCAAGGAACCATGGCTTGTTTGAGTTGTACCTTGGAAGCCTTTGCTGGAAGAACGAAAGAGCCTTGCTGATCCATGCTGCAGAAACAGAAAACGACCACAAAGACATCAGTATTGCAGAAAAGCAGAGTGTTCTCAAACACCTGGATTTGGGGAAGCTTTCAAAACTAGGAATATGCTGGCTAGATTGTTACCTTACTGATCACTGACTTATCTAGTGGGCAGAAAAAGCTGTTACAGGGGTTCTTTTTAGCTCTAAAACCCTTACTTTATTTTAATGGAAATAATGAAAAGCATAGACCACTCGCCCGCCTTCTTAACAGTGTGTGGGATGCAAAGGTTTTCTTAAGAAACTTACCAACCCAAACACCACATCATAAGTGACAGAGCGGGAAGAGGCTCTTGGGCATGACAGGCACACTGGTAGGTTTGGGTCAGCACAGGTGGCTACTCCCTTCCTGCTACTCATGGCCTGTGGCTTTCTCGTGACCTCAGTCCCTTCTGTCAACCCTGTCACTTGAACTGGTATTTTGTGATAAGTCTGTGTCTGGCATACATGGCTAAGGCCGCGTAGGTAAAGTGAACTCAGTGAGTCAAATCAGACACAAGGTTACAGCCAAGAGGCCTATTCCCAGGTTCCCAGCTATAGTGAGGAGTGACCCAGCCTTAGGCCAGAGCCCCATATCAATGGCTTCCTCCCCTCACTCTGAGTCATTACTCAGTTAATGACAATTCTAGGCAACAAAAAAACTTAAACTAGAGTATCTCTGTGGCCTTTTAAGTCCAAGCTAATGTTAATCAACTGACCACGCCTGACAGCCAGCTGATCATTTCAACACCAGCAACAAGGTATTGAACATTAAAATATTAGAAAAGGATACATTATTCCCAGATATGCACACTGCCATGAGGCCTCACAAAACCTTCATGCCAGCTTATTTCATGTACAACTGAGACACTTTTTATATGGTAGTTTGGCTGGAACATCTTATAAGGACCAGTCAATAGATTCCTGAAGAGATTTATGTTACAATGGTGTCTCACAAGGATCCTTAGGACATCCTGTTCCTAGAAGCACTGTCATGTGTTGGAACCTCTTAGAATAAAATAAGTTTGTTCTTCAATCTAGCGTTTTCTTCAAACCCATGCTGCATATTATTTACATGTGGGAAATTCTAAATATTTTGTATCAAATACTAACAATTAAAAACCCACGTTCCACACACCTGAGATTTGTTGGTGCTGTTGGATGTGTTAGTGGTTTGGGTGCTTTGCATTTTCCCAACTGCCTGAGAGGACTCCAAGGATACATCTTGCGACCCTACTCGGTTCCCAGTGGACGGACGGCAAAGCAGCTGTTTCGGGGTTTTGCATGGTGTTGCATCGGAATCCTAACACAAGTCACGTGAGTTATAATGTGACATATTAGTAATTTAGATACTCAATATTCAGAAAGAAAAACAATTTTGGTTAAAGTACTCTCTGGACTAAATTTAAACATTTGGGAGTTAAAAGAAGCACACAAAAAATTAACTGTTTGTTTAAATTTTCCTCCAAACATTTAAAATGACTGATTTTATCAGAGAGCTTCTGTTCATTGTTAAATCCACTGCCCACATCTGACCTTGAAGGAGCTCACAGAGGTCTAAGTTTATTTGTTTTTTTATTTATAGAAAATGAAAGAGTATGGTAAAGAGTGAGGAACCTAGGTCCTAGTCCCTGGCTTCAGCCAGACACAAGATGATGGGTTTAAGGGGTTCAATCTCTGAGAGTCTGTGATGACAAATCAGTGATCATTCTAACCAAACATACTGGTGTGGGTGGGGGTGGACTTCCCGCGACAGTGGGCTGAGCTCCACCTATTTCTGGGCTGCATGGGCCATGACAATGCTACGTCTCTCTGCAGGTCTCCACCCTGGCCCTGGCACTCTACCCAGCATGTCAGAGTCACATTCTCTCAGTCCCCAACACTCCATCTCCCTGTGTCTGTGACATCTAGCTTGGCTTCTGTCCTCCAAAGCATACTGCTCTAGGAACCAAAAAAGCACACAGGGAGATTCTGCACAGGAGGATTTATGATTCCATATTGACACATGGTCATCATCAACAACATACAATATTTAGATTACTTTTCATGTCCTACACTTAATAAAGTTAAACTCAAACAGGTAAGCCTGCTTTAGATCTCAAATCAGTACACTACAAATTCACTTTGATTTTAAAAGGTAACTTACATTATAATTGACACATAAATTCTATCAGGATGGGGGAACAAAAAAAATTCTATCAGGATAGAAAGAGAAAGTAGATTAGAGGTTACCAGAGGTTAAGGGAGGGAAGGAAGAATTAGAAGAAACTACTGCTAAATGCAGGGTTTCTTCTTGGGGTGATGGAAATGTTCTAGAATTACTGGAGATGGCTGCACAACATTGTGAATATGTTCTAAAAACCACTGAATTGTACATTTTTAATGCTGAATTTTATGTTAACTATATCTCAACTAAAAAAAAATTTGGCCAGGCGTGGTGGCTCACGCCTGTAATCCCAGCACTTTGGGAGGCCGAGGCAGTCGGATCATGAGGTCAGGCGATCAAGACCACGGTGAAACCCTGGCTCTACTAAAAATACAAAAAATTAGCCGGGTGTGGTGGCGGGCACCTGTAGTCCCAGCTACTTGGGAGGCTGAGGCAGAATGGCATGAACCCGGGAGGCGGAGCTTGCAGTGAGCCAAGATCGCGCCACTGCACTCCAGCCTGGGCGACAGAGCGAGACTCCGTCTCAAAAAACAAAACAAAACAACAACAACAAAAAATTCAACCAGAAAGCTGAAAAAAAATTGAGTGAAAGAAGCCTTACACAAGACTATATTCTATGTGGTTCCATTTGTATGAAATTCTGAAACAGGCAAAACTAACTATGGTGTTAAAAAGTCATAACAGCTGGGCTCACGCCTGTAATCCCAGCACTTTGGGAGGCTGAGGCGGGTGGATCTCTTGAGGTCAGGAATTCGAGACCAGCCTGGCCAACATGGTGAAACCCCATCTCTACTAAAAATACAAAAAATTAGCTGGGTGTGGTGGCACATGCCTGTAATCCTAGATACTCAGGAGGCTGAGGCAGGAGAATCGCTTGAACCCAGGAGGCGAAGGTTGAGGTGAGTGAAGATCATGCCATTACATTCCAGCCTGGGTGACAGAGCAAGACTCCGTCTCAAAAAAAAGAAAAGAAAAGAAAAGAAAAACGTTAAAGGCCAGGTGTGGTGGCTCATGCCTGTAATCCCAGCAATTTAGGAGGTTGAGGCGGGTGGATCACAAGATCAGGAGTTCAGGACCAGCCTGACCAACATGGTGAAACCCCGTCTCTACTAAAAATACAAAAAATTAGCTGGGTATGGTGGTACGCACCTGTAATCCCAGCTACTCAGGAGGTTGAGGCAGGAGAATCGTTTGAACATGGGAGGCGGAGGTTGCAGTGAGCCGAGATCATACCACTGCACTCCAGCCTGGGTGACAGAGGGAGATCCCGTCTCAAAAAAAAAAAAAAGGAAAAAACAATAAACAAATACTGGAGTCTGGCTACAAGGATGCACAAGCTACAGTACTCTAGGGGAACTGATGTCTGTAATCTACTTTGAAATGGATCAAAGAATAAGATGAATTAATGGATAGAGTGATGGATAGACAGGTATGACATAAGCAAGTAAAAGGTTAATAGCAGAATCTACTGGTGAGTACATGAATGCTCACTAAAATTTGTTCACTTTTACTATATGCTTGAACTTTTTCATAACAAAATGTTGAGAAAATGTACAAGCATGAAAGTTATTAAAATATCCCAGTAACATGTAAGCAAAGGAAGTAGCCTTAGCCTTCGAGACAGTGTTAACCCCAGCAAGAGAACGTGCATGCATCTGAGTTCAGAAGAGCCGAGGCTTTCATACTTACTACATCACTAGAGCTGGACTGTGTGGCAGAAGAGGACGACACTGGACCTGATGAAGAGTTTGAAGAGTGTTTACTAAGAGATTCCGAGGTTTTACTTCTACATTTTCCAAGGGCTTCATTTTCTTCAGATAGATTATTATTACATTTATCTAACTGCTGAGTATCTACTATCAAGGTAACACCATTTCCTGAAAGAGTGGCAAAAGATTGGAAAACGTTTCTTCCCATTAAACGCACACAACACAGAAAAGCCTCTAATACTCAGTCAATCGACCAAGGAAAATATCTTACCATTGCATGAAGGCTCAGGTCTATTCTTCAAGCCCCACTGCTTTGATATCCAATCTCTATATGTGGCAACTTCATCTGTTACTCTAATTATTCTACCTAGTATGCTGCATGTGTTTAAAAAGAAAGGGAGAGGGAGGGAATAACATTAATTTGAAGATAAGAAGCCACAACTAATTTTGACACAATGGGCTGGTTATAGATGAACTTTTACCTTTCTGTTTCATTGTTGGGATAGTACTTTGCTATTGGTGATACAGCATGACTCAAAACAACGTAGGCATAATCAAAGGCCTGCTTCACTTGCATGGCCCCATATGAACTCCTTCCAACATCGTTACCTTTAAAAGAAATATACGTAACATAGTAAGCCTGACTGTGCTTAATATGCACTAAATGTTGATGACTCTCTTCCAGGAGAGCAAGGGCCATAGTTATCCCACCAGAGTTGTGCCTGGAAGCTGAGCTGTGAGCTGTCCCCAAAGCTCCCCAGTCTCTGAATATGTGAATCATGCAGTTGGTACTTCATTATGGTGTATCAGTTGCCGGAATGTATTCTGGCCCATCAAGAATTATCCCATTCCATACATAAACAGTTATGCAAACAAAAGAAATAGTGCCCTGTTCACTCCTAAGAGTGAAACCCCAAGTTACATCAGAAATACTTCTATATTTTTTGGGTTTATATTAGCTATATATCTATTTCTCACTCTAAATTATGAGCCCCTAAAAAGCAAGGATCGTCTTGCTGAAAAGTCTTCGTGTCCTTTGGCCCAATACTTTTGAACAGAGCAGGCTCCCAATCAATGTAATGTTTCCTCAATGAATAAACACATAGAACTATTAATGTTTATAAGGCAGCTCAATAAGCCAGAAAATGGTTCCTAGGCAACTACTCTATCTCTTCACCCCCTTTCCTTACTCATTTTCAAAGTTTACACATTAAAGCAAATGACTAAAAGCACTTCCACTGAAGTCCAATAACGCAGAATCTATTTTACAATTATATCAAGAAAAAATATTGCTCACAAAAATCAGGACACAAGCAAGCAAACAGAACTTCAGAAAAGCATGGAAGGAATTTACTTTCTGCTTACTTTCAAGCCCACATGAAGCTGGAAAAAGCACAAAGAGACATGCAAAATCAAACAGGAAAGGAGAAATTCAAAAAGAAAATACATTGTCTCCTTGCACCCTTCTGCTCATGAATTCAAAGATATATTACTATGCTTGCTGCCTCTCAGGACTTCAGAATCATCTCATTAAAGCCTCATTAATTGCTGACAATTGGTTGTAATCAAGGCAATAAGGACCCAAGAAGGAGAAACAGCCACCAAACATGAACCCATCCAAATAAGTGAATGCCTTTTCTACTATGCTTTTAGGGTTAAACAGATTCTACTCCCTACTTATCTGGAAGTCTCCAAGGTGTTTTTCTATTGTCTGTGTCTGTTTATTTTAGTATGTTTGCTCATGAAATATTTCGATGAAAAAAGAATAACAATTAGAAGTTGTTCCTTCATTTTTCATCTAAAGAGAATTTAAAGTATAATAAGGTGACTGACAGTGCCCTCTCTTTGAATGCCCACAAATTTACCTAATTTCAATACCTGGTTGTAAAGGATCTTCGATATAAAGCATTGATGGCCTGTAGCCATCTAGCATATTTTTCTGTACTTCATCTTTGGCCACATATGAACCACCATCCTTTATCCGGATGCCAGTCTTTAAATAATTGAAGTGTCGTCCATATAATTCAAAAAATTCTATTAAGAGAACACCATAGTTTGTATTGGGGATGCAAGCATCTTCCCTGGGATGTAACTAAAAGCAGAAAAGAAGAAATTATATTGGATTTTTGCTAAATTATCAAGGAGAGGGGGAATAAATTATATTCTAACTTCTACAAGCAATATTATTATAATTTTGGTTTAGCATAGCAGTCAGTTGATAATGGGCTAACAGCAGGTTATACTGTTGTTACACACAACACTAAAGTCCCATGGTGCGGGAATGGCGGGAGACTGTTTGTAAGGCTGAATTTTACGGCTGCACCAGGCTGCCAACCAGGGCTGGCTTGGCCCAACACATCAGCAAAGTCGTTCTGACTCACGAATAGACTCAGGCAGTTGGCAACCCTGTGCCACATAAACATACCCACTTACAATACTAAGACTCTAATTCGCTTACCCAAATAGCTGGTCTCAATTCCAACTAAACTTACAAGATTTAGCTGCTTAGAAGACATTCTTATTGTTGGCATTTATACTATTTATGCTTATGGAAACCAGGCCGTACATTTTGCATGTTAAAATTTGCAGTGAAAAGTCTCAAAAA
This sequence comes from Homo sapiens, assembly GCF_000001405.40. Lineage (NCBI taxonomy): Eukaryota > Metazoa > Chordata > Mammalia > Primates > Hominidae > Homo > Homo sapiens. The sequence continues at coordinate 50,222,660 of NC_000016.10, read as the reverse complement.
TACTAGAATGTATGGGATTTAAAACCAAAAATATTCTTTCATAGGAATTTAAAAATACATATTTGCTAAATGATAAAATGTACCCAGTTTAAAGGGAAAAGCCGTTAAGTAATCAAGGAAAGCAATGCAATTACAGGTTGATTTCGATTTTTTCCAAAATGTTTCCCAGCTGATTGATCACTTTTGCTTTTAGTGTGCACTAGCATGCTATACCCATATGACTTACCTGAAGGAAACTGACTGCCATTAAAAAGAGACTATAAGAACCAATTCCACCTGTAAATACTTCATTAAGGTCCCTCTGCAATAGGAATTGTTTCAATACTAAAACCAAGTATGGCAATACAGGATATTTCTGAAAAAGAAAATTGTATTTTCAATGAATTCCTGTATCAGCAACAGATCTAAGCATTAAGAGGGGCATAAATTGGTCCTTACATTATAAAATTTGGTAGAGATATACAACATACTTAATTTTCTATTTTAAGAGTAAGCTATTAAAAAAAAGTAAACTATAGGTAATGAATGGTTCTCCCCTTATACTTAAATTGTAAGACATGTACAAATGAATAATAGTATCTAAGTACTTGCTACAGGGCTGGGCATGGTGGCTCATGCCTGTAATCCTAGCACTTTGGGAGACCAAGGCGGGCAGATCACCTGAGGTCAGGAGTTCGAGACCAGCCTGGCCAACATGGTGAAACGCCTATCTCTACTAAAAATACAAAAAATAGCCAGGAGTGGTGGTGGGAGCCTGTAATCCCAGCTACTTGGGAGGCTGAGGCAGGAGAATCACTTGAACCCGGGAGGCAGAGGATGTAGTGAGGCGAGATCGTGCCATTGCACCCCAGCCTGGGTGACAGAGCAAGACTCCATCTCAAAAAAAAAAAAAAGTACTTGCTATAGGATAGAAACACTAACAGCATGTAACTGATGATGCTCATTTGTGACCATGACCCTCTAATATTCATTTGTAAACAGAGAATAGAAAGAGTACAAGGACAAAGTAACCAACATCTTAAAGCACTAAATCAGTGAGATTTTTAAGAATCACTTTTCTTGGTGATGTACCACTGTAGACTAGCGACCTTTAGATTATTCTGCCACAGCCCTGGGGCAAACAAGAGTCCTGCCTGCTGACTTGCACATGGGCTGATGACTACACACAGACCACCCCTCCCTTCCACGCTTCACAGGGAATGAGGCAGGGCTACCCGAGAGAACACCTGAGTGGGCAAGTATGTACAGAATGAGTCCACCTTTTGCTGTGCACATATTCATTCACTCCTCTGTAAACCATGCCATAGGCTGGGGCCACGGAGGGAAACAAAGCAGGCACAACATCTTCAAAGAAGTCTTAACAGCTATTATTACTTAGGGTGGTAAAATTACTAGTGATTTCCATTTTTTTCCCCCTCATTCTGTCACCCAGGCTGGAGTACAGTAGCACAATCTTGGCTCATTGCAATCTCCAGCTCCTGGGCTCAAGTGATCCTCCGACCTCAGCCCACCATGCCCAGCTAATTTTTGTATTTTTGTAGAGACAGGGTTTCACCACATTGCCCGGGCTGGTCTTGAACTCCTAAGCTCAAATGATCTGCCTGTCTGGGCCTCCCAAAGTGTTGGGATTACAGGTGTGAAACATAGCACCTGGCCGGTGATTTCCATTTTTTTTTCTTTACTCTTATCTCTGTTTTCTAGATGTCCTACAATGAACACGCATGGCTTCTATAAAAAAGAAAAAAAAGCTTATACTTTTGCAAATTGTATCAAACTAAGCAAGCATAGGAAAGAACAAAAATATGGAGAAATAAGTATTTTTAAACATTGTGGGCTGGGCACGGTGGCTCATATCTGTAATCCCAGCACTCTGGGAGGCTGAGGCGGGTGGATCTCTTGAGGTCAGGAGTTCAAGACCAGCCTGGCCAACATGGAGAAACCCCATCTCTACTAAAAATACAAAAATTAGCCCAGCGTGGTGGCACACATATGTAGTCCCAGCTATTCTGGAGGCTGAGGCACAAGAATCGTTTGAACTCAGGAGGCGGAGGGTACAATGAGCCATGATCGCACCATTGCACTCCAGCCTGAGTGACAGAGCAAGACTCTGTCTCAAAAAACAAAACAAAACATGGTGGTTAAGTCAGTCTAGATACAGTTCCCTTTCAAAGAACAATTAGGGGTCAGGTGTGGTGGTTCATGCCTGTAATCCCAACACTTTGGGAGGTCAAGGAAGGAGGACTGCTTGAGCCCAGGAGTTTAAGAACAGCTTGGGCAACATAGCAAGACCTTATCTCTACTTAAAAAAAAAGAAAAAAAAAAGTGGCCACATAGCAAGACCTCATCTCTACTTAAAAAATAAAATAAAAAAGTGGCCGGGCTCAGTGGCTCACGCCTGTAATCCCAGCACTGCGGGAGGCTGAGGAGGGCGGATCACCTGAGGTCAGGGTTTGAGACCACCCTGGCCAACATGGTGCAACCACATCTCTACTACAAATACAAAAATTAGCTGAGCGTGGTGGTGTGCGCCTCTAATCCCAGCTACTCAGGAGGCTAAGGCAGGAGAATCGCTTGAACCTGGGAGACGGAGGTTGCAGTGAGCCAAGATCGCGCCACTGCACTCCAGCCTGGGCAACAGAGTGAGACTCCATCTCAAAAAAAAAAAAATTAAAAAAAAAGTTAGCCAGGTGTGGTGGGCAAGCCTGTGATCCCAGATACTCAGGCCAAGGTGGGAGGATCACTTGAGCCCAAGAAGCCGAGGCTGCAGTGAGCCATGATCACTGCGCTCTAGCCTGGGTAACAGAGTGAGACTCGGTGTCAAAAAATGAAAGAAAGGAAAAAAAGGAAGCAGAAGGAAGGAAAAGGGAAAGGGGAAGGAAGAAAAAGGAAGAAGAGAAAAGAGAAAAGAAAAGGGAGGGAAAGAAAAAGAGAGAAAAGGGAAAGGGAGGGATAGAGGAAGAGGGGGAGGGAGAAGAAAAGGGGGAGGGAGAGAGAGAAAATGAGAATATGAAAGAATAAATAATTAGGGAAATATCCAACAGAATTTTATCTGGATATACCCTTCGACCTCAAAATTTTGCTTTTGGGAATCTTTCTACAAACATTTTGCATGTGTAAAGCAAGATGCATGTATGGAAGTATATTCATCAATCCCTTTTTCTAATAGCAAAAGAAAACTGGAACAATACTGAAGAACTGCTAAATCAAGCAGTCACAGCCTTATAAAAGACTACTGCCTGTGTAACCAACAAAAAGAATAAAGCAAGCCTGTATGTGCTAATATGGAAGAAACCTCCAAAACATTAAGTTTTTATGAAGTTATAAGACAATGTGTGTATAATGTGCTACTCCTTTTGCTTATAATTTTAAAGAACATAAAAAAGCAACGCAAAAAACAATAATTGGCAATGAGAAATTCTGTAAAAATGATCTAAGTATCTATGGTGTAAGGGTGACTCACTTTACACTGTCTCTTTATACTGATGAATGTTATCATGCATATGAATTTCAATTTTTAAAAGTTTTTTCCAGAAAAAGAAAATATTAGACAGACACACACACACACACCCCCAATATAGTGCGATTATGGATAATCTTTCTTTTATTTTTCTGCTTTTCTGTCTTCCATACATTTATGCAAGATGATAATGCTTGTAACATCAAGTAGTTAACATTTTTTTCTTAAAAAACAAAAAAGAAGAAATAGAAACTTTAGAGCTGCTACAGAAAAAAAAAATTGTGAATATTCTAACAGAAGCCAAAGGAGTTAATGGCTTAGGTTAGAGGTGAGAAAGCTGACAACTACCTAAGTATGTAAAATGTTCCACAGATGATGGTGACAAATTATTCTCTATCTTGGAAGAAAACAGAATAGAAATAAACTTAAATAATTTCAAAACAGAAGTAAGGAAGCCTGTAGGAAACACCTTAAAGGTAATTTAGGGATTGAAATCTAGAAAAGGCTCTTAAAACTCTTAACCTATTTCCTGTTTAGGAAAAAAAAAAGTACAGCTGGGCACGGTGGCTCACGCCTGTAATCCGGGCACTTTGGGAGGCCGAGGTAGGCGGATCACAAGGTCAGGAGTTCGAGACCAGCCTGGCCAATATGGTGAAACCCCATCTCTAATAAAAATACAAAAATTAGCCAGGCATGGTGGCAGGTGCCTGGTACTCGTCCCAGGCACGAGTCCCAGGTACTCATGAGACTGAGGCAGAAGAATTGCTTGAACCCGGGAGGCGGAGGTGGCAGTGAACCAAGATCGTGCCACTGCACTCCAGCCCGGGTGACAGAGAGAGACTCTGCCTCGAAAAAAGAAAAAAAAAAAGTGCAGCTCACTGCCCGCACAGTATTCTTGGGGCATATGGGAAATGGGTTAAAGGAAAGGTTCTTAATCTGAACTCCTGAAGGTTAAAAACAGATGGAATCAACTGTGTAGTAGAATTCCATCTCTTCTGTCTCTACAAGGAAGGATCTAGAGCAGACAATTTCTTCAAAAGCTTTCTCAACTTTTAATTCTTACTTGAGGTCACATTATAAGTTAATCACTGATCATTACAAGCAGATTCAAAGAAAGCAAAACCGTTGCATACAAAAGTAAGGTGCAGGCTGAGCATGGTGGCTCATGCCTGTAATCCCAGTGCTTTGGGAGGCTAAGGCCAGGAGTTAAGAGACCAGCCTGGCCAACACAGCGAGACCCCAACACTAAAAAAAAAAAAAAAATACAAAAAATAGCCAGGTGTAGTGGCTCACGTCTGTAGTCCCAGCTACTTGGGAGGCTGAGGTGAGATGACCACTTGAACCCAGGAGTTTGAGGCTGCAGCGGGCCATGATCCAGCCACTGCACTCCAGCCTAGGTGACAGAGTGAGACCCTAGCTCTATTTAAAAGAGAGAGAGAGAGACAGCAACATGCATATAAAAATATTAGAACACCACCACAACAGAATCTTAAAATTACGTTTCTAATAGTTTTGTTGTATAAACGCTAAATTCTCTGACCTTGGTAAAATCTTTGATGAGGTCAGCTGCTCTCACGCCATTCTGTACATTAAAGCTGATATCAACTTTCACTTCAGTAAAAGAATCTGTTAATTTAATAATAGGTACCTATAAAGAGAAGAAAGGTAAAATGTAAATGCTTTAACCAGATTAAATGATAAAATCAGGGGATGGAAGCCTACTAGACATGAGGTCTCCATCATCTCATGAGAGCATAAGAACACTGAGTATTCTAAATATGGCACACCCCAGTAAACCTGGTCTGCTACAAATACTATATGCTGCATATTTAGCACTGGGTCCCATACAGTATATTACAGTATAATTTCTATCAACCGAGAATTTTGTTTGGTGTCCAATTTTTTATTATTTATTTTTATTGTTTATATTTAAGGTGTACATGTTTTGATATACTTATCTTGATATACATACTGAAGTGATTACTACAGTTAAATAAATTAATATGCCCATCATCTCATTTATTAGTTGACATATAGTTATAATGATAATTTTAAAATGAACAAAAACCTTCCTCAATAATTTGGAGAACACTTTCTGAGTATAAGATGAAGAACTAGGAATGCCAGGTATTAAATGTTTTGTATCATCAAACTGTTTCTAATAAGAAAATTGCTGGATTCTTAAGGTGTACACTACAACCCACTTGCATTACTGGTCAGTTTTGCAAATAGCCCAAAAAACAACCTGACAAGATAAAATATAAAAATTATTCTAAAAAGCTGACAGGATTATTTACATGAGCTATCAGCAGTTCTTTTCAAAAAATGGCCTAACTTGGGCAACACAGGGAGACCCTATCTCTACAAAAAAAAATTTTTTAAATAAGCAGGGCGTGGTAGGGTGCGCCTTAGTCCCAGATACACATAAGGCTGAGGTGGGAGGATCACTTGAGTCCAGGAGTTAGAGACCAGCCTGGGCAACATAGTGAGACTGTATCTCTCTAAAAAAAATGAATAAAACAAACAAAAATCTCTACAGTGAGTACTGTGTATAATAAAATTGCATATTTTGCTGCTGTGAAAAGAAATGCAGACCAGGTGCAGTGGCTCACGCCTGTAATCCCAGCATTTTGGGAGGCAGAGGTGGGTGGATCACTTGAGCCCAGGAGTTGGAGATCAGTCTGGGTAACACGGTGAAACCCCGTCTCTACAAAAAATACAACAAAATTAGCCAGGCATGGCAGGTTGTGTTTGTAGTACAGCTCCCCAAGAGGCTGAGGTAGAAGGATCACTTGAGCCGAGGAGGCACAGGTTGTAGTGAGCCGAGATTGTATGGTCACACTCCAGTGTGGACAACCAGAAAACTTTTTATGTGCAAGCACGGTGACATTAACAAAATGAAAGAATCACTCACTTGCAATGCAACTGTGCTCACCAAACTTTAATTTTAATTCAAGTTTCATAGGTAAATAACTAAGGATTTTAATATGAAATGCTGCAGAACTTACAGTTGCTTTGTCTAAAACTTTCACCGAATCCTCATCTGCGACTTTGTGTTTCCGAAGAGCTTCTTCCAGAGTCCAGAGGGGTAGGTTCTCCCACTTCCCAAACACCACTAGGTCGATGTCACTGAACACAGAATACATATACAAGAGGGTCGGAAGAAGTTGGAAACTTGTTTTAACTGACACTCATGCTTATAGACTTCATTAGTACAATTAAAACCTATTTCCCACCCTGGCCAACGAAGACTAAATGTGTTGGTGATAATGGTTTTGTGGAGAAGGGAAATAGTAGTTGTTGATTTTAACAAACTCCTCCTCTCAGTCATTTCACAGAATTCAGGCCTCAGGAAATAGGGTGATTTTGAAAGAAGTAAAACCTCAAAGAAAAAAAAACAAAAAGCACTTCATGTATTTTCTTTAATAAACGCTTGTGGTACTAGACATAATGATTTTCCTATCCGGATGAGATTAATTGCAACTCAGAAATATTATGAAGTGCTTTAAGCTGGATGCAGAACAGGTATCCAGCATGCTACCATTTGTGTTAATATACACACATGTCCTTTTATATGCACAGATATCTCTGAAAGGATATGTGAGAAACTGGTAAAAGCGGCTGTTCCAAGGAGAACCAGGGGGCAGAGGTGGGACTGAGACTTTTCCCTGTATTGATTTTTGTGCCTTTTCCAAATGTGAACTATGTGAATGTACTACCTATTCATAAAATTTAATTAAATTTTTTAAGAAAGGTGATTTTTCATGTTTTACTGATGCTGACAACCTAAATAAGAAATATTAACTCGAAGTTGAGTATTTTATGACTTTTGCAGGCCAAGGGCATCTATGAGAAGAACGGAAATTGCCAGGGTCCATCCACTTCAGCACACTTTAAGTTGGGGTAAAGTATACCAAATCAAGCTCAAATGGAAAAACATGATGCTGACTTTATTCTGGAGAGATTAAAATTTAAGGTAATAATAATAATAACCATGATGGAATGTTCAAACAATTTCAATTCTTAGAGAGCAAGTATTCACCCTTTGGAGAAACATTATCATTTCCCAAAAGAGAGCCTCCAAGGCTGTGCGTCACAAGAGGTCTCATTTGAGAAGACTGAAACTGAACAACAGTCCTGAAAGGCCAAGATCTTTCTCAGAGAAGAGATCTGTACCCTGAATTTCTGGATCAGGATGCTGGAGCCATAACTAGTAGAATGAGTTCTTAATTTGAAAGCGAGGGTGAGTGTAAGAGTGAGTGAGCAAGACAGCGGGAACTCACATTCAAGAGGATATATAATCAGACATTTTATCATGATACTACATTAACATCTGTGTCAGTGGGTTAAGTTATGGGACTGAGCAATACTCTGCCAGGCAGTCAATTTCTAAAATTAGTAACTAATTGATTCCATTGCAACATGATCCCTTTTCCATCTCTCTGTACCATCTATGTCTTGGTAAGATGATGTGAAGTGATATTCTACTTCAAGGTAAATCAAATTAAATGCTGGTAAATCCTTTATTTATTTACTTACTTATTTTTTGAGACAGAGTCTTGCTCTGTCGCCCAGGCTGGAGTGCAGTGGCGCGATCTCGGCTCACTGCAACCTTCACCTCCCGGGTTCAAGCAATTCTCCTGCCTCAGCCTCCTGAGTAGCTGGGATTACAGGTGCGCACTGCTACGCCTGGCTAATTCTTGTATTTCTAGTAGAGATGGGGTTTTACCATGTTGGCCAGGCTGGTCTTGAACTCCTGACCTCAAATGATCCACCCTCCTTGGCCTCCCGAAGTGCTAGGATTACAGGCATGAGCCACCATGCCCAGCCCCATTTTGTTTTATAAATTTGTTTTGTTTCTACTCCTTACAAATTTGACAGCCAAAATGAATACACTCTAAGAAAAGTCCTTTGAAAGATTCATGAGTGTACTAACCTAGTAGGTAAATAAAGTCCAGTTTTAAAACTTCCAAATATCTGGACCTGAAACAGAAAAAGAAGTTGTTATTATATTGAGTTATCAGAAGTTGTTATCATATTGAGTCACCAAGATATGGAGAAATGTCAGTTTTTGCTACCCTCTACTGGTACTTTTTGGTATGACAAGAGCATTTTTTTCTAACCCCAAGCTTCATGAAGCGGGGATTCTGTTTCACAAGCAGACATTCTGAATATAATTTAAACTTATCTGGTTCAATATGAAACACATAGACCAAAATACAGTTGTCCCTTGGTATCGGCAGGAGATTGGTTCCAGTCCCACCATGCCAAAATCTGAAGATGCTTGAGTCCCTGCTATAAAATGGTAGAGTATTTGCATGCAACCTATGCTAGTCCTCCCATGTACTTTACATCATCTTTAGATTACTTATAATACCTATAATACCAAGTATGATGTAAATGCTACCTAAATAGTTGTTATACTGTATTTTTAAAATAATTTGTATTGTTTTTATTGGTACATTGTTATTTTTATAGTTTTTTCTGAATATTTTCAATCCATTGTTGGTTTAATATGGAGGTGTGGTACCTGTGGATACAGAAAGCCAACCACAGGAAACTTTCAGAAGCAGTTCAGATCACTAATGTTCCCTCATTATCCAGAGACACAATCACAAATCCTTCATTTTTGTTCTCTAAGCAGGAGTCTTCGAATAGATTACTAAATTGGGATCAGACTACTTTAACTGTAGGGCAAGTGAGGGCCTTTAGGTCAATTCCACAAAGAACATCAGGTAACATCATGCTGTGGCATAAAACTGGGATGCATTCCATCTCAACCCATGGAGAACGGTGGAACTCAGGCAGAAATATGTATGCAGGTAATTGTAATAAAAAAAGGATAGGCCGGGCACAGTGGCTCACGCCTGTAATCCCAGCACTTTGGGAGGCCAAGGCAGGTGGGTCACCTGATGTCAGGAGTTCAAGACCAGCCTGGCCAACATGATGAAATCCCACCTCTACTAAAATTACAAAAATCAGCCAGGTGTGGTGACGGGCGCCTGAACCCCAGCTACTTGGGAGGCTGAGACAGGAAAATTTCTTGAACCTGGGAGGCAAAGGCTGCAGTGAGCTGAGATCATGTCACTGCACTCCAGCCTGGGCGACAGAGCGAGACTCCATCTCGGGGGAAAAAAATGATAAACAGTGAAACCAGTTCAACCTCTGAGGCGAGATGGACCTGGGAACCTAACCACAAGCTCATGTTCCTCATCTGTAGGTAGACAGATGATGGCTGCCTGGCTGGCTGGAGAGAAAGAGATAGATAGATAATCAACCTCCACCTAAGAAAGATAAGGGTTAAGTTAGATCACGGCTTCTCAACATTGGCATTTGGGGGTGGATAATTCTTTGTTGTAAGGGCCTATACTGTTCATCATAGAATGGCTGATGGCATCCATGGCCTCTACCCACTAGGTACTAGCAGTGCGTACCCAGTCAGGACAATCAAATATGTCTCGGACATTGCCAAATGCCCCCTGGAGAACAAAATAGCCACTAGCTGAGAACCACTGATTTGGATCACATAGGAGAAAGAATGCGATGTATGGTCATTGCTCATAAAACATTAGTACCCTTGCCTTTTCCCTTTACCTACAGTGTCATATACATACTGTCATATACTTGCAAGTTTTACATACAATGAAACTTCTTTGTTTTGCCAATTGGAAAAAAACCTTCCCTAGCTTCCCACCACCACCCAGGACAGTGCCTGAAGAAAAGCTACAAACACAAAGTAATGGATTTTATTAGTATTATTTTGTGTACTTCTTTGCATACACAAAATTGTAGAACAGGCCCTCAAAGTGCCCTAAAAAGTGACGTATTAACTTAGTACCAGTAACAGGCCAAGTGTGGTGGCTCACACCTGTAATCCTAGCACTTTGGGAGGCCAAGGCGGGCACATTGCTTGAACCCAGGAGTTCAAGACCAACCTGGGCAACATAGTGAGACTCAGTCTCTACAAAAAAATACAAAAATTAGCTAAGTGTGGTGGCGTGCACCTGCAGTCCCAGCTACTCGGGATGCTGAGGTGGATCACCTGAGCCCAGGAAATCGAGGCTGCAGTAAGTCGTGATCGCACTATTGCACTCCAGCCTCAGCAACAGAGTGAGACCCCATCTCAAAAACAAAAAACAAAAGACTTAGTACCAGTAACAAAAACGACAAATAAGCCAAGAAGAAATCCTGAGTAATCATTTTGTTCACTGACTGGGAGCTGTCTAAAAGGCAATTAGCTGGTCTGAGAGAGATGAAAAATGGCAATTTCAGGAAAGAAATAAGAAAAGACTTATGCGTGCATTAGCCAAAGGAAATGAACTTCAAGTGACAAAAGTTCTTACTTGACATTTTCATTTAGCTGTAAACAATTATATAATGTTTACCCTGGCAGGCTGGAACTAAGTAGTAATGAGGTTTTGATATATCATATCCAATAACAGACCACTACAACAATGAGGTTTGATTTGTCTTTCTTCTCTTTACACTAATAATTTCTAAGGATAGCTTGCCTTTAGTAGTTGCTATTAGCACTACAAAAAAAAAATAGTTGTTAGTCATCCAATCCAATGAAAATAGTTAGGAAGCCTCAATTCTAAAGACTGCAGAAAATTGTTTGCCTTTAAAATTTAATTAGACCACAACTCTACAGAGCACTTCTACTTGCATGTGAGGACTAGCATGAGATACCAGCAGATAGGCTTCTAGCCCGTGGACAAGGACTGTCCGAAGCATAAGCTACCCAGGAAGGGACTCACGTCAGCGCTGGGCCAGAGCTCCTTAATTACACTCTCGATCCTGTTCACCACCTCCATCCGCATCTTCTCCTCCTCAGGTCTTGGAGACATGTATTCATAAAAATCACTGATTTCTTCATGCAGACTGAAGAAAAAAACAGAAAAGTTAATATGAACAGGGCCAATCTAATGAGAAATCACTATCTTAAATAATCTTATCTAATTAAGTCTTATAATTCAGCTGATGACTACCTTAATTTTAATGTTATAACTCAAGATAAGCTAAAATGGGAATGTACAGAATTTAATCAAAAAACCCAAAATAATTAAATAATGAGAAATTTCCTGTGCAAAACACTTGCTGGGGTGCTGGTGATTTAAATAAAATAAAACAAGCATACGGGCTGGCCTCTGCCTTTCCACTTCTGATCTAATAGACACAAGATACTGAACCCAGGTGACACAGGCAAGTTTCCTGGCAGTAGGGACTGACCCTCTTATCTCTTGGGGATCCATTCCTCACAGTAGCAAACAGTACATCTTTCATAATGTTTGCTCAGTGAATTAAGTGTCAAATGAACAAATCAGGCAGTGAACAACAGCAAAGTCTTGAAAAGAATGGCTGGCAAAGGCTCCATGAAGGAGCTGAAGACTTCCAGAGCCTGCGAGGTACAGGGCAATCAGCCAGCTACAAGGGCTGTGGCAGGCAGAGTGGGAGAAGCATCTGTAGAGGAAAGCAGGCCCCAGCAGAGGGCAGGCTCTGAATGACTGGCTAAGAGGTTCAAGCTTTCCCCCTGTGGCAACAGATAGCTATTTAAATGTTTCTGAGAGGGACCAAAAGAGACTGACTTCAAAAATGCAGCATTTTAAGAAGATTAAACTGGCAACTATGGAAACAATGGACCAGCAAAGAGACTAGACTGGATGCAGGGAAAAGTCATGAATCACTGAGTTGCAAAAGGATTGGATGAAGGCCTAGAGGCTGGTGGAAGGAAAGGAATGGGCTCCAGAAACAAAAGACACACACATACCCACACCCTGCGGATAGGCGCAGCGCCTGACTATCATGGTGGTGGGGGGCTAAGGATGCCTTCAAGGGCTGAAGCCTGAGGGACTGGGGGAAAACTACTGGTCTGGAAGAAAGGACAAACTCACTGGGCTGAGCAATGACTTGAACATAGTCAGGACGGGGGACAGAGAGAAAAGCAGCATTCCTTTCTAAGTTGGTGAGGCTGTGAAGAGCTATGGCTGGGAAGGGAAAGTGAAGTGGTCAGCTCACCTTCCCTAGAGCACTGACCACCCACGAGGACTGAGCCACAGAGGTAAGCACAGGGACTCTACCAACTGGGATAGACCAGAAGGCTCGGAGCAACAGGTGCAAAGTGCCTTAGGGGAAGGAGGGGCAGGGGGTTTGGCCTGGGGCACAGCAGTGGTAAGGAAGGGCAGCCACAGCTTAACAGAGCCTTGAAGGAGGAGCATGTCTGCAACTGCATGGCAACTTCAGGGTCCAGAGCAGGAAGCTCGAAAAACTGGCAGGCCAAAAATTGTTTTAGGGAAGGAAAAAAAAGTGTCTACATCCCAATCCCCAAAGACTATAACTTTTGCTACAAGAAACCTTAGAAAGTGAAAATGTGACTGATTAAGCAATCCATAGTTCCTCCTTCTGATTTTTTATTTTTAGCCTAAGAGTCAAAAACCTTGAGTTCTAGACTCAGGTTCTGCCTGAGGGCAGCTGTGTTCCCTCTGACAGGTGACTGGCACTCTCAGGCTTCAGTGTGTCAGGTACAGCACACAGCTGGTAAGCAGGAGCCTTTTCAGGCCTTCAGTTTCAAAACCTGGGCCTTTCGTAGAGGATGATTTACAACAGCGTTCGGCCTGTTTGCTATGCAATATGTCATAAAACGTGGATCTTAAAACTCCAGAGAGGTCTGTAGGTGAATCCAGAAGATATCCCAGTGGGGACGTTTTCCTTGCTATGCCTCTGGGTACCTCAGGACCTTCAACTTCCGTTTCGAAGTTTTGTTTTGATTTGAGTTTCCCAGGTTTGATTATGTTCTCTAAGGTTATCTAAACCCTTCTGCTTCTTGAAGACAGCAGCTGAATGGGAATAGCTGTTAGGAAGCTTATGCTTTGCTGTGCTCTTCTGCACAGGTTGGCTGGCAAAGATGAGGGCCATGAATAAACGACAGAACAAATGGACTGCTTCTTATCTCATTGCGTAGTCTGCTGTGAGTGATCGGAGTTTATTTGTAGTTCTAAAGCAGATCCATAGAAAAACTGCATTTTAACCAATGGGGGGGAAAAATCTCCTAAATGTGACTGCATCTACTCTCAAGGCCCCCTTACGAATTTTCTAATTCAAATAAAGGCAAAAAATATTTAGCACAACTGCCAGTCAATCTGAAGTCATAAGAAACTTATTAAGAATTCATTCTCTGGCCAGGCGCAGTGGCTCACGCCTGTAATCCCAGCACTTTGGGAGGCTGAGGCAGGCAGATCGCCTGAGGCCAGGAGTTGGAGACCATCTGGCCAACACGCAAAACCCCATCTCTACTAAAAATATAAAAATTAGCTGGGTGTGGTGGCGCATGCCTGTAATTCCAGCTCCTCGGGAGGATGAGGCACAAAAATCACTTCAACTTGGGAGGTGGAGGCTGCAGTGAGCTGACACCGTGCCACTGCAATCCAGCCTGGGCAATGGAGTGAGACTTTGTCTCAAAAAAAAAAAAGACAATTCATTCTCTAAACACTACCAAGTGCCTATGTTCAAGGCACTAGGAGAAAACTGGCTCATAAAACATGATCCTTGCCCTGGGTCACTTCCATCTAACAATGAAAAGGAACACTTATTTAAAGCAGTTTTGTAGTGTGTGCAATGCATATGTTCTGTACTATTCTGCCACAGGCAGCTTCCAGATGAATGATTCAGAGCTTTCCAATGATCACAGCTGCCCAGGATGGACTGGGTCACCTTGTAGGTTAGTAAGGTTCCTGTTACTACCAGCATAAAGAAACCAGATGACCATGAGGCAAACAAAGGTCCAATAAAAGGGCTTTCTGAGCTTGGTAAAAAGTTGGAAAAGATTCTAAAATTCACTTTCAGTGCTGCAATTCTAGGGTTCTAACTAGCACATTAATTTGGGGGGAATTATTATAGATTTATAAGACAGGCTCTGAAGACTACCCTCAACAATCAATAGCCCATGGCACCACCTTCCTATTTTAGAAAAAATGGTTCCACAGGTTATTGTATTTTGATTGATGCATATTTGCCACACTGGAAGGAGAAAAGAGGAATACAGAAAAAGAGGAGGGCTATTATTAAAGCAAAGCCACACTTGCAAAGTCAGAAGAGGAAATCCAATCTCGGGTCTGCCAGGCTCAGTTTCTCATCCACACCAGGCACAAGCATCACCATCTCACCTATATGTAACTAGCTACGTGTGAAATACTCAGAGAACAACCAGATAAAATATCTTGGAATACTGAGGAAATAAACTTCAAGTACAGATTTTAAAATAATTCTAACAGGCTCTATCCTCAGGACTGAGTAATTTTACTGGCACAGTGCCTTGCATATTCAGGCACTTAAAATACCCTGACGAGCTGGAAGTCCGTTTGTAGAGTGTGCACTGTAAGTCTGGCTCTCATTTGAGTGGCAGAGTGGACCACCTGAGGAATTTTGTAGGCTTGCTTTCACATGGTAATATAATTTTATGCCTCTGAAAGCATCCAAGTACACAGAGAAAACTTCAGTTTCTCCCATGTTTGGATCAAAATTTAATATGATTTATGAGTAGGTATTGCTGGATGACACATGCCCATTGTTACAGTTTCTCATATGAAATTATAAAATACATCATACTGAACTAAGAATGATGAAAAAAAGTATAGAATACAACTCTTCCGTGATCTGAACCTGTATGTACCCAAAATACAGTGCCCTCTCTAGGATATCAATGTTTTTATGTTAAAAGGAAAAGTGGCTCGGGCACAGTGGCTCACGCCTGTAACCCTAGCATTTTGTGAGGCTGAGGCGGGTGGATCGCTTGAGTCCAGGAGTTCGAGACCAGCCTGGATGACATAGTGAAACCCCATCTCTACAAAAATACAAAAAAATTAGCCAGGCGTGATGGTGCACGCCTGTAATCCCAGCTACTCAAGAGGCTAAGGTGGGAGAATCGCTTGAGCCCGGAAGACAAAACTTGCAGTGGGCTGAGATTGTGCCTCTGTTCTCCAGCCTGGGCAACAGAGCAAGACTCCGTCTCAAAAAAATAAAAAAATTTTTAAAAAAGGAAAAGTGAACAAGATCCCTGTTCACAAAAGAAAAGTCATATAAAAGCAGTATGATAAAATGAGCACCACTATACAACGGGAAAGGATGCCAAAAAAAAAAAAAGAGAGAGCAAGAGAAACAAAATTAATTTGCTGGGGTAAAATTTACATTAAAATCTCAAAATTAATAACAGAACATTTAATATGACAAGGAGGTGTCCAAAAAACAGATTCCATATTTAAAAAATAAAACTCACAGGTAATTTAGGTTAAAAAAAAAAAACAAACTTCTGTTCTGAGGAAAGATCTGCTACAGAAAAGGAATCCAGCCTATCAAAATTATGTGAATTTTATAATGCTTGTCATGGGGTGGGAGGTTCAAGATCTTTGGCTGGAAAAGGAAGAACCATTTCGCATCCTTCAGCTGGACCACCCTGGGCACACTGTGAGTTGCTTAGTAGCTTCTGCATTCTCAAAACCAAAGGCAAGGTGGAAAGCTCCCTTGTGCCTTCTAGGCCAAGGGAGGCAGATGACCCACGGCCAGCCCCTCTGCTCAGCACCGTCCCCTGCGGCTCATCCATGTTTCTGTTCAGGGATGACACTGCTTCCCAAGAGATACCTGCCCAGACACAGCATGTCTGAGCCCACCTCCACATCAAGGTCCAGCTTTCCCAGTTCCATAACTGAAGTCAGACCTGTTTTATTACCAAATTCATCCCTTACATGAAGGAACTGACAAAGTTCTATTCGATAACTGTCAATAACAGGACATCCCTCCACCAAAACAAACTGTCAATAACAGGACATGCCCCCACCAAAAAAAAAAAAAAAAAAAAAATACATACATATATATTTATCTCTTAAGGTTCATGATATCCAATTTTGAAACAATATATTGAAAAGGCATTCATATGCATGTGGGGAAGTATAAATTACTACAATCTCTCCTGAGGTCATTCTACTAACAAACGATAATGTTTACACAAATAATTTTTAAAATTTCCCTTCTTTCCATCCTCCAGAAATATTTTCATGAGGGAACAAGGATATCTGTATAAGGATGCTCACCACAGGATTAATTAGGATACTAAAAAATTTAGAAATGATATCAATGTCCATCAACAGGATCCAATTAAATAACAACAGAAGCACCCATAAAGCACTTTCCCTTTATAGCCAATAACCTCTTAAAAAAATAAAGCTATATAAGCTGATAAAGATGTCAAATATGTTAAATTGGAAAGAAAAAGCATAAAAAATGTGTTCAGCAGAATCTCTTTTGTGTGCGTTAGACATGTGCAGGGGCAGAAGCAGTGGCTCACACCTGTAATCCCAGCACTTTGGGAGGCTGAGGCGGGTAGATCACTTGATGTCAGGAGTTTCAGACCAGCCTGGCCAACATGGCGAAACCCCATCTCTACTAAAAATACAAAAATTAGCTGGGTGTGGTGGCAGGCGCCTGTAATTCCAGCTACTCGGGAGGCTGAGGCATGAGAATCACTTGAACCCAGGAGGCAGAGATCACAGCAAGCTGAGATCATGCCACTGCACTCCAGCCTGGATAACAGAGCAAGACTCTGTCTCAAAAAAAAAAAAAAAAAAAAAAAAAAAAAAAAAAAAAAAAAAAAAAAAAAGACATGTAAACACATACACACAGAGGCAGACACACAAAATGTTCCTATTTGCATTGCAAGTTTTCTGGAAGGAGAACTGTTAACAGATATTACCTTAGGGACAGGGACTTTTGCCCAGTGGAGGGCACAGGCAGGAGAGTTAGGAAGACTTTAACTTATTTTTGTATCTTTCTGTACTATTATAATTTTTTTTAAAAAATCAGCATGTATTTGTCCACTTTTGAAACAGAGATTATTGTCTGCTTGATGAGATTATAGTCCAGGAGATTTGTTGTCACCTTTATATTTTCCCATGTGAAAAATATGGTTGTGAGTATGCATGTTCCACCCACTAACCAGCCCTCTGCCCGCCCCACACAGAACAGGGTCTATATACGATACTGTTAACAGTGATCACATCCGAAGAGGGACTGGGGGGGTCATTTTAAGAAAAATGCATACATGTTAATTACCACTGTATATTTTTAAAACAAGAACTTCATCATAAAAAAATTCATTAAAGAAAACACAAAGCAGAAACACTTAAATTACTCTAATAATCTAGCCTTGCAGACACACTTCGAAAGAGGGTGATATGGGCCGGCTGTGGAAGGAGCTCAGTGGTCAGCCTGTGGGCAATACTGACAGCTGGGGACACAGAAGACCTCCAAACCCAGGAATGCAGTGACAGCACACACCAGTACATTTTGCAAAGTTTCTGCATGCCCAGTGCAGTGTGTGTGGTGAGTTTCTGCTAGTGTCTGGCCCATCCTTTCTGGGATTATTTATATACTCAAACGCGTTGCAAGGCAAATTTCTGGAAGAATACACAAAAACTGCTAGCAGGACTTTCCTCTGGGGTGGAATAGAGGTCTGAATTTGCATGATTTTGTACTGTTTGATTTTCTTCAAGCCTGCCTAGACACCAAGAGAAGCGAGTGACTCAAGGCCCTGGGGTGATGGCAGGGCAATCTGGGTGACATCTTCAGGAGACTGCAGATGGATCTTTACCAAGAAACTCATGCACACATCCAGCCTCCTCCTATACTTGCAGCTACCAGCTAGACATCCCTACAAAGATGTCACCTCGAACTAAACAAGTCCAAAACACAACTGCTTGTCATTCTCTTAAACCTATTCCTACTCCTGTGTTTTCTTCCCTGAGTTACTGTTTCCTTGAGTGGAAACTTCAGTCTTCCTTGGTTCACCTTTCTTCATCTACGGAGCCAAGAGGTTTCCAAATCCTTGTTCCCAAAACCAAAAAACAAAACACTTCCAAATCAGACCCTGCCCCTCCACCTTCCCTGACCGTGCTCTGAGTTCAAGTCTTTTTCTCTCTCAGTAGAACACTATGGCAGCCTCCAAACTGGTCTCCCTACTATGAGCCTCTCCCTTTTCCAGGCCATTGCTGCATGATTACTGAAGTCCCCTTCCTTAGCCTATCTGTGTCACTTCCAACCTCCTTATGGTAACACTGCCTACCTTTCTAGCCTCACTCCCAAGAGCTTCCGAGCCCTCTTCTACGACAGCCCCACAGAACTGGACCAGGGCACGCCTTGCTTTTTCAAGAATCACCTTCTCACTCAGCTCAAATATTAGCTCCTCTGTAAAATTCCCAGAGGCAGAATGACTTCAGAGCCTCCTGGGGGCTCCTGGAGCATGGCAGACCAGGCCTACCCGTGGCAGAGCAGTCAGGCTTACAGGCCTCCCTATTCAGACTCAACTCTTCCTGCTTCGGGCTCTGTGTGCCCAGATGCAGGACTCAACACAGAGAAGCACCTCCTTAGGGAGGGACCTTCTGTTCACAGGGGGACATCTACCCACCCCAATGTCCACAGAGTCTCAAAAGGGACATGATGTTCCTTAAAATGAGCTCCGAACCAGAATCCAAGAAAATGGATGCTCACACAGTGTGGCTGAGAACTGACAAAACCAGAAGGAGGACAATTTGACCCAAGAACTATAGATGTCCGCTGTCCTTAAAGAAGGCAATTACACCTTTCAGAATGTAGGCAAAGGAAGTCTGCATGTGCACAGAGATAGGTCGATAAGAAAATATTCACAATGAACATGTAATTTTCTTTAAAAAGCCAAGGTTTACAAGTGGAATGCCTAATGGCTTTCAATTTTAAAGTTTACACAACGTGCCTACCTTCTACAGTACTGATAACAATACAAGGTCACTTGAAAAAGGCCATGCCTAAATAGGAAGCTCTCCAGTTCCAAAGCAGAAAGACAAAAAGCCCTCTCTCTCCTCTATTTGTGGACAAGAAACTCATTCCCTCCCCTAAATAATTTGTACCATCTCCCAAGATTTAAAAAAAACAAGAGAGAAAATACAGATGATGACATACAGATTTAAATACAGAAATAAAGATTTAAAAGGAAAAAGAAGAGCCCATATATCTTACTTTTATGAATGCTGCAGGCATTTACAACAGTGAATCATGGCTAAGGAATGCCATATTTGCTATGGCAACCCTTCCTTGGTTAGGACATGAGAGTAAAAGTACAGGGAATGGATACTCGTCTATGTGTCCTAAATTACAGTTTTCATTTTTTTCTTCTTTTAAGAGGTACTCGTGCCTGCTTTCCTAGAAATTAGAGCATTCCTTTTAAATGCCACTGCCAGTTGCACTCAATTTCTGGACTACAGTTTTTTAGGCCAATGTTTCAGAAGGATGGTTTTTCAGTTGATTTCCTCTTGGTCCCTTCCCACTTTGCTGCTATGAAAAGAGATAATGAAAACCACGCGATTCTCCCCAGGCCTCTTTCTTTTGCCACCCAGCCTTACTACTACTTTCAATTGATTATAAAGAGAGAACAAGAAAAGAAATCATTACCCAAGAGTTGCTTTATCTAATTTGGGTCAAAAATTCTTTCCCCTTCCAATAAAATTTCTGAATTACCCAAACTACTCTTGAGTAGTTCTAACCAAATTTGGGCAAAGTTAGGAAGCTTAAAGAAGAACGGTTGATGGTATTCCCTAAGATCAAGGATCTTGAAACTAAAGCTTGATTAATAAATGTATTCCTCAAATGGGAAATCCTCAAATATCTGAGTGAAGAAAAAAAACAAAGCACAAATAAACAAAGTTTAATCTTTCCTTAGCTACAAGGTCCAAATGCCAATAAAAAGTTTGTTATATTCTTAAATATTAATAATGAAATATGGATGTGTTTAACCCACATAATCCCAATACCAAAACTTCATTTATGTATTCAT
Organism: Homo sapiens; assembly: GCF_000001405.40. Taxonomy (NCBI): domain Eukaryota; kingdom Metazoa; phylum Chordata; class Mammalia; order Primates; family Hominidae; genus Homo; species Homo sapiens. The sequence goes on along the minus strand of NC_000016.10, from coordinate 50,202,354 downwards.
TTGTTGTTTACCTTTAGTGGAAGGGCTGGTGTTTAAGAATAGATACTGCTCTGTTAAAAATACAACCATTTGTAACATCTTTCCCTATGTTACAGTACAGGTAAAAGAAGCACAGAACTACCAAAGGGGCACCTTACATTCAAGGACTCCTACATATGAAAATTCCAGTATCCAAAACATACTAGTGGTGATTATTTGCTCAATAAATAATTTATATTAAATAGGACAAGCTCCCACACGTATTTCAAATGTTTTAACTATTAGTAGTGGTTACTTGGATAATGAAACTGAAAACAAGACTAATTTGGAGAAAAGATATCACAACTTTCTTTTTCTGCACTGTTGAAATCTTTTGGCTAAGTGCTGGTATTTTTTTTTTTTCTTTAGGGACGATGTCTCACTATGTTGTCTAGGCTGGTCTCAAACTCCTGAGCTCAAGCAATCTGAGCACCTCAGCCTCCCAAAGTGCTAGGGTTACAGGTGTGCACCACTGTATCCAGCCCGCTTTTTTTTTTTTTTTTTTTAAATAGAGTATCCCTCTTTCACCCAGGCTGGAATACAGTGGCTCACTCCAACCTCTGCCTCCAGGGTCCAAGTGATTCTCATGTCTCAGCCTCCCCAGCAGCTGAAATTACAGGTGCGCACTACCACATCCAGCTAATTTTTGTATTTTTGGTAGAGATGGGGTTTCGCCATGTTCGCCAGGCTGGTCTTGAACTCCTGACCACAAGAGATCTACCTGCCTTGGCTTCCCAAAGTGCTGGGATTATAGGTGTGAGCCACCTCAGCCAGCCACTGCTGGCATTTTTTTTTTTCTTGAGACAGAGTCTTGCTCTATCGCCAAGGTTGGAGTGCAGTGGCGCGATCTCGGCTCACTGCAACCTCTGCCTCCCAGGTTCAATCGATTCTCATGCCTCAGCCTCCTAAGTAGCTGGGATTACTGACATGCGCCACCACGCCCAGCTAATTTTTGTATTTTTAGTAGAGACAGCGTTTCACCATGTTGGCCAGGCTGGTCTCAAACTCCTGACCTCAGGAGATCCACCTGCCTCAGCCTCCCAAAGTGCTAGGATTACAGGCGTGAGCCACCGCATCCAGCCCAGGGCTGGTATTTTTAAAAGCAAAAAAACAAAACCAAATTGATTCACAAAGAATCCATTTACATATTCACCAAAAACATAATGTGTACAAATGTAGACTGACTTTTATGAGGTCCTATATTTTTTCAAAATTAACAAATAAAAAATAAATTCTGAGCTAGGCTAAGTGGCTCAGGCCTATAATCAGCACTTTGGGAGGCTGAGGGCTGGAAGATTGCCTGAGGCCAGGAGTTCAAGACCACCTGGGTAACATGGCGAGATCCCACCTCTACAAAAAAAAACTCTTTTAAATTAGCAGGGCATGGTGGTGTGTGCCTATAGTCCCAGCTACTCGGAAGGCTGAGGCAAGAGGATTGCTTGAGGCTGGGAGAAGTTGAGGCTGCAGTGAGCCATGTTCATGCCACTGCACTCTAGCCTGGGCAACAGAGTGAGAACTTGTCTCAATAAAAAAAAAAAATAAAAAACACAAAAATAAAGCAAAAGGCAGGTATTCAAAATAGACAAAGAACTCATGATATTCAACAATAAGAAAATGAACCCATTTTTTAAAATGGGCAGAAGACCTAAACAAAGGCCTCACTAAAGAAGATACATAGATGAGAAGTAAACATATTAAAAAGATGCTCAATGTCATATATCATTGATTAAAACAAGTGAGACAGCATTATATACCTAATAGAATATTCAAAATCCAGAACACTGACAACACCAAATGCTGGTGAGGATGTGCAACAACAGACTCTCATTCATTGCTGGTAGGAATGCAAAATGGCGCAGCCACTTTGAAAGACAGTTTTTTCTTTTTTCTTTTCTCTTCTATTTATTTATTTACTTATTTTTGCTTCCTTACCCTCTGACTCATCTTTTTTTCTTTTCTCTTTTTTTTTTTAAGTCAGGGTCTTGCTTTGTCACCCAGGCAGCAGTGCAGTGGTATGATCACAGTTTACTGCCACCTCCAGCTCCTGGGCTCAAGTGATCCTCCCACCTCAGTCTCCCAAGCAGTTAGGACTATAGGCACATAAGACCACGCCCAGCTAATTTTTAAATTTTTTGTAGAGATGAGGTCTCACTATGTTGCCCAGGCTAGTCTCGAACTCCTGGCTTCAAGGGATCCTCCTGTCTCAGCCTCCCATTATGCTAGGATTACAGGCATGAGCCACCACACCCAGCTGGCAGTTCCTTAGCAAACTAAACATACTTTTACCATACAATCCAGCAACTGCACTCCTTGGTATTTACCATAATGAACTGAAAACCAATGTCCACACACAAAAAAACCTACACAGAAGTTTACAGCAGCCTTATTCATAATTGTCACACTGGGCACAGTGGTGTATAGCTGTAATCCCAGTTACCCAGGAGGCTGAGGAGAGGGGTTCACATCAGCCCAGGTGTTCAGGAGACCAGTATGGAAAACACAATGACACCCTGTCTTAAAAAATTTTTTAAATTATCAAAACTTGGAAGCAATCAAAATGACCTTCAGTAGGTGAATGGATCAATTGTGGTATATCCATAGAATGGAATATTATTCAGGACTAAAAAGAAATGAGCTATCAATCCAGGAAAAGGCATGAAGGAATCCTAAATGCATATTACTACGTAAAAGAAGCCAATCTGAAAAGGTTACATGCTGTATGATTCCAAGGGTGTGACATTCTGGGAAAGGCAAAACTATGGAGACAGTAAACAGATCAGTGTTTGCCAGGGGCTAAGGGGAGGGATAAATTAATAGGTGAAACACAAAATTTTTAGAGCACAAATGTGTCCAGCACCCTTTATTGAATGTTCCATCCTTTTCTCAATGACTGAGTAAATGCTGCTCCAGTATGCCCAATGGCCTGTCCCCTTACTCCCCCACTAGTAATTCTACCACCCCACACACTTTCTTTGGGAAACAATTCATATCCCTACTATTCCATGTGATTCTGGTGAGGCTGCACTGCAAAGCCAGCTGGCAGTTCAGGGCAGGAACAGCCATGCGTGGCCCCCAGTTAGTGTAGCATCCCCATGGTCATGGGCCAGGGATGGGCACATGGCCCCAGCACCCCACGTGGTATCTTCCTTAGGACTTTACACACTGACTCTAAGGAAGGTCACTTCCCTCTTTGATCTCAAGCTATAAAAATAGAAGCCTGGAAGTATCAAAAAACCACACCTCCTTTCCTCTGGCTGCACAAAGGAAGCCATTAGCAACAGGAGAGAATGGAGCCAACCCCAAAAAGAATCAAAGTCAGGGGAGAGATAGGCACTTGAGCTTTCTCTGGAGTCACTAAAGCAAATACCACCTTTGCGTAAGCAATTATGAGTTTATTTACCTTGCACCTGAAAGACTCCTGATTCACACACAAAGACTTTGATTATATATACTCTCATGGATAGCTGGATCAGGTCTTAAGTGTTCTTTCAGATCTATGGCTATTTCTGTCTATTCGAGGGCTCAGATTACCCTTTAAAATTCATGTAAAATCTATAAGTAGTTGACAGTACAAAACCAATCGTCTTCCAAACTCATCTTTAGTTTTCAAAATGTTCTTGGCTATTCTTGCCTGCTTATTCTTCCAGATGCTCTTTAGAATCATTTTAACAAATGACTCTCCCACCCTCCCCACAAAAAAATCAGTGGGATTTTAATTTAAATTATATTAATTAATACATTAGTGAGTTGATCTGATATCTTCAAGTTTTTTTTTAAAATGCAACCCACTGTAAAGATTTTTATATTTTCTTCACTTTTCTGGCTTTGCTCTAAATTATCTTAGGGATTTGATGCTCTAGTAAGTGAAATTATTTTTTCTTTTACTTTCCTTTCCTTTTCTTCTTTTTTTTTTTTTTTTAGACAGAGTCTCACTTTGTCACCCAGGCTGGAGTGCAGTGGCGTGATCTCAGCTCACTATAACCTGTGCTTCTCAGGTTCAAATGATCCTCCAACCTCAGCCTCCAAAGTAGCTGGGACTATAGGAGCTCACCACCACACGTGGCTAATTTTTTTGTATTTTTTGTAGAGACGGGGTTTTGCCATGTTGCCTAGGATGGTCTTGAACTCCTGAGCTCAAGAGATCCACCCACGTTGGCCTCCCAAAGTGCTAGGATTACAGTCATGGGCCACTGTGCCCGGCTTTTTTTTTTTTTTTTAATTATATTTTCTGTCACATATTACAGATACTGACTTTTGTGTGTTTATTTTGTAGCCAAGCAGGCAGTTTTCTTGCCCTACTACATTGGCTAGAATTACTAAAATAAGATCAAATAACATGGTGAGGGCAGGCATCCTGTCTTGTTACGGATTTAATGTGTTAAATCAAGTTTAGCCTAAAACTGTCTCCTTACATATTTTAAGTTTGACCTACAGGTTTTTCTGTCCATAATGAACTATAACCAAAATGGAGATGTAAACAGACTATAACCTGCTCTTGTGCCAATCACCGAGTTTTGGCCAATCAAAGGTGGCCAACTGTACAAACCTCAACTTGTGTTCAAATAAGGCAAATTCAGAGCTGTAACCAATCCGGCTGTTTCTGTACCTCACTTCCGTTTTCGGTACATCACTTTCCTCTTTCCATTCATAAATCTTTTTCCACGACATGGCTGTGCTGGAGTCTCTGAACCTACTCTGGCTCGGGAGGCTGCCCAATTTGCAAATCATTCTTTGCTCAATTAAACCATTAAATGGCATGGTGGCTCACGCCTGTAATCCCAGCACTTTCAGAGGCCCAGGCAGGCAGATTGCTTGAGCCCAGGAGTTCAAGACCAGACTGGGCAACATGGCAAAACCCCATGTCTACAAAAAATACAAAAATCACCCAGGCGTGGTGGTGCACACCTGTAGTCCCAGCTACGCAGGAGGCTGAGGCAGGAAAATCACTTGAACCCAGAAGGCGGAGGTTGCAGTGAGCTGTGCTTGCACCACTGCACTCCAGCCTGGGTGACAAAGCAAGACTCTGTCTCCAAAAAAAACTTAAATTTAATTTGGCTAAGGTTTTTCTTTTAACAAATGGGAAGTGTCTCTAGTGTTTCACATAATGTGTACTGGTTTGAAAGTACCACTCTTTATCAGCTCTTTAACAGGTTAAGGAAACACCTTTATATTCCAAGTTTACCAAAGGTTGTTGTACTCTGTTTTTTTTTTGTTTTTTGTTTTTTTTTTAGAGATGGGGTCTTGCTATCATCCCCAGGCTGGAAGGCAGTGGCACAATCACATCTCACTGCAGCATCAAGCTCCTGGGCTCAAGTGACTCTCCTGACTTAGCCTCCCAAGTAGCTGAGACTACAGGCATGTGCCCACATCCTGCTTAAAGTTGTACTATTTTTTTTTTTTTGAGACAGGGTTTCGTTCTGTTACCCACACTGGAATGCAGTGGCACAACCATAGCTCACTGCAGCCTTTACTTCCTGGGCTCAAGCAATCCCCCTGCCTCAGCCCCACTGTAGCTGGGACTACAGCTGCATGCCATCACACCCAGCTAATTTTTGTCTATTTTTTTTTTTTTTGTAGAGACAGGATTTCACCATGTTGCCCAGGCTGGTCTCAAACTCCTGGCTCAAGCGATCTGCCCGCCTTGGCCTCCCAAAGTGCTGGGATTACAGGCATGAGGCACTACCCCTGGCCAGTTGTACTCTTTTTAACAGACATATTTAAGATTTCACTCCATACTTTCAACAAGCATCTATTGTATTTTTTGCAGAATAAAGCAACATTGGTAGCTTCTTCCTTTCATGATGAAGGAGATGATGATGATGATGATGATGATGATGATGATGATGATAATGATAAACTAAAAGCTACTCTAAGTATATGGCTTCCCGGTAAACAAATTTCACAAACAAGGCACTCATACTGTGGTAACAACAAAAATGTTTTAAGTCAAACAAAAGCCCACTACTATAATAAATCTTTTTTTTCACACTCCTAATTAGGTAACTCTCTTAACCAAATAAATAGCAAACAAAACAAAATAAAAACAATACATCTAATACTGCCATTGGGCTGCCAACCAGCAGATCACAGGATGACATTTTCTGGATATGCACAAAACTGAAAACATTTCAGATATTTTCTATAATTCTTTGAGTATAAAAATTTTCTGGACTATGTACTGTTTCATCTTATCAAATCCCTCAGACCAAATTTATTTAGATACATATGTTGCATTTACCACCTAATTTCTCTTAAACTTTGCTGTCTACAGAAGTTATTAGCAGGCACATCTGTGTACAATATACTGTAAAGTTCTACATTGACTATTTCTTCCGCTCCAAAGCAGGGCCTGGGATGATTACCATTCCAAGAGTATTTCTACTATATCTATTGTAGACAACACAGAACTTTATCAAAATAATGCTTACTCATTAGCCCTGTAAAGGCCTCCCACTGAAGTTATCTTTATTCCTGAATACAGTATAAGATCTTTAAGACCTATGGACAAAATAAGAGATCTACTATATAGCTCACAAAATTGTAAAATTTATATGTATATTTTTTATACCTTTATACATTTACATGTCTTTTGGAAGATACTGTGAACACTGATAATTTTAAAGAGGCCTCATTTAGTTTCATTAATGAAAATGATATGCATAAGTACTGCACACTTTCCTCTTTACATGCTAAAACTTGAATAATGACAAAAATATGCTGTACACTAAGCCAGACATAATTTAAAGCCTCCTTTTGTTTTCATGACTCAGGACCATCATTAAACACACCCATAATTGTCCAGTATCATTCCAAGTAGCTTGGGGTCTAAATCTGGACTCTGCTATGGGCTCACTCTTCCTGCTTAATTCTGACTTCCTCCCCTTTCCTCTTTCAGTTTTCATTCCGCTTAACACAGTCATTAATAGAAAGTAAACTCACTGAGAGCCAAAGGATTTCTCCAAAAGAATCAAGTTCGTACTTTCAATGCTAGGCTTTCAAAGCTATATGATGAGATAAGAGTGCCTTCCACATTTCCTTAGCTGTGCTTTGGAGGGGGTATCACCAGGACAAAGCATCTAACTTCTGTATGGTACCTCATATTTTTCAAAGAAGCTCTTACCTATTCTCTGTTTCAGTCATCCACAATAATCCTGTGAATCAAACTAGGCAGAATTTAACTTCTAATTAAAAAAATGTTTATGGGAAATAATCGATTTCCCTAAGATCACATAGAAAATCAATTAAACAAGCCTGGGCAGTCTACAAAAAAAAATTTAAAAATTAGCCAGGCCGGGTGCAGTGGCTCATGCCTGTAATCCCAGCACTTTGGGAGGCCGAGGCAGGCGGATCACAAGGTCAGGAGATCGAGACCATCCTGGCTAACACGGTGAAACCCCGTCTCTACTAAAAAATACAAAAAATTAGCCGGGCATGGTGGCGGGCGCCTGTAGTCCCAGCTACTTGGGAGGCTGAGGCAGGAGAATGATGTGAACCTGGGAGGCAGAGCTTGCAGTGAGCCGAGATCGCGCCACTGCACTCCAGCCTGGGTGACAGAGCGAGACTCCGTCTCAAAAAAAAAAAAAAAAAAAAAATTAGCCAAGCACGGTGGCTAGCGCCTGTAGTTCCAGCTACTGTGGGGGAAAGGAGCGGGTGGGGGTGGAGGGGTGCTGAAGTGCAAGTATCGCTTGAGCCCAGGAAATTGATGCTCCAGTGAGCCATGACTGCACCACTGCGCTTCAGCCTGGGCAACAGAGCAAGACCCTGTCTCAAAGCAAATTCAATGAACCTGAAAAAAAGAAAAAGAAAGAAAGAAAGAAATAATGGCCAGGCATGGTGGCTCATGCATATAATCACAGCGCTTTGGGAGGCAGAGGCGGGTGGATCGCCTGAGGTCAGAAGTTCAAGACCAGCCTGGCCAACGTGATGAAACCCCGTCTCTACAAAAATACAAAAACTAGCCAGGCAAGATGGCAGGTGCCTGTAATCTCAGCAACTCAGGAGGCTGAGATGGGAGAATCGCTTGAACCCGAGAGGCAGAGGTTGCAGTGAACTGAGATTGCACCATTGCACTCCAGCCTGGGCGACAGAGCAAGACTCCGTCTCAGAGAAAAAAAAAAAAAGAAAGAAAAGAGAAAGAAAGAACAGAAAAAAGAAAAGAGAGAGAAGATACTATCTCAAAAGAGAAAAAAATTTATGAAAATCAATAATCAAAATGAAATAGGAAAAAAACAGATCTCACTTGAACACACCAAATATTAGGACCACAGAGGTAAAGCCATGGGACTTGAAATCCTGGCTCAGACTTTTCTAGCTGAGTGCCCTTTCAAAAGTTACCAACAGTCCTCATTCTCAGTCTCCGCATCTATAAAAAAGGGACATTAATGCCCACTCCACAGCTCTGTGGGGTGCTAAGCCCAGTGGCCGGGAAGTCCCCACTTGACCTTCAGCTTTAGCAGCCATGGGATTTCATGAGTTCACAAGGGCAATGAGAGAGTATGACGGTCATTACTCTAAGACAGGTCTGCCAAAACAGTGATCACTTCCTATGGCAGCCACCAGCCCTCCTCCTCATCCTTCAGGAATCCTTTACTCCTCCTCATTACCTACATTCCCACAAACACTTATGGAAGGTGACAACATGCCCAGGCTTTTGTCCAACCAACCATCAGACAAACCTCCTCTTAAAGACTCCAGGACCTGGCCAGGCGCGGTGACTCACACCTGTAATCCCAACACTTTGGGAGGCCGAGGCAGGTGGATCACGAGGTCAGGAGATCGAGACCATCCTAGCAAACACGGTGAAATCCCATCTCTACTAAAAATAGAAAAAAATTGGCCGGGCGTGGCGGTGGGCACCTGTAGTCCCAGCTACTCGGGAGGCTGAGGCAGGAGAATTGCTTGAGCCCAGGAGGCAGAGGTTGCAGTGAGCCGAGATCGTGCCACTGCACTCCAGCCTGGGCGACAGAGCAAAACTCCGTCTCACAAAAAAAAAAAAAAAAAAAAAACTCCAGGAACTGCTGCTATGGGCCCACCACTCCTCTTTACCGGCCTGACTCTCCTAACCCTTTGGTCCTTTGCCTGAACCAAAAAGCTAACTCCAAAGTATTTCTAAAAGAATGCAAGTATCTGACAGTTCCACCACCTTTAACATCTCCTAATTCCTCTCTACCAGAAGTCAGCAAACCACACCCAATGGCCATACCCAGCTCACCTCCAGCCTCTGATTTTTGTATAGTCCACAAGCTAATAATGTATTCATTCATTCACTGAGACAGGGTCTCACTCTGTCACCTAGGCTAGAGTGCAGTGGCACAAACCACTGTAGCCTTGACTTCCTCGGGTTCAGGCAATCCTCCTACCTCAGCCTCCCAAGTAGCTGGGACCACAGGCACATAACACCATGCCCAGCTAATTTTTTGTAGAGACAGGGTTTCATCACATTGCTCAGGCTGATCTCAAGCTCCTGGGCTCCAGCAATCCACCCAGCCTCCCAAAGTGCTGGGATTACAAGCATGAGCCACCACGCCTGGCCTGTTTTTACATTTTTTAATGGTTGAAAAGAAGTCAAAAGAAGAATTATACAGGAGACACATGAAAATTATGTGCAATTCAAATTACAGTGTACACAGTTTTATTAGAATAGTCATGTACATTCATCTATATATTGTCAATGGCTTTCTCAGTTGTAGTTAAGACAGAGACCACAGATTCAACAAAGCTGAAAACAACTATCTTTACAGGAAAAGTCTGCTGCCCCTGGTAATACACAGGCTCCATAATATATTCAACAGTAACTTGATAGGTCAAGTCTACCAAGTTACACTGTGCATTTCTCTGCATTGCCTTGTACATTTATTTGAGGGTAATGAAATCTATAGATGCACCTATTGTGTACTCATAATAATTTTAAAAAAAATTTTAAAGAAATCTATAGAATTAAAGTTTTTAGAAGTGCACTATGGTAACAACTGTCTCCTCAACATCCTCCACGATCTCATCCCAGTTCATGTCAAAGGGTCAATTAAGAAGGTCATACTTGCTTGACAACTTGTTGTATAGGAAGAAAAAAGATCACATTTATTAATGATTTTTTTTTTTTTTTTTGAGACAGAGTCTTGCTCTGTCACCCAGGCTGGAGTGTGATCTCAGCTCACTGTAGCCTCCACCTCCCAGGTCCAAGCATTCTCCAGCCTCAGCCTCCTGAGTAGCTGGGATTACAGGTGCTTACCACCATGCGTGGCTAATTTTTGTATTTTTAGCAGAGACAGGGTTTCACCATGTTGCCCAGGCTGGTATCGAACTCCTGACCCCAGTGATCTGCCCACCTCGGCCTCTCAAAGCACTGGGATTACAAGCGTGAGACACCATGCCCGGCCTATTAATGATATATATATTTTGTTTGTTTGTTTGTTTTTTTGAGATGGAGTTTTGCTCTTGTTGCCCAGGCTGGAGGGCAATGGTGCGATCTCGACTCACCGCAACCTCCGCCTCCCAGGTTCAAGTGATTCTCCTGCCTCAGCCTCCCCAGTAGCTGGGATTACAGGCATGTGCCACCATGCCCGGCTAATTTTGTATTTTTAGTAGAGACAGGGTTTCTCCATGTTGGTCAGGCTGGTCTCGAACTCGCGACCTCAGGTGATCTGCCCGCCTCGGCCTCCCAAAGTGCTGGGATTACAGGCATGAGCCACTGCGCCTGGCCTATTAATGATATTTTTAAAGGCTTGGTGTTAGCTGCTATGTGTTTAGTTATATATTTAAATTTGGGCTGGGCATGGTGGCTCACGCCTATAATCCGAACACTTTGGGAGGCTGAAGCAGGAGGACTGCTTGAGCCCAGGAGTTCATGACCAGCCTGGGCAACACAGTAAGATGCCATCTCTACAAAAAAAATTAAAAATAAATAAATAATGTTAAACATACTTTAAAAGTAGCCATTAGGATGGCTATTCTATCAAAAAAAATACTAAGTGTTAGCAAGGATGTGAAGAAATCAGAGCCCTCGTACATTGCTGGGGGGAATGTACAATGGTACAGCTGTGTGGAAAACAGCATGGCACTTCCTCAAAAAAAAAACCAGACACGGAATTACCATATGATCCAGCAATTCCACTTCTGGGCATATACTTAAAGAATTGATAGCAGAAACTCAAATAGATACTTGTACAGCTATAGCAACATGATTCAAGACAGCCGATAGGTAAAAGCAACCCAAATGTCCAGTGATGGATAAATGGAGAAACAAATTGTGACATATACATACAATGGAATATTATTCAACCTTAAAAGGAAAGTCATGTTGACATATGCTACAACATGGATGAACCTTGAGGACATTAAGCTAATGAAATAAGCTGGTCACAAAAGGATAAATACTGGTTGATTTCACTTATGTGAGGTACCTAGAGTAGTAAAATCTCTGTCAGAAAGATAAAAATGTAGAACGGTGGCTGCCAGGGCTGGAGGAAGGGGAGAAGGGAGAGTTCATGTTTAATGTATACAGAGTTTCAAATGGAGGAGATGAAAAGTTTCTGCAAACAGATGGTGGTGATAATTGCACAGTAACGTGAATGTATTTAATGCCACTGAACTGCAGGCTTAAATGGTTAAGATAGTAAATTGTATGCTATATGTATTCTACTATAATGTTTTAAAATGTAGCTACCCAAAAGAATTGTCATTAACGAAATGTGGCATATCCATACAATGGACATAAAAAGGAACAAAGTATTGAAACATGCTGCAACATGGATGAACCTTGAAAATACTATGCTAGGTAAAAGAAGCCAGACACAAAAGACATGATTCCATTTATATAAAATATGCAGAATAGGCAAATCTATACAGACATAAAGATTATTGGGCCATGAGGACTGAATGTTCAACAGGTACAGAGTATCCATCTGGGGCAAAAACGTTCTGAAACTAGACAGTAACAGTGGTTGCACTAAACTGGGACTGTACTTAATGTCACTGAATTGTACCAATTAAAATGCTTACAAGGTAAATGTTGTTTTATGTATTTTACTACAATTTTTCAAAAGCATTCAAAAATGCACTGTTCTTAAAAAAAATCCAACAGCTCAAGTAGATATCATGTAGCTGATCAGCAGAGATACATCGCTGAAGAACTAAGTATTATACTATGGTATAATATCAATACTAGCAATGTTATTTCACATAAATGCTCTAGTTTGTGAAAACAAATACCAAAAATACATTTCTTTCTTTCTTTTCTTTTCTTTGTTTTTTTTTTTTTTTTTTGAAACAGAGTCTCACTCTGTTGCCTAGGCTGGAGTGCAGTGGCACAATCTCAGCTCACTGCAATCTCCCCTTCCCAAGTTCAAGTGATTCTCCTGCCTCAGTCTCCTGAGTAGCTAGGATTACAGGCATGCACCACTACGCCAGGCTAATTTTGCATTTTTAGTAGAGATGGGGTTTCACCATGTTGGCCAGGCTGGTCTCGAACTCCTGATCTCAAGTGATCTGCCTGCCTCACTCCTGACCTCAAGTGATCTGCCTGCCTCGGCCTCCCAAAGTGCTGGGATTACGTGAGCTACCACACCCAGCCAAAAATGCTATTTTCTTAATAAATATAATTATCTGGTTATTTTTTGATGCAAATGTAGAAAAACACTGTATTTTTATAGAAATGCTGAATTACATCCTGGAATTGCATTAGGGCACTACTTCATGTTATGCACAGAAGATAAATAAGATGTGTTATATACAGAGGAGTCCACACTAACAAGAAATGCACCACATGCTGGGACATTTCAGAGAGAATAGAGGGGATATCCTCACAGAGACAGCCCAGGGCCTCAGTTCATGTTTTAGTCATTTGCCCCCAGACCTGTCTGGAGAGTTGGAGGTTCTTTCCTCAAAAAACATTAGGAAAAAGTAGAAACAAGTGCCAAAAGCATTTATAATCAAAGGGACATGAAGGTTCTTTCTTTGCAGTTTTATCTTGCCATAACGCACTTGCAATATTTTAAAATCAAACTGGCACAGTCTCACACTTTAAATAGGGACAACTCAGTTGAGAATTTAACAGTGAGAAGACAAGGTACTCCAGGGTCATATAAACCACATTAAAAAAAACTAATGTGGTAAAAGCCAACTTGACAGAATTTTGACAGCACAATTATTTTTAAATACAAACATCCTATCTCTAAGATTAAGAATAAAAGCTTTTATTTTGTTTGTATTCAATGGAAACAGCCTTCCTACAAGCAATAAGAAAAGCTGAAGTTACAATGGAATTAAGAAAAAGATACGGATCACCAGCTAAAACTAAGAAATCCTAAGATTCCTAGATCTACCACGCAGGGAAGCAGAGGCAACACAGAGTAGACAACAGTGAGATGTCCTATAAATGGTTACTATGGGAAAAGGGAGGGTGGGGAGCAGAACAAGCTCTGCCTGCCAAACCAGAAATGTCAGCATGTATCTTGTTTTGTTTTTTAAAAACCCAAGGTATCAGGGTCTTGCTATGTTGCCCAGGCTGGAGCACAATGGCTATTCACAGGCACAATCACAGCTCACTACAGCCCTCAAAGTCCTGTGCTCAAGCAATCCTCCTGCCTCAGCCTCCCTAGTAGCTGGGAATACAGGCACAGGCCACAGTACCCAAGTTGTTTAAAACTGGATGAAAAAATTAAATGTACAAGCAGGATAGGGAATAAAGCAATGTTTCATAATATTGAGACATGTCGTAAACTGGGTCTGCTAACACTTCTCAAGGTCTATACATTCTCTATAAGAATTTTTAAATGCTGTGTTTTCATTTCAAAATTACACTAAAACATTAGTATAAGCCTGTTCTGGATCATCGAGATGCTTCCCTAGAAACACAGAGCTGCCCAGAGATTTCACAGCCCACGTGTGCTGTTGTGTTTACCATCAGGCTAAGGCCAAACAATACAATTTTAACTAATTTGTACTAACAATCAAGAACGGAGTAAGACCTGATCCCTGCATAATATACATGCCAAGCGAAGGGCAGAAGGCACCCCTCCAAGGTTTTATAGTTCTCAGAGAAAAGTGATGAGGGAACTGAGTTACCTCATGGCAAGGTAACAGAAGCCATTGCCAAAGCCTCCAAATCTGCCACGGCCTCCAAATCTGCCACAGCAACAATACCATATTCACAATGAGAGGAGCAACTGGAATAAACATCATCGGCTCCATAAAAGTAATTTTAATTTTACTGATTTTGTCATTTTATCTGTCTTTAACTTGTAAACTTATTTTCTTTTTATAATCTGTAAGCAGGCCAGGTGTAGTGGTTCACACCTGTCATCTCAGCACTGCAGGCCAAGGTGAGAGGAACTGCTTGAGCCCAGGAGTTCAAGACCAGCCTGGACAACAGAGTAAGCTGCTGTCTCAATTTTTAAAAAATAAAGAAAGAAAAGAATGCATACAAGTTTAAATATTTTATGCATCAGAGGTTTTTTTTTCTTCTTTTTTTAAAATATAGAGATGGGGTCTTGCTGCTATATTGCCCAGGCTGGTCTCAAACTCCTCGGCTCAAGGAATCCTCCCACCTTGACCTCTCAAAGTGCTGCAATTACAAGCATGAGCCACCGTGCCAGGCCTTATGTGCATTCCTAAGTAACATAATAATAAAAATAACTTCAGCTAGGGTACCAAGACCATTCACAGTTGAGAAAGGATAGTCTTTTCAACAAATAGTGATGGGAAAACTGGATATCCACAGGCAAAAGACTCAAGTTTGACTTTTACCCCCCACCCCGCACGATGGAGTCTCGCTCTGTCGCCCAGGCTGGAGTGCAGTGGCACAATCTCGGCTCACTGCAACCTCCGCCTCCTGTGTTCAAGCAATTCTCCTGCCTCAGCCTCCCAAGTAGCTGGGACCACAGGTATGCATCACCATGCCTGGCTAATTTTTGTATTTTTAGTAGAGACAGGGTTTCGGCATGTTGGCCAGGCTGGTCTCAAACTCCTGACCTCAGGTGATCCATCCGCCTCGGCCTCCCCAAGTAGTGGGATTACAGGCGTGAGCCACTGCGCCCAGAGCCTCAAGTGTGACTCTCAAACTGTATACAAAAATTAACTCAAAATGGATCAAAGACCTAAACTTAGGAGCTAAAATCATAAAACTGCAGAAAGAAAACACTGAGGGAAAGCTTCATGACACTGCATTTGGCAATGGTCTCTTAGATATATGACACCAAATGTACAGGTAACAAGATAAAAAATAAACTTCATCAAAATTGAAAGCTTTTGTGCATCAAAGGACACTATCAAGAGAGTAAAGGCCATGTGCAGGGGCTTACACCTATAATCTCAGCACTCTGAGAAGCCGAGGTAGGAGGATTGCTTGAAGCCAGGAGTTCAAGACCAGCCTGGGCAACAAAGTGAGACCTTATCCCTTCAAAAAATAAAAAAATTAAAAATTAAAAAAAGAAAAATAAATGAAAATAAAAATTAAAAAATTGGCAGAGTGCAGTGGCCCACGCCTACAATCCTAGCACTTTGGGAGGCCAAGGCAGGTGCCACTTGAGGTCAGGCAAGATGGTGCCACTGTTCTCCAGCCTGGGCAACAGAGTGAGATTCCGTCTCAAAAAAAAAAGTGCAAAGGACCTTATGGGGAGAGACTGGAGCCCTTGAACTTTGCTTGTGGGAAGGTAAAATGATTTAGCTATGGTGGAAAAGTCTGGCCATCCCTCAAAGAGTTAAACATAGAATTATCATATGATCCAGCAATTCCACTCCTAGGTATGGAACCAAAAGAACTGAAATCAGAGATTCAAACAAATATTTGGTTATCAATGTTCACGGCAGCATTATTCACAACAGGTAAAGGGGGAAACAATTCAAATGTCCATCAAGGTTGAATGAAAAAACAAAATGTGGTATATATAAACAATGTAATATTAACTATCTCTAAAAACATTAAAGTGATACAAGCTACCACATGGACAAACCTTGGAATCAGCCTGCTAGATGATGAAAGCCAGGAACATAATTAAAACAAAGCATCACAAGAAGAAAAAAAAGCCAGAAACAAAGCGACAAATATGTAGGATTCCACTTAGATGGAAGAGGCAAATTGATAGAGATAGAAAGTAGAATGGTGATTGCCAGCATCTAGTTGCAGGGAAGGAGTGATAAACTATTGTTTAATGAGTACAGAGTTTCTGTTTAGGATGATGAAAAGTTCTGGCAATGGACAATGGTGATGGTTATACAACACTGTGAATGTACTTAATGCCACTGACTTGTAAACTTAAAAATGGCTAAAATGGTAAATTTTATCTTATGTATATTTTACCACAATAAGAAAAACGTTAAGCTAACACTGGATATCTATAAAAATGTTTTGTGCAGAACTTAATTTGAGAAACACCACTACAGAATTAAAAGTAAAAATTACACCATTTATGTAATGTTTAAAAATACAGACAATAGTGTACTAATAGATGTAAACATAGATGAGAGCATAAAAGTACGGATGGAAAGGGCACACATTTGCCTCTGAGGACAGGTCACCTCTGAGGAAGTGGGGGTAAGGGGGAGTGAGAGGTATGCCAAGGGTGTGCAGGTGAATCTGAGTAGTTGCATTCCTTAAGAAAAGAGAGAGGGAGGAAGGGAAGGAAGGAGGGAATAAAGGAAATCAAATGTGTCAAATCCCAGTGGAAGGTAACCAGAGCTTCGATACGTTACTCTGCATCCTCTTCACGTGTTAAGTAATTATAAAAACAAACTCTGAAATCACTAAAAATCAAAGGTTTACACAATAAGGAAGCATGTAAATTAAAACTTCCCTCAACCATTTTACACAGTGAATGAACAGATGACCCATTGACACAGGGAAATGTTCCAGAACTTACCATAAAGACCAGCTTGAACTTTCCTTCCCTCCTCCCTCCTCACAGATCTAAGATGCCATGAACAGTCAACTGGAGTTGCCAATCACCATTCACTAGCCAGACTTCTCTCTCACTTCATGACCATAATTGGTCCTGTACTTTGTACTTGCCTCCAAAACTGCAAGTTAAGTAAGCATTAATCCCCATTAGAAGTAAGGTGAAAGCTGCAGCATTCCTCTCGATATACAAGTAAATTCCTACTAGGCTAGTAATACACAGTAAGATTGGTTGATAATTTACTTACTGCAAGTAACTGAAAATTGTCATTACTTAGATGCAGAAATTCCCACAGAAGCCAGAAACTTGGAAGCAAACTACAACTTGGAGCTTGCTTCTTTGCTAGTCATACCAAGACTACCCAAAGAGTATCAGGGTGGAAATAACCCTAGCGCCTCTCTCTCTTTCTCACTCGCCTGCACAATCAGGTCTTTTATTTTCTTTTTAGGCAAAGCACTATTTCCATCTAAGTACAGGGAATGTGAGAACACAACAGGCTCAATTAACACTCAGAACCAAAAGTGGGGATACTCCTAGATATTGACCCAAGAGAAATGAAAAATGTATGCTCACACAAAAATTGCAGCATGATACTCAGGAGCCTGAGGCACAAGAATCACTAGAACCAGGGGGCGGAGGAGGCTGCAGTAAGCCTACTACACTCCAGCCTGCGTAACAGAGTGAGACTGTGCCCTCCGCTCCCCCCACAAACAAAACAAAACAAAATAAAAAAAAACCCTCAAGCATGATGGCAGCATTATTCTCTTTTTTTTTTCTTTTTGAGATGGAGTCTCGCTCTGTCGCCCAGGCTGGAGTGCAGTGGCGCCATCTCGGCTCACTGCCAGCTCCGCCTCCCGGGTTTACGCCATTCTCCTGCCTCAGCCTCCTGCGTAGCTGGGACTATAGGCGCCCGCCACCACGCCCGGCTAATTTTTTGTTTTTTAGTAGAGACGGGGTTTCACCGTGTTAGCCAGGATGGTCTCGATCTCCTGACCCTCGTATCCACCCGCCTCAGCCTCCCAAAGTGCTGGGATTACAGGCGTGAGCCACCGCGCCCGGCCGGCAGCATTACTCTTAATAGTCAATGGAAAACAACCTAAATGTCCATCAACTGATGAATAGATAAACAAAACATGGTATAACCATACAATGGAATATTACCCAGCCACATAAAGGATAAAGTAATGATACATGCTATAACACAGATGGACCTGGAAGACATTATTCTAAGTGAAAAAAGGCAGACATCAAAAGCCATTAATTTTGGCCTTCCAAAATTAATGTATTATACTACTGTATTGTGCATTCCATTAATATGAAATGTCCAAAACAGTCAAATCCGTGGAGACAAAAAGTATTCTGATGGTTGCCTAGTGCTGGGAGGTTAGGGGAGAAATGAGGAGGAACGACTAATGAATACAAAGTTTCTTTTTGGGTTGATGAAAATGTTCTACAACTTATTCTGGTGATGGTTGCACAACTCTAGGAATACATTAAAACATAAAAGATATAATTCACCCACTTTAAATGGGTTAGCCACCACGCCTGGCTAATTTTGTATTTTTAGTAGAGACGGGGTTTCACCATGTTGGCCAGGCTGGTCTCAAACTCCTGACCTCAGGTGATCTGCCCACCTCGGCCTCCCAAAGTGCTGGGATTACAGGCATGAGCTACCGCGCCTGGCCAAATCTGCCCAATTCTTTTGCAGATGCTTCTCCACTGGAAGACACAAATGCCCATTTCTGAAACGGCTAAATCTCTCAACTTATCGAGTTCCTGTGTATGTGATCTTCTGGCCAAGGACACACAATTTTCTAATTCAATGGTGCCAAGTACACTATTACTTCACTTTCAGATAAGAAGGTGATTAATAAAACAGGAATTCAAAGTACTGTAAAAATAAGAATTCCAAAAAAAAAAAAAAAAGGGTTTTTAAGTGACTAAGTATAACAAGAAAAATAGAAAGACCAGCACATTAATGAACCTTCAAAGTATGACAACACAACCAACACAGTCATACATCTCAAAACACACACACACACTCCAATGAACACACCAGGCAAAAATCCCACAACCGCTACAGCAAGATAAAATACAAGAAAGCAGCCAGGCACGGTGGCTCACACCTGTAATCCCAGCACTTTGGGAGGCTCAGGTGGGTGGATCACCTGAGGTCGGGAGTTTGAGACCAGCCTGACCAACATGGAGGAACCCCGTCTCTACTAAAAATAGAAAAATTAGCCGGGTGTGGTGGCACATGCCTGTAATCCCAGCTACTTGGGAGGCTGAGGCAGAAGAATCGCTTGAACCTGGGAGGCAGAGGTTGCGGTGAGTCGAGATTGGGCCATTGCACTCCAGCCTGGGTGACAAGAGTGAAACTCCATCTCAAAAATAAATAAATAAATAAAAATAAAAAAAAAATACAAGAAAGCCGGGTGTGGTGCTGCACACCTATAATCCCAGCTACTCCGGAGGCTGAGGCAGAAGGATTGCTTGAGCCCAGCCTAGGCAACTTGGCCTAACTCAAAAAAAAAAAAAAAAAAAAAAAAAAAAAAAGGTAAAATAAAACTTGCTGTACTTGGTAGACCTTGAGTGTTAAAAGTTTTCCTCATTCACTGTTAAACCTCACAATCTTTCTGGCAACATACATGAATCTCAGCAATCTTATTTTGAGGAACACAGATGGAAATACTAGGTGAAAAGTAAATAACTTTTCAGGAAAGAAGCTTCTAGCACTTTATTTACAATAGAAAATAAGAAGCAATTTAGATGTCCAAGAATAAGAGAATGCTTAAGTAAACCTTGGCATGTTCACATAGGAAAGTGTATTTACAAAAAAAGCTATATATGTCAACTATATAAATACATGGAAAAGACCATGTAAAATGTAAACTAGGAGACACATTAAGACCTTTCATGTTGACAAAAATTATTTTTCACAAGGGATCTTTTACAATGACACAATACTATCAGCTTAAGGGGACTAAGAAATAGTTGATACTTTATAACGAAGAGGTATTTTGAAATTCTAGGCATTTGGAGTTAATATTTTAGTCAAGTTGAACAAATGTAGGAGAAAAATTAATAAATATACAACCTATAGTTTCTAACACTGACATGAAGCACCAAAGAAAACGCAGAGCACATCAAATTAAGTTTTCTCTTGATGATTCTTTTTCTCCTTTTTTTATGGCAGGGTTTCACTCTGTTGCCCGGGCTGTAGTGTAGTCTTGGCTCACTGCAACCTCTGCCTCCCAGGCTCAAGCGATCCTCCCGCCTCAGCCTACTGAGTAGCTGGGACCACATGCACGTACCACTGCATCCAGCAAATTTTTGTATTTTTGGTAGAGACAGGGTTTCACCATGTTGCCTAGGCTGGTCTTGAACTCCTGAGCTCAAGCAATCTGCCCACCTCGGCCTCCTACTAAAGGGCTGAGATTACAGGCATGAGCCACCATGCCTGGCATCTCTTGATGATTCTTGATGTTTTGACACAATTATTCTGGTTACTATCACCTGGTATTTACATCACTAACCTAATCTAGCATTTTTAATAAAATGTTTCCAGGTCAGTGACTAGCACACAAGCACTGAGCATAATTCTCCTGAGTACCCACCTCATCTCCATCACCTCTGCAGCAGTTTGGCTGAAAGACAATTTAGCAGGACCAATAAAACACTTAAAATGTCCACTCTCTGTCCCAGAAGACACAGCACATGTACATAAAGAGGCATGTGCAAAAACAATCACTACAGCCCTGCAAATGAAAACACTGGAAACAACCTCTGTGTTCATCAGTAGGAATGTGGCTTTTAAAAACTATGGTTTTTAAATAAAGTGAAGGCTGGGCATGGTGGCTCACACCTATAATCTCAGCACTCTGGAAGGCCGAGGCAGGTGAGTTGCTTGAGCTCAGGAGTTCAAGACCAGCCTGGACAACATGGTGAAACTCTGTCTCTATAAAAAAAAAAAAAAAAAAAAATACAATAGCTGGATATGATGTTGTGTGCCTATAGTCCCAGGTACTCCAAGAGGCTGAGCCAGAGGTTGCAGTGAGCCAAGATCACACCACTGCACCCCAGCCTAGGCAACCCTATCTCAGGGGAAAAAAAAAAAAAAGTTCAAATCCATGATTGCAGGTGGCTTGAATCAGACTGATAAAGGGCATTTCAAGGCACACTGTCTCCACATTTAAATCCACAAACACACCTCCTTTGTGACTCTCCAACAATATAAATATTCTGTCTTGCTTAAAAACAAATCCAGTTAAAAACAAAGAAAAACCCAACACTTTTGTACAAGACCAATTTTTTAAAACTTACACATAATTTCACAATTTAATATTTTTACTTTTAATCCAAAAAGCAATTGTGTTACAAGGCCTGAGCCAAACTTCACTTCATTACAATAATGTCTGTGGCCCACATAACTATTTTGTAGTTGTTTAATTCACTTGTTATGGTTCTAATCAATACAGAAAAATCAGTGAGGAAGAAAACTATTCTATTTTAAGGAAGCAAAACTATTCTATTTTAATAGTTTGGAAGTTTGAGGACTTCCAACAGTTCATCTCACTCTTGGACTACTAATCTCCTCTACAGCAATGGGGTCCCTTAGACCCCACTGCCCCTTCTTGAGGGATTTTGACAATTGGCCAGGTTTGGGAACCTATAGTTTAATAGCGCCTTTGGGCAGCAGTTTTCAACCTTTACTGCATACGATTTTTTTTTTTTTTTTTGAGATGGAGTCTCGCTCTGTCACCCAGGCTGGAGTGCAGGGGCACGATCTTGCCTCACTGCAACCTCCACCTCCTAAGTTAAAGCGATTCTCATGCCTCAACTTCCAGAGTAGCTGGGACCACAGGCACATGCCATCATACCCGGCTAATTTTTTTGTATTTTTAGTAGAAACAGGGTTTCGCCATGTTGGCCAGGGTGGCCTTGAACTCCTGGCCTCAAGTGATCTGCCCACCTCGGCCTCCCAAAGTGTGAGATTACAGGCATGAACCACCGCAACTGGCCTATTATTTCAAAAAATATGTGAAGGCTGGGCACAGTGGCTCATGCCTGTAATCCCAGCACTCTGGGAGGCTGAGGCAGGCAGATCACAAGGTTAGGAGTTCGAGACCAACCTGACCAACCATGGTGAAATCCCGTCTCTAATAAAAATACAAAAATTAGCCAGGCATGGTGGCACACACCTGTAATCTCAGCTACTCAGGAAGCTAAGGCAGAAGAATCACTTGAAACTGGGAGGCAGAGGTTGCAGTAAGCTGAGATCGCACCATTGCACTCCAGCCTGGGCAAAAGAGCGAGACGCCATCTCAAAAAAAAAAGAAAAAGAAAAAAAGAAAGTGAAAACTATCACTCCCCTACAAATGTATTTTATCAGAGTACCTGAGAAGTGGGTTCTAGTCACTAATTTTTTTTTTAACTTCCTCAGATTGAGAACCGCACTTAGAAGGAGCTGCTTTAGGAGTTATCACTATCAAGCCCACTGAGCCCATCATCATTATCTGCATGGTCCACAGGAAACCCAACGGTATGGCAGAAGACAAGGTGAAGCACCAAGCCCTGGTTTTATTTGATTTAACAGACTTGGGCTGACAGGACCAGATTCTAGAGGCACACTAGGACACATTACAGACTAGGGCTAAGAAACCCTGGATTCAGGTAAAGATAAAGTCACTATACTAACAGCAGAACTTGGTAATGTCACTTAACTTCTCTGAGGCTCAAGTTATTAATTTTTTAAAAAAGGATTGGAGTAAATCACCTCTGAAGATCCTTTGATCTCAAACACCTTGATGATTTCTAACCATGTTGTAACAAATCGGTCAAATGAATAAGCAGAGTGGTCCTTACAGTAATGCATGAATATCTTCTGCAAATATCAGATTAACCTCATATATACAATTTTGGGCTTATTTACATAAAAATCCTACTCCTCACCACACCATAAGAAATCTTAACTGAACATTAGTGTGTTCTATCAAGTCAATTACAAATGAAAATTAAACTGGTCACATAAGCCCCAAAGTAAATATAAACATTTGGGATAAAGTAAAAAAAAAAAATTTTCTTTTGAGACGGAGTTGCGCTTTGTTGCCCAGGCTGGAGTGCAATGGCAAGATCTCGGCTCACTGCAACCTCCACCACCCGGGTTCAAGCGATTCTCCTGCCTCAGCCTCCCAAGTAGCTGGGATTACAGGCATGCGCCACCACACCTGGCTAATTTTGTATTTTTAGTAGAGACGGGGTTTCTCCATGTTGGTCAGGCTGGTCTCAAACTCCTGACCTCAGGTGATCCACCCGCCTCGGTCTCCCAAAGTGCTGGGATTACAGGTGTGAGCCACCGCACCCGGCTGGAATAAAGTAAATTTTTAAAGTAACTCTTTAACCTTTTCACTGTCAACACCATCCTGATGTTTTTTATAATTTTTTTCCATCTGTAAAAATTGTTGTAAAACATATGTAACATAAAATGTACCATTTTAATCATTTTTAGGTGTACAGTTCAGTGGTATTAAGTACATTCACACTGTTGTGCAATCCTCACCACCATCCACCTCCATAACTTTTTAATCTTTTCCAAATGAAACTCTGTACCCATTAAACATGAATTCCTCATTCCCTCCTCCCCACAGGCCCTGGCAAGCATTATTCTAATTACTGAATTACTGTTTCTATGACTCTTATATTCCAGATACCTCATATAAGTGCAATCATGCAATATTTGTCCTTTTGTGTCTGGCTTTTCTCATTTAGCATAATGATCTGAACGTTCATCCATGTTACAGCAGTGTCAGCATTTTCTTATTTTTAAAGGCTGAATAATAGTAGCCCATTGTATTCATACACCACATATTATCTATTCATCCATTGATGGACACTTGGGTTGCATCATTCTGATTTTTTTTTTAACCATCAGTAGTTATTTTGAAGTCACATACAAAAAAGATGAATGAACTTTATGTCATCAACTTTTTTTTTCTTTTCAAGAGAGAACAAAATTTCACTCTGTTGCCCAGGCTGGAGTACAGTGGTGCGATCATGGCTCATGTAGCCTCAACCTCCAGGGCTCAAGCAATCCTCCCACTTCAGCCATATACAGGTATATGCCACCATACCCAACTAATATTTTAAAAATTTGTTGTGCAAGTGAAGTCTCTATATGTTGCCCAGGCTGGTCTCAAACTCCTGACCTCAAGTGATCCTCCCACTTACGCCTCCCAAAGTGCTGGAGTACAGGCATAAGCCACTGCACCTGGCCAGCTTTTCTTTAAAAAAAAAAAAAAAAAAAAAGTAGACCACCTTGAGCCACAAAGAGCACCTTAACAAATTGAAAAGAATAGAAAGCATACAAGGTATGCTCTCAGACCACATGTAATTAAACTAGAAATCAACAGCAGAAAGATAGCCAGAAAAATCCCAAAATACATACTTGGAGATTAAACAATACACTTCTAAATAACAGATGGGTCAAAGAAGTCTCAAGAGATATTTCTAACTAAATGAAAATGAAAATATGACATCAAAATTTGTAAGATATAGAGAAAGCAGTGCTTACAGGAAATTGTACAGTGTTAACTGTAAACATTAGAAAAAAGATCTAAAAATCAATAATCTCAGTTTTCACTTAAAAACTTAGTTTTCTAGAAAAACTAAAAAAAATTAAATCCAAAGTGAGCAGAAGAAAACCAATTAGAGCAGAAATCAATTAAATTGAAAACAAAATTAAT
Source organism: Homo sapiens (assembly GCF_000001405.40). NCBI lineage: Eukaryota > Metazoa > Chordata > Mammalia > Primates > Hominidae > Homo > Homo sapiens. The sequence continues at coordinate 50,177,705 of NC_000016.10, read as the reverse complement.
AGAGAAAAATCAGTGAAACCAAAAACTGGTTCTTTGAAAAGATCAACAAAATTGATAAGCTTCTAGCCAGATTAACAAAGAAAAAAAAGGGCAAAGACACAAATTACTAATAGAAAAAATGAAAAAGGGCCATCACTTCTGAACCTATGGACACCAAAAGCAAAACAAAGAAATATTATGAAGGACTCTAATCCCACAAATTTGATAACCTAGATGAAATGGAACAATTTCTTGAAAGACACAATGTATTAAAACTTACCCAAGAAGAAAAGACAATCTCAATGCACCTTTATCTATTAAGGAAATTGAATCAATAATCAATAACCTTCTAAAGCAAAAGGCACCAGGCCCAGATGGGTTCACTGGTGAATTCTACCAAACTGTTAAATTAGATATTATCTCGGGCCAGGCACAGTGACTCACGCCTGTAATCCCAGCACATTGGGAGGACAAGACAGGTGGATCACCTGAGATCAGAAGTTCAAGACCAGCCTGGCCCACATAGTGAAACCCCATCTCTACTAAAAATACAAAAATTAGCCAGGCATGGTGGTGCATGCCTGTAATTCTAGCTACTCAGGAGACTGAGGCAGGAGAATCACTTGAACCTGGGAGGCAGAGGTTGCAGTGAACCAAGATTGCGCCACTACACTCCAGCCTAGGCGACAGAGCAAGATTCCATCTCAAAAAAAAAAAAATAGATATTACCTCAATTCTCTTTCAGAAACAGAAGCAGAGGAAATATTTCCTAACCTATTCTATGAGGCCAGCATTACCCTAAACCAGACAGAAAAGAAACCAAAGAAAACTACAGAACAATACCTCTCATGAACACAGATACACAAATGCTAAATAAAATACTAGCAAACTGAATCTAACAATATACGTAAAGAATTATAGGCCAGGCACAGTGGCTCACTCCTGTAATCCCAACACTTTGGGAGGCCAAGGCGGGTGGATCACTTGAGGTCAGGAGTTTGAGACCAGCCTGGCCAATATGGTGAAACCCCATCTCTACTAAAAATACAAAAATTATCTGGGCGTGGTGGTGCATGCCTGTAGTCCCAGCTGCTCAGGAGGCTGAGGCAGGAGAATTACTTGAACCCGGGAGGCAGAGGTTGCAGTGAGATGAGATTGCACCGCTGCACTCCAGCCTGGGCGACAGAGCAAGACTCCATCTCAAAAAAAAAAAAAAAAAAAAAAAAAAAAAAGAATTATTGGTATATATGGTTGACACTGGAACAACACAGGTTGGATCTACATATGTCCACTTATATGTGGATTTTTTTTTCAATAAAACTTGGATTACAAATAAATTGTAGGCTGGGCGTAGTGGTTCATGCCTGTAATCGCAGCACTTTGGGAGACGGAGGCGGGCAGATCATATGAGCTCAGGAGTTTGAGACCAGGCTGAGAAAAAGAAAGATTCAATCTCTAAAAAAATTTAAAAACTTAGCTGGGTGTGGTCATGGGCACCCATAATCCCAGCTGCTTGGGAGGCTGAGGTGGGAGGACAGCTTGAGTCCAGGAGGCAGAGGTTGCAGTGAGCTGTGATCATGCCACTGCACTCCAGCCTGGGCAACAGAGTAAGACTGTCTCAAAAAAAAAAAAAAGAATTATATTGGCTGGGCTGAGTGCCTCATGTCTGTAATCCCAACACTTTGGGAGGCCAAGGTAGGAGGGGCATTTCAGCCCAGGAGTTCAAGACCAGCCTGGGCAACATGGTAAAACCCTGTCTCTAAAATAAATTTAAAAAGTACCTGGTCAGAGTGGTGCTCACCTGTAGTCCCAGCTACTCAGGAGGCTGAAGCAAGAAGATAACTTGACCCTAGGAGGTCAAGGCTGCAACGAAGCCTTGATGGTGTCACTATACTGCAGCCTGGGCAACAGAACAAGACCCTGTTTCAAATAAATAAATAAATAAAACAAAAAAACTGGCCGGACGTGGTGGCTCATGCCTGTAATCTCAGCACTTTGGGAGGCTGAGGCGGGCGGATCACGAGGTCAAGAGATCAAGACCATCCTGGCCAACATGGTGCAACCCCGTCTCTACTCAAAATACAAAAATTAGCTGGGCGTGGTGTCATGTGCTACTCGGGAGGCTGAGGCAGGAGAATCCCTTGAACCAGGGAGTCAGAGGTTGCAGTGAGCCGAGATCGCGCCACTGCACTTCAGCCTGGCGACAAAGCGAGACTCCATCTCAAAAAAAGAGAGAATCCAGACATAGATCTTATATCTTTCACATAAAAATTAACTTAAAATAGATCACAGACCTAAATGTAAAACAAAAACTATAAAACTCCTGTAAGATAATATAAGGGGAACTCTAGATGACTGTGGTTTGGCGAAGACTTTCTAGACACAATACCAAAAGCAAAATCCATCAAAGAAAGAATTGGTAAACTGGACTGCACTAAAATGTATAATGTGTGCTCTGCAAAAGACACTATTTAAGAGAATGAAAAGATAAGTCACGGACTCGGAAAAAATATTTGCAAAACACGTATCTAATAAAAGACTTATTATCCAAAATATACAAAGAAGCCAGACCCAGAAAGAGAAATATTACATGTTCTTACTCATATGTGGGAGCTAAAAAAAAGTTGATCTCATAGAAGTAGAGAGTAGAATGATAGATACCAGAGGCTAAGAAAAGAGTAAGAGGGGCCAGGCATGGTGGCTCACCCCTGTAATCCCGGCACTTTGGGAGGCTGAGGCGGGTGGATCAGGAGGTCAAGAGTTCAAGACCAGTCTGGCTAAGATGGTGAAACCCCATCTCTACTAAAAATATAAAAATTAGTCGGGTGTGGTAGCATTCGCCTGTAATCCCAGCTACTCGGGAGGCTGAGGCAGAGAATTGCTTAAACCTGGGAGGCGGAAGCTGCAGTGAGTCGAGATTGTGCCACTGTACTCTAGCCTGGGTAACAGAGCGACTCCGTATCAAAAAAAAAAAAAAAAAAAAAGAGTAGGGGAGACGGGGAGCTGATGAAGAATGGTTGGTTAAGGGGTAAAAAAAATAAAGCCAGGTAGAAAGAATAAGTTCTAATGTTTGACAGCACAATGAGGTGACTTATAGATAATAATTTATTGTATATTTCAAAATAGCTAGACATTTTGAAATGTTCCCAACATAAAGAAATGACAAATGTTTGAGGTAATACTCTAATTACCTTGATTTGATCCACATTGTATGCATGTATCAAAATATCACATGCATCCCATAAATATGTACAATTATTTTATTAAGTATTAATTTTAAAAGAATCAAAAAATACACATATACAAAGAACTCTTAAAACTTAACAATAAGCCGGGCATGGTGGCTCACGCCTGTAATCTCATTACTTTGGGAGGCAAAGGTGGGTGGATCACTGAAGACCAGGAGTCCAAGACCAGCCTGGCCAACATGGCAAAACCCTGTCCCTACTATAAATACAAAAATTAGCCAGGTGCAGTGGCACATGCTTGTAATCCCAGCTATTTGGGAGGCTAAGGCACAAGAATCACTTGAACCCAGGAAGCAGAGGTCGCAGTGAGCTGAGATCATGCCACTGCATTCCAGACTGGGCGACAGAGCAAGACTCTGTCTCAAAAAAAGCAAACAAAAAGAACCCCAGAAGCAATAAAAGAACAATCTGATTAAAAAATGGGCAAAAGATCAGAACAGATACTTTGCCAAATAACATATACACATATCAAATAAGCAGATGAAAGCCAGGCGCAGTGGCTCACGCCTGTAATCCCAGCACTTTGGGAGGCCGAGGCGGGCAGATCACCTAAGGTCAGGAGTTCAAGACCAGCCTGGCCAACATGGTGAAATCCTGTCTCTACTAAAAATACAAAAACTAGCCGGGCATGGTGGCGGGCGCCTGTAATCCCAGCTACCTGGGGAGCTGAGGCAGGAGAATCACTTGAACCCAGGAGGCAGAGGTTGCAGTGAGCCAAGATTGTACCATTGCACTCCAGCCTGGGCAATAGAGCGAGATTCCATTTCAATGAACAACACAACAACAACAACAACAAATAAGCAGATGAAAAGATGCTCAACATCATACGTCATTAGAGAACTGCAAAGTAAGACAAGATATCACTACATATCTATTAGAATGGTGAAAAGCCAAAACACTGACAACACCAAATGCTAACGAGGATGTGGAGCGACAGGAACTTGATTCATTGCTGGTGGGAATGCAAAATGGTACAGTCACCCTGAAAGACAGTTTGGCAGTTTCTTACAAAACTAAACATACTCTTACCATACGATCCAACAATCGTGCTCCTTGGTATTTATCCAAATGAGCTAAAAACATGACCACACAAAAACCTACACACAGATGTTTATAGTAACTTCATGCATAATTGCCAAAACTTAGGAGCAACCAAAATGTCCTTCAGAAGGTGAATAGATAAACTCATACACCTATACAATGGAGTATTATTCAGCAGTACAAAAAAAAGAGCTGGCAGGGCAGGGTGGCTCACGCCTGTAATCCCAGCACTTTGGGAGGCCGAGGTGGGTGGATCACCTGAGGACAGGTGTTTGAGACCAGCCTGACCAATATGGTAAAACCCCACCTTTACCAAAAATACAAACATTAGCCAGGCAGGGGAGGTATGCGCCTGTAGTCCAAGCTACTTGGGAGGCTGAGACAGGAGAATTGCTTGAACCCAGGAGGCGGAGAGTTTGCAGTGAGCCAAGATTGCGCCACTGCACTCCAGCCTGGGCGAGAGCGAGACTCCATCTCAAAAAAAAGAAAAGAGCTATCAAGCCAGGAAGGAACATGGAAAGAAGCCAATCTGTATGATTCCAACTATATGACATTCTGTAAAAGGTAAAACTATAGAGACTGTAAAAGGATCAGTGGTTATCAGGGGTTCAGGTAGATGGAGGGATGAAAAGGTGGAACAAAGGGGATTTTTAGGGCAGTGAAACTACTCAATATGATACTATAATGCTAGATACATGTCATGATATATTTGCCAACACTCATAGAAACTGCAACACCAAGAGTGAACTCTAAAGTAAATTACGGACCTTAGTTAACAGTAATGTATCAATATTTGGCTCTTCAGTTGTAACAAATGTACCACACTATTTCAAGATGCTAGTAATGGGGAAATGTGAGGGAGATAGAGAAACTATGTACTCCTGCTCAATTTTTCCATAAACCTAAAACTGCTAAAAAAAAAAAAAAAAGTAATAAATTCTATTAAAATATATAGTCAACCCTCCATATACTCAGGGGATTGGTTTCAGGAATCCCCTTGTTTACCAAGAACTATGCATACTCCAGTCTCCCAGTCAGCACACCGTACAGGTGGGTTTCATGTCCTGTAAGTACAATTTTTTTTTTTCTCTTGGAGACAGAGTCTCGCTCTGTCACCCAGTCTGGAGTCCAGTGGCACAATCGTAGCTCACTGCAACCTCTGCCTCCCAATTCTCCTGCCTCAGTTTAGCAAGCAGCTGGGATTACAGGCATGCACCACCTATGCCTGGTTAATTTCTGTACTTCTGTTTAGTAGAGGTGGGGTTCTACCATGTTAGCCAGGTTGGTCTCAAACTCCTGGCTTCAACTGATCTGCCTGCCTTGGCCTCTCAAAGTTCTGGGATTATAGGCATGAGCCACTATACCTGGCCTACACTGTATTTTTATTTATTTATTTTTGAGACAGAGTCTTGCTCTGTCACACAGGCTAGAGTGTGGTGGTGCAATCTTGGCTCACTGCAACCTCCACCCCGTTGGCTCACTGCAACCTCTGCTGCGTTAGCTCACTGCAACCTCTGCTGCGTTAGCTCACTGCAACCTCCACCTCCCGGGTTCAAGCAATTCTCTGGCTTCAGCCTCCTGAGTAGCTGGGATTACAAGTGCACACCACCACACCCAGCTATTTTTTGTATTTTTAGTAGGCACATGGTTTCACCACATTGGCCAGGCTGGTCTCAAACTCCTGACCTCAGCTGATCCGCCTGCCTTGGGCTCCCAAAGTGCTAGGCTTACAGGCATAAGTCACTGTGCCTGGCCTACAACTATATTTTTAATCCAAGTTTGGTTGAAAAAAAATCCACATATAAGTGGACCCATACAGATCCAGCCTGTGTTGTACAAATATCAACCGTATATGCCTTGGGCAAGAAAAACTGAGAAGGAGCTTCTAAATAGAAAAATCCATGACTATCTGGGAGACCAAGGCCCTTATTAGGACGAAATAGCCCCCTCATCTGTGATCCCTTGATACTGACTTAGCAAGAACCACCATGTTTCCCAGCTTCCATTCTCCACTAATCCACTTTCCCCACCACAGCCAGAGTTACTTCTCACTCTGTTGCCCAGGCTGTTGTGCAGTGGCATGATCACAGCTCACTGCAGCCTCAACTTCCTAGGCTCAAGCGATCCTTGCACTTCAGCCTCCCAAGTAACCGGGACTACAGGTGCATGCCACCACACCTGGCTATTTTTTGTATTTTTTGTAGAGTTAGGATTTTGCTATGGTTTCCAGGCTGGTCTCAAACTCCTGGGCTCAAGCAACCCTCCTGCCTCAGCCTCCCAAAGTATTAGGATTACAGGCATGAGCCTGGCACAGAGTGACTTTTAAAAACATGAATTCTGAGACTAGGCACAGTGGGTCAAACCTGTAACCCCAGCACTCTGGGAGGCTAAGGTAGGAGGACGGCTTGAGGCCTGGAGTTTGGGAATAGCCCAGGAAACAAAGTGAGATCCTGTCACTACAATTAAAAAAAAAAAAACACTGGGCACAGTGGCTCATGCCTATAATCCCAGCACTCTGGGAGGCAGGTGGATCACCTGAGGTCAGGAGTTTGAGACTAGCCTAGCCAACATGGTGAAACCCCATCTCTACTAAAAATACAAAAATGAGCCAGGCATGATGGCCCGCACCTGTAGTCCCAGCTACTCAGGAGGCTGAGGCAGTAAAATCACTTGAACCCAGGAGGTGGAGGTTGTGGTGAACCGAGATCATGCTGCTGCACTCCAGCCTGGATGACAGGGTGAGACTCCATCTCAAAGAAAAAAAAAAAATCCCTATCTTGCCCAGGCCTGAGAGATAGCTTTGTCTACTGACTTCCCCAGGAACAACTGCAAACTCCTAAGGTAGCTGTGACCTAGAGGCTGAGTGCGGCTCATCTTCTGGAGCCTTCCCTTACAGGGGCCATACTGCCATTTCTTTAACGCTGCTGCTACCATGCTTGTTACATAGTTTTTACATGTAAATGATGACTTTTAAAATATTTGATTGGGGGATATCTTGGGGGAATCACTGGACAAATTCACTCCCAGTAGGAAATCTTCCTATAAGGAAGGCTGTATGGGTTATGCTAGCCTGAGGGCAGGAATGATTCACATGAAGGTTAAGAATATTAGCACAAGTTGCCCAGGTGTGGTGGCTCACGCCTGTAATCCCAGCACTTTGGGAGACCGAGGCAGGCAGATCGTGAGGTCAGGAGTTCAAGTCCAGCCTGGCCAACATAGTGAAACCCCATCTCTGCTAAAAATACAAAAAATTAGCCAGGCGTGGTGGCAGGCGCCTGTAATCCCAGCTACTCGGGAGGCTGAGGTTGCAGTGAGCGGAGATTGCACCACTGCACTCCAGCCTGGGAGACAGTGTGAGACTCCATCTCAAAAAAAAAAAGAATATTAGCACAAGTTGAAGAAACATATAATTCACGTTTCACTTCAAGGGAAAGCAAGCATCTTACTCCTGCTTACTGAATTTAGGCTGAGAGAACTTTGTCTACTGAGCAGAAGTTCACAGGTCATAGGTCTGTTCTGGTTTCCTTCAGCTACCAACAGCTAAAAGCAAAGGCCAGGTATGGCTTCTGACAAAGGTCTTCCTTGACAGTCTTGGCTACTGACCAAAAGCCCAGTAGAGTTCACTACAGGGAGGATTAACTTCCCTTCATGCATGCACGCATGGGGCACCAATCATCCCAAGCCCACTTCACTTTCCTGTGACCTGCCTTGCTTCTCTTTGCCTGGGGTGACAGCTCATTAACAGACCCAGTTAGAAACTATTTCCTTTTTCACCCTTAGCCTGCTTTCCCTATAAGAAGCAAACCCTCAAGACAACCAAGTAGCTTGAAGAGGAAAGCCTTCTCCTTTTAGAAGCATTCCAGCTAACAACAGAAAAAGCATCAAGAGACTATCATAAACTTACAATCCAAATAATGAATTAATAAATATAGGCAGTAATCATTAATAACTAATACCACAAAAAGACATTAAGATATGTGTCTTCTGAGAGATGTACACACCACCATTTATGATGCATTTTTGCAAAAAAAAAAAAAAAAAAAAAAAAAACCCACAAAATCTAAACAAATCTCTAGATCTAGTTACAAATTTACAGAAAATACAGGGGAAAAAGGGATCATAGTAAACTGATACCAGAGGAATATAACCAGCAAAATCCAGAGAGTAGGAAAGTCCACAGGAAACAACGCTTGGTTTCTTCAACAAATAAATATGGGGGAAAAGAGACAGCAGAGAAATCTATAAATTAAGATTTAAAATGTACCTCAAACAATGCTTTGAAATAATCTTGTTTGGATTTTGATTTGAGCAAACTTTTAAAAATTATTATGGGACAATGGAGGAAATATGAACATTGGATATTTGATACGGCAAATGAATTATTTATTGCTCACTTCTTTTAGGTATTAATAATGGTGTTACGATTATGCCTTCTTTTAAGTCCTTATCTAAAGATACACAAAGAACTATTTATATGAAATTATATGATATTGGCTGGGTGCAGTGGCTCAAGCCTGTAATCCCAGCACTTTGGGAGGCCGAAGTGGACGGACCACCTGAGGCCAGGAGTTCAAGACCAGCCTGGCCAACATGTTGAAACCCCATCTCTACTAAAAATACAAAAACTAGCCAGGTGTGGTGGTGCGTGCCTGTAATCCCAGCTACTCAGGAGACTGAGGCAGGAGAATCGCTTGAACCTAGGAGGCAGAAGGTACAGTAAGCACAGGTCACGCCACAGCATTCCAGCCTGGGTGACAGAGCGAGACTCTGTCTCAAAAAAAAGAAATTATGTGATATGGAATTTGTTTCAAAATAATGTGGGAGGTCCAGGCACGGTGGCTCACAACTGTAATCCCAGCACTTTGGGAGGCCAAGGTGGGTGGATCAACTGAGGTGAGGAGTTTGAGACCAGTCTGGCCAACATGATGAAACCGAGTCTCTACTAAAAATACAAAAAAAAAAAAAAAAAATTAGCTGGGTGTGGTGGTGGGCACCTGTAATCCCAGCTACTCAGGAAGCTGAGGCAGAAGAATCTCTTGAAACCAGGAGGCAGAGGCTGCAGTAAGCCAAGATCATGCCACTGCACTCCAGCCTGGGCAAGAAGAGCAAAACTCCATCTCAAAAAAAAGAGAAAAGAAATTGTATATATTTGCAAAATCTCTTACAAATTAATAAGAAAAAGACAAACAACTCCAAAAGAAAAATGAACAAAGGCAGTAATTCAAAAGAAAAATAAATAGCTAAAGAATGTAAAGACATATGCAAATTGTCAGTAAATACTACAAAATTGGCAAAACTGTTTCCTTCTGCATTCTTTTTTTTTTTTAATTATTTTTTATGGAGATAGGGTCTCACGACATTGCTCAATGAGGAAACAAGAGTCATTTCAACAAATGGTTCTGGGACAACTGGATACCCACAGGCAAAGGAATGAAATGGGACCTCTACCTCACACCATATTTTAAAAATGAACTCAAAACAGGCTGGGCGTGGTGGCTCATGCCTGTAATCCCAGCACTTGGGGAGGCCGAGATGAGAGGATTGCTTGAGCCCAGGAGTTCAAGACCAACCTGACAAACATGGTGAAGCCCCCTCTTTACTAAAAATACAAAAATTAGCCAGGCTTGGTGGTGCACGCCTGTAATCCGAGCTACTCGGGTGCTGAAGCATGAGAATTGCTTGAACCGAGGAGGCAGAGGGTGCAGTAAGCCAAGATCACACCACTGCACTCCAGCCTGGGCGACAGAGCAAGACTGTCTCAACAACAACAAAAAAACCTCAAAATGTATCAAAGACCTAAATACAAGAGCTAAAACTATAAAACTCATAGAAGGAAACAAAGTTCACAAGTAAATCTTCAGCATTCTGGATTTAGCAACAGTTTCTTACGTATGACAAGCAACCAAAGAAAAAAAAATAGACAAATTAGACATCATTGAAACAAAACTTTGTGCTTTAAAAGACATTATCAAGAAAATGAAAAGATTAAAGCTTTTAATCAGTTTAATTATTTAAGAAAAAAAAAAACCTAAAAGAAAGTAAAAAAAAAAAACCCACAGCATGCGATAAATATCTACAAACCATCCATCTGATAAGGGTCTAGCATTTAGAACAAGCTCATCCAACCCACGGCCAGAGGCCCACGATGGCTTTGAATGTGGCCCAACATAAACTTGTAAACTTTCTTAAAACATTATGAGATGTTTTGGTAATTCTTTTTTTAGCTCATCAGCTGTCATTACTGTTAGTGTATTTTATGTGTGGCCCAAGACAATTCTTCTTCTTCTAATGTGGCCCAGGGAAGTCAAAAGATTGGACACCCCGATCTAGAATATAAAGAACTGTTTTAGCTGGGCATGCTAGCGACATGCCTGCAGTCCTAGCTACTCAGGAAGATGAGTCGTGAGTACTGTTTGAGCCCAGGAGGGCAAAATGGCAGTGAACTATGATCACGCCACTGCACTCCAACCTGGGTGACAAAGTGAGGCCTCATCTTTAAAATAAAATAGGCCAGGCACAGTGGCTCATGCCTCTAATTCCAGCACTTTGGGAAGCTGAGATGGGCGGATTGCTTCAGCTCAGGAGTTTGAGACCAGCCTGGGCAATAAGGTGAGACTCTGTCTATACTAAAATACAAAAAAAAAAAAAAAAAAAAAATTAGCCAGGCATGGTGGCATGCGCCTGTGGTCCCAGCTGTGGGATGCTGACTGAGGTGGGAGGATCACTTGAGCCTGGGGTGGGGGCAGAGGTTGCAGTGAGTCAAGATGGCATCACTACACTCCAGCCTAGGTGACAGAGCAAGACCCTGTCTCAGTAAAATAAAATAAAGAACTCCTATAGCTCAACAATAAAAAGATAAATAACCCAATTTTAAAATAGTCAAAAGATTTGAATAGATATTTCTCCAACAAAGATGTGCACATGGCCAACAAGCTCATGTAAAGATATTCAACATTTTTAGTCACCACTAACAATCAAAATCACAAATGACACACTTACTTCATACCCACTAGATTGGCTATAATAAAGAAGACAGATAATAAAGAAAGTGCAGACTGGGTGCAGTGGCTCACGCCTGTAATCCCAGAACTCTGGGAGGCTAAGGCAGGTGGATCACTTGAAATCAGGAGTTCAAGACCAGCCTGACCAACATGGCAAAACCCTGTCTCTATAAAAAATACAAAAATTAGCCAGGCATGGTGACATGCGCCTGTAATCCCAGCTACTCGGGAGGCTGAGAGATACAAGAATTGCTTGAACCTGGGAGGTGGAGGTTGCAGTGAGCCAAGATCATGCTACTGCACTCCAGCCTGGGCAATAAAGCAAGACTTCACCTCAAAAAAAAAAAAAAAAAAAAGTGCTGTCAAGTATGTGGAGAAATTGGAAATTTCATTCACTGCTGGTAGAATATAAAATGTCACAGCCACTTTAAAAAATAATTTGGCAGTTCCTCAAAATGTTAAACAGAGAGTTAACTTAAGACCCAGGAATTCCTCACTTAAGTATATACCCAAGAAAAATGAAAACACGTTCACATAAAAACTTGTACATGAACGTCTACAGCAGTAATATTCATAACAGCCAAAAAATGGAAACAACCTAAATGTCCTTCTACAGGTGAATGGATAAACAAAATGTGGCATATACATGCAATAAAATATTCAGCCATAAAAAGGAATGAAGTACTGACACATGCTACGACACAGATAACCTTTGGAAACAGATAAGTTTGAGAAGCCAAGCACAAAAGGCCACAAACTGTTATGATTCCACTTATATGAAAGGTCCAGAGTAAACAAATCCACAGAGACAGAGAGTCTATATGTGACTGCCAGGGTTAGGGTGTGTGAGGGAGTGGGGAGTGATAATGGGTTCAGAGTTTCTTTCTGGGGTGATGAAAATGTTCTGGAATTAGTTGCGATGGTTGTACAACCTTCTAATATATGAAAACCACTGAACTGTACACTTTAAAAGGGTTAAATTTATGGTATGTGAATTACTATCTCAATAAAAATAAGTAGAAAAATAAAGGATAACCTTTTTTGCCTTTTAATTCTAATTTCATTACACGCATATTTTGCTGATAAAAAAGAAATAATGTCGTCTGGGGCAAAGGCTCAGCTTAATCCATGTCTGGTAAAAAAACAAAAGACTGGAAACAAAATGGTCAACAAGAAATTGGTAAGATAAATTAAGGTACATTAAATCAATGGAATATAACCAAAAAAAGACAAAAGAAAAAAAATAAATAAATGGAATATCACATACATATGTACTATGAATACAAGGTCATTCTAAAGGCAATGAGATATTAAAAATGGTATAGAAATATATTTGAAATGAAAAGATGTTTGTCATATTAGTAAAAAAAAAAAAAAATTTTTCAGACGAGGTCTCGCTCTGTCACCCAGGCTGGAGTGCAGTGGCATGAACTTAGCTCACTGCAACCTCTGCCTCTTGGTCTCAAGCGATCCTCCCAGCTAAGCCTCCCAAGTAGCTGGGACTTCAAGGGCACGCCATCACCATGCCTGGCTAATTTTTTTTTTTTGGTAGAGACGGAGTTTCACCATGTCACCCAAGCTGCTCTTGAACTCCTGGACTCAAGCGATCCACCTGCCTCAGCCTCCCAAAGTGCCAAGGTTACAGGCAGTTAATCCCAGGTGAGCCACCATGCCCAGCCCAGTAAAACCTTTTTTTTTAAGTCAAAAAAGTATATCCACAATATTCTGATGCCCTTCTCCCAAAGAAGAAAAAAAATTTAGATTGAAAACCAGTTCTAAGTTCTGGCCTCGACTGTAAGAGAATAAATTTCTTTTATTTAAACAACAACAGGCCAGGCGCAGTGGCTCACACCTGTAATCCCAGCACTTTGGGAGGCCGAGGCAGGTGGATCACGAGGTCAGGAGCTCAAGACTAGCCTGGCCAATATGGTGAAACCTCGTCTCCACTAAAAATACAAAAATTAGCCAGGTATGGTGGTGGGCGCCTGTAATCCCAGCTACTCGGGAGGCTGAGGCAGAAAATTGCTTGAACTTGGGTGGCGGGGCTTGCAGTGAGCCAAGATAGCGCCACTGCACTCCAGCCTGGGTGACAGAGGGAGACTTCATCTAAAAACAACAACAACAAAAGAACAACAACAAACAGGATGGGCTCACACCTGTAATCCCAATACTTTGGGATGCTGAGGTAGGAAGACTGCTTGAGACCACAAGTTCAAAACCAGCCAAAATGGTGAGATCCCATTTCTTTCTTTCTTTCTTTTTTATTTTTTATTTTTTTTGAGATGAAGTTTCACTCTTGCTGCCCAGGATGGAGTGCAATGGCACAATCTTTGCTCACTGCAACCTCCACCGGCCGGGTTCAAGTGATTCTCCTGCCTCAGCCTCCCAAGTAGCTGGAATTACAGGCACGTGCCACCACGCCCGGCTAATTTTGTATTTTTAGTAGAGAGGCGGTTTATCCATGTTGGTCAGGCTGGTCTCGAACTCCCGACCTCAGGTGATGCTCCTGCCTTGGCCTCCCAAAGTACTGGGATTACAGGCGTGAGCCATCGCACCCGGCGAGACCCCATTTCTATAAAATAAAATAAACAAATAAAACCCAACTCTTTAAAAACATTAAAATTATTCCCACAGTAAGAGTGCGTATTGATAAAAGAAAAACATAAAATATATATATATATAAAAACACTAAAAAGTCAAAAAATATTTACATCAAACTGTTAACAGAAATTATATCAGGCCGGGCGCGGTGGCTCATGCCTGTAATCCCAGTACTTTGGGAGGCCGAGGCAGGTGGATCACAAGATCAGGAGATCAAGACCATCCTGGCTAACACAGTGAAACCCCGTCTCTACTAAAAATACAAAAAATAAGCCGGGTGTGGTGGCGGGCGCCTGTAGTCCCAGCTACTCGGGAGGATGAGGCAGGAGAATGGCGTGAACCCAGGAGGCAGAGCTTGCAGTGAGCCGAGATGGTGGGCGACAGAGCGAGACTCCATCTCAAAAAAAAAAAAAAAAAAGAAATTATATCCTGGTAGTGATATTACAGGGGTTATTTTTCTTCCTTTATTTCAGCTATATTTAGGGACAGTAGTATAAACACCCCAAACAAACAAGAAAGTAAAGGGTGAATAACTTCAAAGAACAAGGACACTAAAATTTCCAAACTTATCACTAGTACTTTATTAAGTCCAAGTTCCTGGAAATTAGCCAAAAGTCACCTAATTATAGAATTAAAACACAATCCTATGTATTCTTATTCTTGCTTTGGCAGGAATGTACAATACCTGACAGTGCTAAGAGTTAAGTTACTTTCACAAAATCAAAACAGTGACTACAAAGGGCCAGTAAGGGAAAACTAAGGGACTAAGTCCCAATTCTCAGGTCACAAAGCTGTTTAGATAAAACAATTTATTCTAGGATAGATTTGAAGATCAAGTATCTATTCTATAGAGTCTAAAGGTATTATTCAGGTATAAAAATACTGTAAGAAAACTTTACCACCACCAACAACAAACCACTAACCACAGGTTTACTCCCTAAAATATAGCCAAGCCAACAGACTATAAAATATCCTCATATGAAAAGACAGGACTCTCAATTTTGAAATAAACCCCACAGTTTTACTTTTTTATGTTTTTAGAAAACGAGGCTAAAGATCTACTTCATGCTAGTAACTAGTTTCTAAGAAAAAGCAACATGTAAAGGAAACACTGAAAATTACTTCAAAGACAAAAAAAAGTTAAAATGTTACTGCTAAGAGTAAAACCAAAGAAAAACTGGAAAATTAAAGCCTTTCAAGTCACAATTTTAGAGATTTTTCATTGAGAAAGTTCAATACTGCCAAGATGTTTTAAAATAAAAAAAGTTAAGATTAGATGAGGCTATTTTTATTGATTAATATAAGGCAAAACAGGCTATCACTACACATATTAGAACCGCTCAAATAAAAAAGTGGTAACACTAAATGCTAGCAAGGATGCAGAGAAACTGGATATCTCATATATTGTTGATAGGAATATAAGAGGATATAGTCATTCTAGAAAATAAATAGTTCAGCAGTTTCTCTAAAAACCAAACATGCACTTACCATACAATCCAAACATTTGGGCATTTATTCCCCCAAAATGAAAACTTTATATTCACATAAAAATATTTATATACATGAATGTTTATAGCAGCTTTATTTGCAATAGCCAAAAAACTGGAAACCACCCTTCTGGTATGTCCTTCAATAAGTAAATGGTTAAACAAATTGTGTGGTTCAGCCATACTATGGACTACTACTCAATAGTAAAAAGAAATGAACTACTGATACATGCAGCAATTTGGATGGCTCTCAAAGGAAGTATGGTAAAAGAAAAAAAGCCAAAGTTACATTCTGTATGATTCCATTTATATAACATTCTCAAAATGGCAAAATTACAGAGATGCAAACAGATTAGTGGTTGCTGGAAGGGTGCGTGCGGCTATAAAGTGGTAGCATAGGGAGCCCTGAGGTGATGGAGTAGCTCTGTATATAGAACTATAGACTGTTACAGTGGCTATCCAGATCTACACATGATAAAATTGCATACAATTATATATATACACACACACACAAATACATGTGAAACTGGTGAAATCTAAAAAAGGCTTATGGATTGCAACGATGACAATTTCCTGGTTCTTGACATTAAATTATCGTTATGTGAGCTACTACCATTAGGTGAAACTTGGTGAAGGGAACATGGGCTCTGTACTATTTTTCACAACTTCCTATAAATCTGTAATTATTTCAAAATAGAAAGTAAAAAAATTAGTAGGGCTATGTATGAGGAGGTTAATATAATAACAAATGGAAAAGGTTTAGCATAGCATTTGAAACACGGTAATAAAGGCTTCCATTTTATTGAAACTTTTATTACATTAATTTGAAAACACAGGTTTCCGCACTAAATATATACAACTATTTCAGCAAAAAGCATGACTTGAGCTAGAATTCCTTAATTTAATTACCAAATACTATGTGAAATCTCTTGTGCACATGGTTAAGATTGTTTTAAGACTTAAAATTGTCCAAGTGAATAGGGAACCAGTACACAACATAAATGGCTCAACATTCAGCTTTTTTCCCAAAAATCTTTAACTCAAATGTCTTTTTACATCATCAAGTAACTTATCAGATGGAAATAAATGTATCATCTGCTGTGTGATTCCAAATTAAGGAAAGTCTAACTCAAAGCCATCCTCAACTTGAATATATATAATCTCTTACAAAAAAACAATTACGTGTAATCTTAAGAATAGTGAAACAAACTCAAAGCCTTTTTGGCATTCCACAGCAGCTGAGTCCCTACCAAATATTCTGGGGTGGAAAGAACATTCTACTGGCCATCCTCTGAATTCCTCAGCAGACTCTAGGCTGTCCAGTCAGCTCTGTAGGAAACAGCAAATACCAGGTGCTGGTAACTAGTCTCTAATTCTTCAAAAAAGCATTATCTTTGGCCTACAGCCCCTTCAAGATTACTCTATACCTATGTGTGTGTAAGTGATTAATACAGTCTCTAGTGTTGTGGGTGTGATCCTGAAATAGTTTCCACCACTAAATGTTACTCTTAACAGAGTCAACAAAAGAGAGAATAGAAAGCTGTGTGAAATCATACAAAAGCTTGATTTTCTACTTTCCACAGGAAAAAAAATTACTTTAATTTTCTCAGCTTCAGCAGGTGCAAGAATATCTAACCACTGCCATGACGTCTATACCCTTCCTGTGATATTCAGTATACAGGTTATCTGAGAACAAGTGAGAACCATCTGATCAGTTCCGTATCACCAACGGAGCCCTTAAATTCTGTTCCCATGGACCCTTCTGTACTTCTAACACTATGATTTGTTGGCAGGAATTTCACGGAAGAAATTGAGATGTAAGGCCATCTGGCATGCCAGGATCAGAATTTTTCTAATACACACCCCCGTTCCTGACTTAGAATTTTCTAGTATCCCTTTCCCATCCTATCTTTCCTGTAATGTAGTAAGCCTTTTGTGTGACCACTGGGTAGACAGACTCCAAAAAGTCACTCACCGTTTCCTTTGCTTTTCAATAGTTAAAACTTTATGAGTGTTAAAAAAGAGTCCACAAAGACGAAGGGGGAAAAAAAAAGTCCAAACACTGAAATGCCAATGATTAATGGTGACAGTATTCAATGATCACAGATTTTGGATAAAAGATGGAAGTTGTGGAATGAAAGTTAAGTTAGCGGCCGGGCGCAGTGGCTCATGTCTGTAATCCTAGCACTGTGGGAGGCCAAGGCAGGCAGATCATTTGAGTCAGGAGTCCAAGACCAGCCTGGCCAACACGGCGAAACCCCGTCTCTACTAAAAATACAAAAATTAGCCGGTGTGGTGGCGGGTGCCTGTAATCCCAGCTACTCAGGAGGCTGAGGCAGGAAAATCACTTGAACCCAGGAGTGTTGAAGTTGCAGTAAGCCAAGATCACGCCACTGCACTCCAGCCTGGGTGGCATAGCAAGACTCCGTCTCAAAAAACAAAAACAAAACAAAACAAAAAAAACAAAGAAAGTTAAGTTAGTTGAACACAGTATACTAAATTTTGAGACATTCTTAAATATGAATTATATTGTTAGTGTACAATCTACACTATAGAAAACCTAATGTCTTCTTAAAAGCGCATGTCAGTACCCAAATCAGTAAAATTCAATAACCTGAAGGTTCTAGTTCACTAAGAATTACTGTGGGCTATATCTGCAAATGCACAGAAATTAAATAGAGCACAAATCACTTGGAAAAAGGCCTCTAAATTCTTTCATATTCAATCTACTTTAATCTGTCTGATTGCTTTGGAGCCCAGCAGTAACACCAATCTCATTGGTAACACTGTGTAGAAATAAGCAGAGAGAGGCCGGGCGCGGTGGCTCATGCCTGTAATCCCAGCACTTTGGGCGGCCGAGGCAGGTAGATCACCTGATGTTGGGAGTTTGACACCAGCCTGACCAACATGGAGAAACCCCATCTCTACTAAAGATACAAAATTAGGCATGGTGGCACATGCCTGTAATCCCAGCTACTTGGGAGGCTGAGGCAGGAGAATTGCTTGAACCCGGGAGTCAGAGGTTGCAATGAGCCAAGATCGCGCCACTGCACTCCAACCTGGGCAACACAAGTGAAACTCCGTCTAAAAAAAAAAAAAAAACAGAAAGAGAGAGAGAGGGAGGGAGCGAGAGCGAGAGAGAGAGAGAAAGAGAAGCAGATATAAGCCCTAATGCAGTGCTGAAAAAAGGCATGAACATCTTGGGCTTACTATGACATGATGAACAATGGGCACTAGAGGATGGCACATACAAGAGGATACTGCCCTACGGCAGTGAAGAGCACTACATCTCAGCCCTCCAAATCTCAGCTCCCCACTAGCAGGTCCACCTATACATCCCCCTACTATCTTCTTACCCAAACCAATAGTCCTTCTGGCCCTTATTTCCAAAAACACCACAAATATTTCCCCAGTCACTCAAGTTCAAAGCTACAGTGTGATTATTAAATCCACTTAAGGAATCTGAATCATCTCCATCCTTACCCTGTAATACCTCTCACATTCATTCTCCCTTCACATCCCCATTCCCACCATCCTAGTTTAAGAAATTGTACCTTAAACCCAAGTTTCCCAACAAGGTCTTGATGTCCCCACAGCCAAATTTGTACTCCAAAACATTGTTTTGAACAAGTCATCCAAGCCTTAAAAAAGCATCTACAGATCTGGCAGTACAGCCAACAGAAACCTATCATGAGCTTGGACAAACACCAAGCACCTTCCAGAAGAAGTTTCTGGACCCAGGGCTCAAGACCAAGTTCTGCAAATTCCCTGTATTTGCTACTTCTTGCCATCCCCTCTTTCTCCATAGTGATAAACAATTAAGTCTTTCAAAAGAAAAGGGTTTATGGCTCGTTTTCATGGACAAGCAGCAGCAGGTGGACAGCATCCTAAACCATGGCCAGTTCTGGAGGGGAGCAAAGCCCAAGAGAATCAGTGGAAGCAACTTAAAACATAAAAGGCCAGGCCAGGCATGGTGGCTCATGCCTGTAATCCTGACACTTTGGGAAGCCAAGGTGGGCAGATCACTTGAGGTCAGAAGTTCGAAACCAGTCTGGCCAACATGGTGAGACCCCATCTCTACTAAAAATACAAAAATTACCTGGGCATGGTGGCGGGCGCCTGTAATCCCAGTTACTCGGGAGGCTGAGGCAGGAGAATTGCTCGAACCTGGGAGACGGAGGTTGCAGTGGGCCAAGATTGTGCCACCACACTCCAGCCTGGGCAAGAGAGCAAGACTCCCTCTCATTAATTCATTCATTCATTCATAATTAAATAAATAAATAAGGCCAGGCATGGTGGCTCACACCTGTAATCCCAACATTTTGCTAGGCGGAGGCGGGAGGATCACTTGGACCAGGAGTTGGAGACCTTCATGGGCAACATGACAAGACCCCATCTTTACAAAAAAAACCAAAATGAGCCAGGCATGGTGGCACTCGCCTGTAGTCCCAACTACTCAGGAGGCTGAGGTGGGAAGTTCACTTCAGCCTGGGAGGCCAAGGCTGCTGTGACCCATGATTATGACACTGCACTCCAGCCTGAGCGACAGAGCAAGACCCTGTCTCAAAAAAAATTAAAAAAATAAATTTAGGCCAGGCACAGTGGCTCACACCTGTAATCCCAGCACACTGGGAGGCCAAGGCATGTGGATGGCTTGAGCCCAGGCAAAGGCTGCAGTGAGCCGAGATCACACCACTGCACTCCAGCCTGGGCAACAGAGCGAGACCCTGTCTCCATAAAATTAAATTAAAATTTAAAAATAATAAAACACAAAATAAAAAAATGTTTTAAAAAGCAAACAAAATCCCTGGTCTGTGGGTACATGAAGAAGTCTGAGATGATGAGCTCAAGAGTTTTATTTTGAAGACTTTAGGATGAAATCCAATATCTTACTCTACATATTAAAGAAATGTCCATGTCATGTGTAAGAGGGAACACATAATAAAAGGAAAGTTAAACATAAGTGGGCTATACCAAGAGCATGAAGTGAGTACCTTTGAGAGTTCAGAGGAGAAACCAAAAACATCAAGGACTTAGGCAATGCAAGAGGTCAGCATTCTAAATAAATCAACCAATTTGGTGGAAGCAGAGAACACAAAAGACAGCTGCGAGAGACTATATAGCTGTCCCATGGTTCTAGTCCATTTTCACATGCTTTCTGGTCTCCTCTCCCCATCTGGACTATCAGTTCAGAGGCCAAGAACCACCACAATGTGTTAACCTATTAGCTAACTATCAGTCACATCTTAAGAATTCAGAAAACAATGGTAACAGTTTTAGTATATTTAATCTCAGAACAGCATAACATCGAGGTGCACTCTGAATTCAGATTTTTTTAAATACCTATATTAAAAATAGAAAAACTTTCTAAAGTTAAGAAATAAGGATACTGGCGAGAATGGTGGCTCATGCCTATAATCCCAGCACTCTGTGAGGCCAAGGTGGGAGGACTGCTTGAGGCCGGTTGAAGACCAGCCTAGGCAACAAATGGAGGCCCCATCTCTACAAAAAGTAAAAATAAAAAAATTAGGCAGGTGTGGTGACATGTGCCTGTAGTCCCAGCTACTCCAGGAAGCTAAGGCAGGAGGATCACTTGAGCCCAAGAGTTAGAGGATACAGTGAGCTATGATCACGTCACTCCACTCCAGCCTAGGCAGCAGAGTGAGACCCAGTCTCAAAAGAAAAAAAAGAAATCAGGATAATGAGGCCGGGCACGGTGGCTCATGCCTGTAATCCCAGTCCTTTGGGAGGCCAAGACGGGCAGATCACCTGAGGTCAGGAGTTCGAGACCAGCCTGACCAACATGAAGAAACCCCGTCTCTACTAAAAATAAAAAATTAGCCAGGCGTGGTGGCAAGCGCCTGTAATCCCAGCTACTCGGGAGGCTGAGGCAGCAGAATCGCTTGAACCTGGGAGGCAGAGGTTGCGGTGAGCTGAGATCGAGCCACTGCACTCCAGCCTGGGCAACAAGAGCGAAACTCCGTCTCAAAAAAAAAAAAAAAATCAGAATACATGAATCAAAGCAAGAATTTCTAAGCACCCAGACACTCTTAACACTCTTGGGAATTGTTTAATGTATTTTTTGAAACTAGGAGGTCTCAGAATTGAACTTTTTTTAATTTAAAAAAAAAATTAACTGCTGACATCCTCTAAGGGAGGAGGCAAAAGAATGGAAAATCTGGTGAAGTGATAAGCAGTTTTTAAAGAGGTTTACAACCAGTTTTTAAACAGTAATCCCTCCGGGAAATGAAAATTCCTCTCCTAATCCCTTTGAGGGCAATATATTTGAATCAGGAACAAGAACATCTTGCTTCTAAGTATAAATATGAACCTTTTAGAGTATCTTCTGCATTAAATAGCAAGTAGAGGAGAGGACAATTTCTAATTTATCAAAAAAAAAATAAGCATCTTGGACTTATATCTTTTGCTAGACACATGCAAAGAGGCTTCAGTAAAATGCAATTAAGGAACTTCAAGGTTTTCGTTGACAGTGATTACCTAACTGGAGCTTACTCCTGTGAAATGAAACTACCAGAAACCCTCAACATCAATTTGCTTGTCACTAAACCACAGGTTTACGCGTAGACTTGGAAATGCTAACAGGATGGAACCACAAGCCTTTAATAAAACGTGATGACCATGGAGAGCACCCTTGAAGCTTAGCAACAGAGGACTCAACCCTAAAAGGGTTCCCTTTCTGGAATGTGAGGGCAGGTTTGACATGTACCACAGCACCAGTCCTAGAACGCTTGACTGCATTTTCCACAAAAGGTAGGAGTTGTAATAGTAGCATAGAGCAGACACCAGCCCACTGGAAGCAGATGGAACCCACCAACTCATTTTATCCAGACCTTCAAAAAGGTACACAGAACTCTCTCTCTCAGCCAAAGCAGGGCAGATCTGAATGAATAAATCCAGGAAAAGGTTCACATGGGATTACTAATTGGTAATTTCATTTGCATGCTAAAGCCCTCAATGTAAAACACAACCTGAAAAATGAAAAGCAATTTGAAAGCCGGTTCTCCATACTCAAGCTACACACACACACACACACACACACACACACACACACACACCCACGAGACCCAAAAGCTTTGTTTTACAAAACAAATAAGATTCAGTGACCTATTCCAGCACAGGGACTCTTCTGAAGGGAGATCTAGTTGGAAACATTCCCTGCTTATGTACATAATTCACTAGGGGTCAGGTAAGATTCCATTTTCTAAGAGCTGAACTTTAAACAGAAAGTCACTAGTGGTGCAATATTCACTCATTAGCATAAATCTCTACCCCCTAGAATGAAAAGCATTGGCTGCCTCTGCCAGGATGACAACTTTACAGTGAGAAGCTGGAGCCGCGGACCATGAACTCCTGGAAAGTTCTATCAGGGCCTCAGAAGGGCTCACCACCTTCACCAGCCTAAACTTAGTGGTCACCCATCCCACGCCACCCTCTGCATAGACAGGGCATCTGTGACATGGGAATTTTTTAAAAATAAAAAGATGGGCCAAAGGGTCAAGAGCAGGCAATGCCTTACAGGGCTGACATAATTGCTGTCTGGGATTGGGGGATGGGGAGGAGCATTCTGGATGTTTCTATTCTTGGCAAGGAAAGCACCTCCGGGTCCTGCACCATCAAAAAACACTCACACACCAATGTTCTCAGGGAATGAATGATAGGCCCGTGCTAAGCGGTCTCATCTTGAGTTGTGATGATGGGGAAAAAGGTGTGGAGGGCTGGAGGCGGGGTGGTGGTCAAGGGTAGATGTGTTTAACTAAGGGGGATGGGAGGAGAGTGAATGGATAAAGGGGGGGGCCTGGGGAAGGTGTGGACGGTTAAGAGGGAGGGGAGGAAGGTGTGGACGACTAAGGGAGGACAGGAGACGGAGGGTGTGGACGGCTAAGGAGGCTTGGGGAAAGGTGTGAACGACTGGGGGGTTGGGGATGGCCAGCAGCACCCCCGTGCAACAGCAGCGAAGGCAGGCCGTGGGGGTGGCCGCTCCTAGACCCTCACAACCCCCCTCTGTGGGCGTGTGCCCGGCTGCGCATTCGCACCGGCCAGGCCATCGGGCCGCAGAGCCAGCACTCACCCCACGACTCCCTGGTTGTAGTTCCTCCGTTTCCACGGGGTCCCGCTGTACACGACCCCGCCGCCGTCTGCTCGGCCGCCCCCCGCGGCCCGCCCTCCGCTGGGCTGCAGCAGGCTGTAGTTGAGTCCATACGTGCTGGCCTTGTTGTCGCGCTTCCTCTTGTTGCTGCTGCCCGAGGCCGAATCGGCTGGATCGGCGGCGGGGACGGCGGCCGAAGGGTGCGGGGACGAGGACGCCGAGGGAGGCGAGGACGCCGAGGAGCCCGCCCGGCGGGCCCAGGCCCCGGGCTGGTGGTGGTTGTTGTTGTTGTTGGTCGTCTCTAGGGGCAGGAAGTCCCGCTGCTCCGCGGGCAGCGCGTGGCTGCCCAGCAGGCGCTCCCCGGAGCGATACATGCCGGCCGGGGCCGGGGCCGGGGCCGAGGCCGCGCCGCCGGGGCTGCCGGTGCTGCTGCCGCTCCCGCCGGTGGCCGTGCTGCTGCTGCTGCTGCTGCCGCCGCCGCCGCTCGCGCCGCCGCTGCTGTGACAGTGGTGGTTGAAGTAGAGGTTCCTCAGCCCCTGGGTCGTCTCCCAGATCTGCATCCACAGACTGTTGGACGGTCCGAGCTGCTCTGGCTGAAACCAGGCGATCCTCGGATCCATCAAACGGCGGCGGCCGCTGCCCCCGCCCCTCCCGGCCGCCCGCAGGGCCGCCGCCGCCGCCGCCTCAGGCGCACGCCCGGCCTCGGCTGCTGCTGCTGCTGCCGCTGCTGCCGCTGCTGCTGCTGCTGCTGCTCGGGGCCCGCCGCGGGCGGCGCGGTCGCGCAGGGAGCCCGGCCGGCGCCGGCGGCGTCGCTCCCGCCCTCGGGGGCTCCGCGGGCCCTCCCCCCCTCCCTCCGCCCCTCCGCCCCTCCGCCGAGCCCCTGTCACTGGGGTCCCCGTGCAAATGGCGGCGGCGGCGGCGGCGGCTCCACAGAAGAGCGAGCGGCGGCGGCGGCAGCGGCGGCAGCGAGACGCGCCTGCTCCGTAGCGTCCTCGCTCCTCCGGCCCCGGGGCGGGGCCTCTGCCGGCTCCGCCCCTCTCGCTCCGCCCCCCCCCCCCACCGCCCCGCCCTCACGCGCTCGCCCCGCCCCCGCTGCGCCGCGCAGCAGCCCGGGAGGCCTCGCCGTGCGTCACAGAGGCCGCGGCGCGACGGGGCCGCAACCGCCTGGCCCAACCGTACTTGCGCCATCTGTGGAGTGCTCCCACGTACCTGGGCGTCCGGGAGCTTCTGAGGCGCGCGCGGCTTCTCCGCCTCGGCTTCCCCGGTGCTGAGCGTGGACGAGGCCGCATGGAGGTTGCCGCCCGCCCCGCAGGGAGCGCGTTGTGGGAGGTGCCACTCCGCCCCTCGCTCCTCGCCCCTCCCATCCCTGTGGCCGCCGGATCCCGGGCCCTCGCAACCCTTCCTGACGTCTTGGCTTCTGCCTGCTTTCTAAAACACTTTCTTTTTAAAAAAAAAAAAAAAAAAAAAAACAGCCTATAACACTTTTTCTGGTGGCGTGGGGACACGCCCCCTGCCCGAGCGTGTGCCCCGGGGTCCTGACGCGGGCTGCGCGAGACCCTGCACGGCTACGTGTGCCCCGCCCTGCTGCGCCCTGGCCGGGGTGGGGGACCCCTCACCCCGGCCTGAGGCCACAGAAACCTGTACCCCATGCATAGCCCTGGGGGAGACCACTAAGACTGAGAGTGTGAGCCAAGGGCGGAAAGCCGCAGCCGCACACTCAACCCACTTTACAGGGACACGCAAACACGTGTAGATGCACAGAGAAGCAGACACACTCCTGCGCGGCGTAGCAAAGACGCTCTCCTGCCCTAAGGTGCACCAACAGCCTTAGAAAGCTCTTCTGAGTTCAGCATTAAATTTTAAGAAAACCCAAAACCTTTTAATCCTAAAATGAAGATTTAGCATCAGCAAAGATTGTCCACTAGGTCGTTATTTGCATGTCTTTCAAATCTCAGTGGTTAAAAAGCCAAGGAAAGGGGAATGTTAAGTATTTTAAATCAAGAGACTAAAAGAAAGTAAGTGAACAGCTTCTATGTGGGCCCTTTAAGGTTGGTCCAACGTCCAGAACAAGTCCCTGATGCCTGATATTGGCCTTCCATTTTGGGAGCTCAATATCCTGGAAAGTTTTTATGACAAATAGTGGAAAACTATCAAAGAACTAAGTGTCGCTCTACCTTTTTCTTTCTTTCGAGACTAACTCTTGCTCTGTCATCTGGAGTTCAGTGACTCATTCACAGCTCACTGCAGGCTCGGCCTCTTGGGTTCAAGCGATCCTCTTGCCCCAGCCTCCGAGTAGCTAGGACTATAGGCACGCGTCAACATGGCATAGAGACGAAGTTGCTCTGCGCTGCCCAGGCTGGTCTGGAACTCCTGGACTTAAGCGATCCTCCTACCTCAGACTCCAAAACTGCTGGGATTACAAGGGGGTGAGCCACCACGCCTGACCTTACTTTTTTTTTTTTTTTTGGTAAGAGAATAAATAGCACGACCAGAAATACGGAAAACACACAAAGACCCTTCAGCTGCAAACAACAGCTTCCTTGGTAGTTTATGCAGCCTGTTTCTTGTATGGGCTGCTCTAAGGGACCATGGAGACAGGCCTTTCAGATGTATGTTCATGTCTTTGACCTTGCACTACGCCAATGTAGGCTCCAGGCAGATATTCGAGGTGCCTTTGAAAAGCTCCAGGGCACTGTGGCCAGGGTTCACATTGGCCAAGTTATCATGTCCATCTGCAACAAGCTGCAGAATAAGGAGCATGTGATTGAATCCCTGCTCAGGGCCAAGTTCAAGTTCCCTGGCTGCCAGAAGATCCACATTTCAAAGAAGTGGGGCTTCACCAAGTTCACTGCGGATGAATTTGAAGACATGGTGGCTGAAAAGCGGCTCATCGCAGATGACTGTGGGGTCAAGTACATCCCCATCATGGCCCTCTGGACAAGTGGCGTGCCCTGCCCTCGTGAGGGCTTCCACTGTGCTGCCCCCTCTTAATACTCCCCAGTAAATCCTACTTCCTGTCCACCAAAAACAAACAAAAAAAACCCTTCGGAATTTTGATTCATTCAATTTGATTGTTGCTGTTGCTTTACTAGAAATCAGTATTAAAAGTTTTCTCTGTCCGGGGGCGGTTGCTCACACTTGTAATCCCAGCGTTTTGGGAAGTCAAGGCAGGCAGATCACCTGAGGTCGGGAGTTCGAGACCAGCCTGACCAACACGGAAAAACCCCATCTCTACTAAAAATACAAAATTAGCCGGGTGTGGTGGCGCATGCCT
Organism: Homo sapiens; assembly: GCF_000001405.40. Classification (NCBI taxonomy): domain Eukaryota; kingdom Metazoa; phylum Chordata; class Mammalia; order Primates; family Hominidae; genus Homo; species Homo sapiens. Next base: position 50,150,967 of record NC_000016.10, on the reverse strand, counting down.
GTAATCCCAGCTACTTAGGAGGTTGAGGCAGGAGAATCACATGAACCCAGGAGGTGGAGGTTGTGGTGAGCCGAGATCTCGCCATTGCACTCCAGCCTGGGTGACAGAGCGAGACTCCATCTCAAAAAAAAAAAAAAAAAAAAGTTTTCCCTGAATGAAATTTGCTATGTACTAATTATTACATAGCCAGGAAAATAAGTAGCCGTATTTTTTGTGTTATTTACACTGACAAAAATAAAACATTGTATAGAAATAGATTTTGTTTGCTGACCTCATATTTGTTTTAAAAATTGAATCTCTGGCCGGGCGTGGTGACTCACACCTGTAATCCCAACATTTTGGGAGGCTGACGCGGGCAGATCATGAGCTCAGGAGTTCCCGAGACCAGCCTGGCCAATGTGGTGAAACCCCGTCTCTACTAAAAATACAAAAAATTAGCCGGGTGTGGTGGCACATGCCTGTAATCCCAGCTACTTGGAAGGCTGAGGCAGGAGAATCATTTGAACCTTGGAGGCAGAGGTTTTGGTGCGCCGAGATCGCGTCATTGCACTCCAGCCTAGGTGACACAGTGAGACTCTGTCTCAAAAAAAAAAAATTATATATATATATATCTATCTCTCTCTCTCTCTCAGCAGGATGCAGTGGCTCATGCCTGTAATCCCAGCACTTTGGAAGACTGAGGTGAGAGGATTACTTGAAGCCAGGAGTTTGAGAACAGCCTAGGCAACATGGTGAGACCTCTGTCTCTACAAAAAATTTAAAAATGAGCTGGGCCTTTTCCTTTAACGTAGGATCAAGGTAATAAAAAAGAAAAAAATATTCAACATGAAATTTGGAGGAGACAGATATCCAAACTATTATCAGATGCTAATTCATCAGTTACACCATAGTAATATCCTAAGTATGTTAAGTAAAAGGCTTTCTTCAGCAAAGTATCAGAGATACATTTGATTTACATACTTTTGTAAACTCTGTCTTCTCAGGATGCTGGGTACTTAAGATCCATGCTTTCAGGCCAAGTGTGGTGGCTCACGCCTGTAATCCCAGCAATTCGGGAGGCTGAGGCAGGCAGATCGCTTGAGGTCAGTAGTTTGAGACCAGCCTGGCCAACATGGTGAAACTCCATCTCTACTTAAAAAAAGAAATTAGCCGGGCATGGTGGCCCACATCTCTAAGGCCAGTTACTCAGGAGGCTGAGGTGGGAGAATCACTTGAACTTGGGAGGCAGAGGTTACAGTGAGCCGAGATCGTGCCACTGCACTCCAGCCTGGGCGACAGAGCTAGACTCCGTCTCAATAAATAAATAAATAAATAAATAAAATTAGCTGTGCTTGGTGGCGAGTGCCTGTGGTCCCAACTACTCGGGAGGCTGAGGTGGGAGTATGGCTTGAGCACAGGAGGTCGAGGCTACAGTGAGCCATGTTTGTGACACTGCACTCCAGCCTGAGTGAGATCCTGTCTTAAAAATAAAAATAAAAATGACCAGGCGCAGTGGCTCATGCCTGTAATCCCAGTACTTTGGGAGGCTGAGGCAGGAAGATCACTTGAGCCCAGAAGTTCAAGACCAGCCTGGGCAACACAGCGAGATTTTTGTCTCAAAAGAGAAGAAAAGGAAATAAAACTAAAAAATTTAAATATATTTTCTTAAACCCTGCTTGAAAAAAAAAAATTCAGGAGAGGCATGGTGGATTACACCTATAATCCCAGTGCTTTGGGAGGTTTAGGCCGGAAGGTGGCTTGAGGCTTGGAGTTTGAGACCAGTCTGGGCAATATAGCAAGACCCTGCCTGTAAAAATAATAATAATAATAGTAATAATAATAAAATTTTTAAATTCAATCTCAAGACATAAGGTCAGGAAAACATTTTTCTTTTTAATTCAAATAAGAACAATGGAAAGCCCAAAACACTAAACATTATTGGCTGGGCGCGGTGGCTCACACCTGTAATCCCAGCACTTTGGGAGGCTGAGGTAGGAGGATCACTTGAGGTCAGGAGTTTGAGACCAGCCTGACCAACATGGTGAAACCCCATCTCTACTAAAAATACAAAAAATGTAGCCGGGGTGGTGGCGCACACAAGTAGTCCCAGCTACTCTGGAGGCTGAGGTGGAAGGATCACTTGAACCCGGGAGGCAGAGGTTGCAGTCAGCTGAGATTGCACCACTATACTCCAGCCTGGGTGACACAGCGAGACTCCATCAAAAAAAAAAAAAAACAGATGTTATCAAGGTCCCACCAACAGAAATGCCCACTGTGAAAATTGTTAAACATTCATCCAAAAATCTCTCCATGCATATGTACATGTTGAAATACAGGTATATATTCCAGTCTCTTAAAATATTTCTTTAGGACCAGGCACGGTGGCTCACACCTGTAATCCCAGCACTTTGGAAGGCAGAGGCAGATGGATCACTTGAGGTCAGGAGTTTGAAAGCAGCCTGGACAACATGGTGAAACCCCATCTCTACTAAAAACACAAAAATTAGCTGGGCCTCATAGGCGCACACCTGTAATCCCAGCTACTTGGGAGGCTGAGGCAGGAGAATCACTTGAACCTAGGAGGCAGAGGTTGCAGTGAGCCGACATTGCACCACTGTACTGTAGCCTGGGTGACAGAATGAAACCCTGTCTCAAAAAAATAAATAAAATAAAATATTTATTCAGACATTCTAGAACACATTAAATGCCATTGATATCTAAGTTTTTTCAAGGTACTCAAAATTAGTAATAGCATGTGCAAGAAATTAACATTTGTTATATTTGAGTGCTGATTTCCTCAGGCAAAGGTTAAGAACTACTAAAGTATTGGCAAAATGCTAAAAATTAGTTAACATACATAAAAATACATTGTAGGCCGGGTGCAGTGGCTCAAGCCTATAATCCCAGCACTTCTGGAGGCCAAAGTGGGCAGATTGCTTCAGCTCAGGAGTTTGAGACCAGCTTGGGCAACATGACAAGACCCCACCTCTATAGAAAAAAATATAAAAATCACTTTGTGGTGCCGGGCACGGTGGCTCATGCCTGTAATCCCAGCATTTTGGGAGGCCGAGATGGGTGGATCATCTGAGGTTGGGAGTTGGAGACCAGCCTGACCAACATGGAGAAACCCCGTCTCTACTAAAAATACAAAATTAGCTGGGCATGGTGGTGCATGCCTGTAATCCCAGCTACTCAGGGGGCTGAGGCAGGAGAATTGCTTGAACTTGGTAGGCGGAGGTTGCAGTGAGCCGAGATCGTGCCATTGCACTCCAGCCTGGGCAACAAGAGGGAAACTCTGTCTGAAAACAAACAAAGAGACAAACAAACAAAAAACCTTTATGACCAGGCGCAGTGGTTCATGCCTGTAATCCCAGCACTTTGGGAGGCCGAGGTGAGCAGATCACTTGAGGTCAGGAGTTCAAGACCAGCCTGGTGAACATGGTGAAACCCCATCTCTACCAAAAGTACAAAAAACTAGCCAGGCGTAGTGGCGTGTGTCTGTAATCCCAGCTACTTGGGAGGCTGAGGCAGGAGAATCACCTGAACCCAGGAGGGGGAAGTTGCAGTGAGCCAAGATCATGCCACTCCACTCCAGCCTGGGCAACAAAGGGAGACTCTTGTCTCAAAAATAAAAATAAAAACTTTGTAGACTGTGATGTGTGGGCCTAAAGACAAGGCATTACTGTGTTCATTCACCTGGAAAGAATGCATGTTGGTTAGCTGTGTAACTTATCCTTGTTTCAAGGCCTTCAGCAAATCTTGGTTGAATGTCTGTCACCCATGCAGAATTGAGCTAATTGCTTTAGAGGAGATAAATAAGCAACCAGGGCCTTTGGCTGCCTTCCATGAATTTCCTGTCTGGTTGAGGAGGCAAAAAGAAGTAAATATTTAAACTCAAATTGCAATTCATTCAATTAATTCAATAAATATGGTCTTGAGCAACTATTAGATGCCAGATTCTGGGGATACAGCAACGAACAATTCTGATGAGGTCCCTGCCCTGGTGGACCTAGTTTGCCAGTGAGCAAGGGAAGCCTATAAAGTCAGACAGTGGTAAATGCGATGAAGAAAAAGAAGGCAGGCTAAAGGACAGTGACAGTATGCTATTTTTAGATAGGCTAATCAGGGAAGGCTGCTCTGAGGAAGCGATATTTGAGCCGAGCGGTAAGCAAAGGAGTGGGCTGTGACCATCTAAGGAATGGTCCATTAGACAGAGGGGATGGCAAACACCAAGGCCCTGGGTCAGGAACCTGCTCTGGGTGCAACAAGATGAGGCACTGTGATTGAGTGTCGGATGTGTGCCATGGTATAGAATTATAAAGCATGTCTTCTGGAAGGTACCTTAAAAATCATTCAGCTGGGGCCGAGTGCGGTGGCTCGCTCCTGTAATCCCAGCACTTTGGGAGGCCAAGGTGGGCAGATTGCTTGAGCCCAGGAGTTTGAAACTTTCCTGGGCAACATGTTGTTTCTCCTAAAAATACAAAAAATTAGCCAGGCATGGTGGCCTGTGCCTGCAGTCCCAGCTACTCAGGAGGTGAGGTGGGAGGATCGCTTGAGCCTGGGAGGCAGAGGTTGCAATGAGCTGAGATCACAACACTGCACTCCAGCCTGGGTGACAGAGTGAGACCCCATCTCAAAATCAATCAATCAATCAATCAATCAGCTCCCTGGACATGGTGGCACAAACCTATCATCTCAGCTACAGGGGAGGCAAAGGTGGGAGGATCCCTTGAGCCTAGGAGTTCGAGATCAGCCTGGGCACCCCATCAATTTTAAGAAAAAAAAATTTTTAAAGAAAAAAATTATGCAGCCCAAAGTAAAACAGTTGGGTATTTCGCATACACTAAAATGTACAGTTGACCCTTGAACAATTCAGGGTTGGGGTAATGACCTCAGTCGCACTATTGAAAATCGGCGTGTAGCTTTTCTTTTTGAGGCACAGTCTCACTCTGCTGCCCATGCTGGAATGCAGTGGCATGATGGCGGCTCACTGCAGTCTCAACCTCCCGAGCTCAAGTAATCTTCCTGCCTCTGCCTCCTGAGTAGCTGGGACTACAGACGCGTGCTGTCAAACCCACCTAACTTTTTCTATTTTTTTTAGAGAAGGGGTCTCAGTATATTGCCCTGGTTGGTCTTGAACATCTGGGTTCAAGCAGTCCTCCCCACTTCAGCCTCCCAAAATGTTGGGATCACAGATGTGAGCCATCACACCTGGCCAGCATATAACTTTTGATTCCTCAAAATTTTAACTACTAGACAAGTGTGGTGGCTCATGCCTGTAATCCCAGCACTGTGGAAGGCCAAGGCCGGTGGATTGCTTGAGGCCAGGAGTTCAAGGCTTCAGTGAGCTATGATCACACCTCTGCATTTCAGCCTGGGCAACAGAGAGAGATCCTGTCTCTAAAAAAAAAAAAACCAGGCTGTGCACCATAGCTCACACCTGTAATTCCAACAGTTTGGAGGCTGAGGTGGGAGGATTTCTTGAGTCCAGGAGTTTGAGACCAGCCTGGGCAACATAGTGAGACTATGTTTATATATTATATAGTGATATAAAATGTAAATAATTTTATACTATTTTATATTATTATTTAAAAAATTATTTTATATATATATATATATTTTTAGATGGAGTTTCGCTCTTGTTGCCCAGGCTGGAGTGCAATGGCATGATTTCGGCTCACCGCAACCTCAGCCTCCCAGGTTCAAACGATTCTCCTGCCTCAGCTTCCTGAGTAGCTGGGATTATAGCCATGCATCATCACGCTTGGCTAATTTTTCTATTTTTATTAGAGACGGGATTTCTTCATGTTGGTCAGGCTGGTCTCGAACTCCTGACCTCAGGTGTTCCGCCTGCCTCGGCCTCCCAAAATGCTGAGATTACAGGCATGAGCCTCTGCCCCCAGCCTATAGTGTATTCTTAAAGTAAGCTAAAGAAAATAAAATGTAAAAAAAAGGAAATAAAATAAAATGTTACTAAATAAATTATAAGAGGCCAGCCCCAGTGGTTCATGCCTGTAATCTCAGCACTTTGGGAGGCTGAGGTGGGAGGATCACTTGAGCCCAGGAATTAGAGACCAGCTTGAGCATATAGTGAAATCTCATCTGTACAAAAAAATTTTTTTAATTAGCTGGCTGTGGTGGCACACACCTGTAGTCGCAACTCAGGAGACTGAGGCGGGAGGATTTCTTGAGCCCAGGAGGCAGAGGTTGCAGTGAGTCAAGATCGTGCCACCCGTACTCCAGCCTGGGCAGCAGAGCAAGACCCTATCTCAAAATAAATTAATTATAAGGAAGATAAAATGCATTTACAGTACTGTACTATATTTGTTGATACCTTAACTTCATGTCATCTGTTTACAGGACGAATCATCTATCCGAAATGGCAGGCACCCACAGCTGCAGACCTCAATCTGGGTAGGGTACATAGCAAGCAATTCAACTTTTTCTTCTAATGTCAAGACTTTCCTCTGCTCCTTGGGAGCACTTCCAGCATCATTAGAATGGGTCCCATAAGTGATACAAGGTTTCTACTCGAGAACTGAGAGAGATCACTTTTCACTGCTCTGTACAGTTTGCCAAAGAGACAACTGCTCACACAGATGATTAATGGTACCTGGTGTTTTAAGCAGATGTTCTCAATAACAACTAGAAGTAACTACAAAATTATTATAGTACTGCACTATGTACTACAGGTAATTTTTTTCAGTTATGATTTACTATCGCATCTTTGTTTGTTTACATTTTTTTCAACTGTGAGTGATGCCATGTATAATCTGTAAGTATATTTGTGCATCAGTTTGGGCAAATTTTAACTTTTTTTTTTTTTTTGAGATGGAATCTCGCCTTGTCGCCCAGGCTGGAATGCAGTGGCACGATCTCGGCTCACTGCAATCCCTGCCTCCCGGGTTCAAGCAATTCTCCTGCCTCGGCCTCCTGGGTAGCTGGGACTACAGGTGCCTGCCACCACACCCGGCTAATTTTTGTACTTTTAGTAGAGACGGGGTTTCACCATGTTGGCCAGGCTAGTCTCGAGCTCCTGACCTCGTGATCCACCCGCCTTAGTCTCCCAAAGTGCTGGGATTACAGGTGTGAGCCACCGCACTGGCCAAATTTTAACTTTTTATAACAGGTTTGTGCATATTTTATGGTAGTAAATGATAAAATACACTAGTGTCTACACATATCTTGTGCATTCCTACCTGACTTTTCTTAATTTTTTTTTTTTTTTTTGAGACAGAGTCTCACTCTGTCACCCAGGCTGGAGTGCAGGGGCGTGACCTCGGCTCATTGCAGCCTCCGCCTCCTGGGTTCAAGTGATTCTCGTGCCTCAGCCTCCCAAGTAGCTGGGATTACAGGGGTGTGCCACCAGATCCAGCTAATTTTTGTATTTTTAGTAGAGGTGGGGTTTCACCATGTTGGCCAAGCTGGTCTCGAACCCCTGACCTTAGGGGATCCACCCGCCTTGGCCTCCCAAAGTGCTGGGATTACAGGCATGAGCCACTGCACCTGGCCAACTTTTTTAATTTTTTTTTTTTTTTTTGCCATTTCTAGGCTATTCTCCAAGTTTTCTCAAATTGTCCCAAATCTCTGAAAATTTTTCCCATATATTTATTGAAAATATCCACATATAAGTGAACTCACACAGTTCAAGGAACAACTGCATTCACTTTCCCCAACAAATCTTCAATGTTTTATCCCAAATAATCTACTACTGCATTTTAAAAAATAGACAACACCAATTTCAATAATCAATTTTACTCAGCGTTTTCATTTTGCTATTTAGAACAAAAGAGCAGACATTTATTGGAGTCTTGAAAATCGTCAACATTGATAAGCCAAAAAACGCAGCTATCACAACCCCAGACATGTTCCTCCACAATTTAGCACCCCGTTCATTCTCAATATTTTTCTTCCTAGGCAAGAAAGATGTTGAATTGATAGTCTTAACTTGTAAGATTTACTGAAATGCCAAAGTTCTACAGAGTAAAAATTTAGTAGAGAAATAAGAAAGAAAACTACCCAAGAATCATGCAAATTTAAATGTGTTTTCATTTAGTTATTTATTCTTTTTAGAACTGAAGTGTCACTTTGTCACAGGCTAGAGTGCAGTAGTGTGACCTTAGCCCACTGCATCCTGGAACTCCTGGGCTCAAGTGATCCTCCTGCCTCAGCCTTGTAAGTAGCTGGGACTACAGGCATGTGCCACCATGCCAGGCCAATTTTTTCATTTTTTTGTAGAGATGGGGGTCTTCCTACGTTGCCCAGGCTGGTCTTGAACTTCTGGCCTCAAGCAATCCTCCCACCTGGGCTGGCATTACTATGTTAGTCCAGCCTCCTACTTCCCTGGTAAATCTGCAGGTTTTCCCAGGCTGGTCTTGAACTGCTGGCCTCAGATAATCCTCCCATCTTGACCTCCCAAAGTGCCAGGATTACAGGTGTGGGCCACTATGCCCGGCCTTGATTTATTAACTTGAACAAAACAGGAGGGAAATTCCACAACTACTACCTGGTATTATTAATAATTGTCATTAAGGCAGGATGTGGTGGCTCATGCCTGTAATCCCAACACTTTGGGAGGCTGAGGAGGATATGATTGCTTCAGCCAGGAGTTCAAGACCAGCCTGGGCAACATGATGAGACCCCCCATCTCTACAAAAAATAAAATAGGCTGGGCGTGGTGGCTCACGCCTATAATCTCAGCACTTAGGGAGGCCGAGGCGGGCGGATGACCAGAGGTTAGCAGTTCGAGACAAGCCTGACCAACATGGTGAAACCCTGTCTCTACTAAAAATACAGAATTAGCCAGGCATGGTGGCACATTCCTGTAATCCCAGCTACTTAGGAGGCTGAAGCAGGAGAATCACTTGAACCTTGGAGGCAGAGGTTGCAGTGAGCTGAGATCGAGCCATTGCATTCCAGCCTGGGCAACAAGAGGGAAACTCCCTCTCAAAATAATAATAATAATAATAAATAACAATAAGACAAAATTAGCTGGGTGTGGTGGGGTATGCACCAGTAGTCTCAGCTACTGTGGAAGCTGAGGCAGGAGGATTCCTTCAACCCAGAAGTTCAAGGTTACTCCTGGGTTGAGCTATAATCCTGCCACTGCACTCCAGCCTGGGCAACAGAACAAGACCCTGTCTCAAAAAAACAAGCTGTCATTACAACTAAATTTTTGACAGTATGTGATTAAAGTACTTTATTCTGGAGTTAGTAAAAACCATAAATAATAGTTTCTTAATATTAGTATCTTCATCATTTACATTATGAAGCATTTGCTCCAGTTATGAATAATCTTAGGCCCCATTTACAAACCTTCCCCTTTTTGCACAAAATATATGTTATTGTTTCATGTTATTTTTCTCCTTCATAAATACCAGGAGGATTCCAAGTAGGGAAATATTTTTCAGTGAGACTTAAAAATAATTAGCAATGTTGAAGCTTGTATCTTGTTCAGGGTAATCCAAATTTATTTATTTATTTATTTTTGAGACAGGGTCTTACTCTGTCACCCAGGGTGGAGTGCAGTGGCCCAATCATGGCTCACTGCAGCCTCCACCAACCTCCTGGGCTCAGATGATCCTCCCACTTCAGCCTCCTGAGTAGCTAGGACTAAAGGCATGCACCACCATACCCAGCTAATTTTTTCTTTTCTTTTTTTTTTTTTTTTGTTTTTTGTTTTTTGTTTTTAGAGACAGAGTTTTACCATGGGCTGGTCTTGAATTCCTGGACTCACGCGACCCTCCTGCCTCAGCCTCCCAAAGCACTGGGATTAGAGGCATAAGCCACCTTGCCCAGCCAAAATGTCTTTTATTTCTACTGTTCTAGAAACAAACTTGCTCAGTTTACAAGCCACTTTGGGGTCTTGGTGTGTGATAGTTAATTTTATGTGTCAACTTTATTGGGATACAGGGTGCCCAGATTAAACATTATTTCTGGGTGTATCTGTGACAGCGTTGGTAAAGCAGATTTCTTTAGAGCTCGTATGTGAGCCTGAAGAAGACTTCTGTCTCCTATAGCCACAGAGCTGAGACTGCTGAAAATCAAATGCAGAACCTCATTCTGTGACTGACTGAATTGTATCCAGCCTCACAGGGCATCTACTGTTAAAGTGAGCATATTGATTGGGAAACAATAGGATCCTGGAAATTGAAATAGGGATGTGCGGGAAGACCTTGATAAGAGACATTGAGCCCCGAAAGTCTGATGTATCTCCATTGCCAGTGGAAGAGGCCTCCCTACCCCAGTGGTATGGGTCTCCCCATCACTCTCCCAGCCCCATCTCAGGGAATTAACTCTGCATTGCCTGAGGAAACTGTAAAGGCCTCCACTGAGGCAGTTGACAGGCAAGACTATGCTGATTCTGTTACGGGACCACCTCAACAACCCCCTTTGCTTCTAGACCTGTAACTAGACCCAAGTACCAGTAGGTCCCTAAGGCGAAGTACAAAGTGTGACCCAAGAGGAGGGATGCGATGCTCCAAAAGAACTACAGCAGTCCCCCCAATCCATGGCTTTGCTTTCCACAGTTTCAGTTACCCACAGTCAACCATGATTCAAAAGTATTAAGTGGAAAATTCCAGAAGTAAGCAACTCATACTTTTTTTTCTGTTTTTGTTTTGTTTTGTTTTCTTTTGTTATTGAGACAGATAGGGTCTTGCTCTCCACTCAGGCTTGAGTACAGTGGTGTGATCATAGCTCACTGCAGCCTTGAACTCCTGGGCTCAATCCATCTTCCCATCTTGCCTCCCAAGTTAGCTGGGACTACGGGTGTGCACCACCAAGCTTGGCCAATTTTTTTGTTTTGTATCGTTTTGTTTTGTTTTGTTTTGTTTTTGTAGAGATGGTGGTCTCACTGTGTTGTCCACGTTGGTCTTGAACTCTTAGCCTCAATGGTGCCTCCCACCTTGGCCTTCCAAAACGCTGGAATTATAGGCATGAATCACTATGCCCAACCAACTCATAATTTCAATTGCGTGTTGTTCTGAGTAGTGTGATAAAATATCGTGTCATTGCTAAATGGACTTAGGGTTGTTTAAAAGAAATAAAGAATATAAATAAAATAACACAATAAATTAAAAAAAAAACTTACACCATCCCACCCAGGGTGCGAATCATCCCTCTGTCCAGCATACCTGCACTGTGTATGCTATTCACTCATTTTCACTTAGTAGCTGTCTCAGTTATCAGATTGACTGTCATGGTATCACAGTGTTTGTGTGCAAGTGGCTTTTATTTCACTCAATAGTAGCCCCAAAGTAAGAGTAGTGATGCTGGCAATTCAGATATGCCAAAGAAAAGCTGTCAAGTACTTCTTCTAAGTAAGGAGGTGAAAGTGCTCAACTTAATAAGGAAAGAAAAAAACTCATATGTTGAGGTTGCTAAGATCTATAGTAAGAACAAATCTTTTATCTGTGAAACTGTGAAGAAGGAAAAAGTAATGAAATTCATGCTAGTTTTGCTGTCACACCTCAAATTGCAAGTTAGACTACAGTGACTGACAACTTTCATTACAGCATGTTGTTATAATTGTTCTATTTTATTATTAGTTATTGTTAATCTCTTCCGGTGCCTAATTTTTGTTTGTTTGTTTGTTTGTTTTTGAGACAGAGTGTCACTCTGTCACCCGGCTGGAGTGCAGTGGCACAATCTTAGCTCACTGCAACCTCCACCTCCTGGGTTCAAGTGATTCTCCTGTCTCAGCCTCCTGAGTAGCTGGGACTACAGGCACACACCACCACGCCTGGCTAATTTTTTTTTTTTTTTTTTTTTTTTTTTAGGAGAGACAGAGTTTTGCCATGTTGCACCAGCTGGTCTCAAACTCCCGACCTCAGGTGATCTGCCTGCCTTGGCCTCCCAAAGTGCTGGGATTACAGGCTCAAGCCACCATGCCTGGCCTAATTTTTTTTTTTTTTTAGTGCAGTCAAGGTCTTGCTATGTTGCCCAGGCTGGTCTCAAAGTCCTGGGCTCAAGGGATCCTGTCTTCTCAGCCTCCCAGCATCCTGGGATTACAGGCTTGAGCCACCACACCTGTCGTAGAGCCTTTCTAACTCCCTAAACTGAAGAATTAAAGGCAGAATCTCTGCTTAGTGGGCCCAAATCAATTAATTTAGCCTGACCCAACCTTATGTTCTTTCCACCATCATCGCATACCCTTAGTATCCATTCTCACACATGCTCTCCCATTTCTGTCCATATAAATTAGAAAACTCAAGTAGAGTAGTCCCCTCTTAGCCTAAGGGAATATGTTCCAAGACCCCCAGTGGAAGACTGAAACTGTGGTTAGTACCGAACCCTACATATACTATGCTTTTTTCTATATACACATACCTATGGTAAAGTGTAATTTATAAATTACTTGCTGGGCACAGTTGCTCATGCCTGTAACCCCAGCACTTTGGGAGGCTGAGGTGGGCAGATCACTTGAGGTCACGAGTTTGAGACCACTCTGGCCAATATAGTGAAACCCCATCTGTACTAAAAATATGAAAATTAGCTGGGCATGCTGATATGCACCTGTAGTCCCAGCTACTCAGGAGACTGAAGTGGGAGAATCACTTGAACCCGGGAGGTAGAGGTTGCAGTGAGCCAAGATCGTGCCATTGCACTCCAGCCTGGGTGACAGAGTGAGACTCCATCTCAAAAAAAAAGCCAGCCAGGCATGATGGTGTGTTCCTGTAGTCCAAGCTACTCAGGAGGCTGAGGTAGGAGGACCATTTGAGCCTGGGAGGTCGAGGCTGCAGTGAGCCATACTCTGGCCTGGCTGATAGAGTGAGACCCTGTCAAAAAACAAACAAACAAACAAAAAGGCCAGGCAAGGTGGCTCACGCCTGTAATCCCAGCAGTTTGGGAGGCTGAGGAGGGCAGATCATGAGGTCAAGAGTTCGAGACCAGTCTGGCCAACATGGTGAAACCCTGTCTCTACCAAGAATACAAAAATTAGCCAGATGTGGTGGCGGGCACCTGTAATCCCAGCTACTCGGGAGGCTGAGGCAGGAGAACTGCTTGAACTCAGGAGGCAGAGGTTGCAGTGAGCTGAGATCGAGCCACTGCACTCCAGTCTGGGTGACAGAGCAAGACTCTGTCTTGGGGGAAAAAAAAAGGAAAGAAAAGAAAAAGCTCTAACACTTCAGTTGGTTGGCTCAAACATGGAAAACATGGACCAAAACCTGGTCCATGGTGAGCAAATTGGAAATGCCGTACCTGCCTTGGTTTTATGTAGGGAAAGGAATTCAGAAGCTTAGGGAGATTGGCATGCTAGAGTGAATTTGTCATTTAAGGCCTATTCACCCACACTGGGAAGGTTCAAAAGACACACCTTTCACTAGTACCGTGAAACATAACATCATGAGGGGAGCACATCCTTGGAGAGCTCTGTGATCACCCTACTCTGTAGGCCTGGCCTTTCGATGGAAACTGCACTCACAGAATCGGGAAGCCTAAATGCAATGGGAGTCATTGGATCCCACCCCTGCCCAGAGTGGCAGGTTCCAAGTTTTGGGACTCAACCAACAGAGGCAAGGGGGGTGTGGTTGCCATGATGAACAGCAGAATCAAGGCAGCAATCAGAATAGTCTGACTCATGAAGACCTTTGGCATTGGCAAGTTTATCAGGGTGTTCCTAGAAGTGAAATATTTTCTTACTTGATCTGTATATGCAGAAAATTTCTAGGTCAGATGAACAAAAGTTTAACATGTATCATAAAAATTGATTCATAACCCCTCAGTGAATTGCTGGACATCAGCCACTTTACTGACCCAGGACCACTTGAATGAAGGGGATACCTGGACCTGTTGAAGAATAACCCCAGTACTCCTAAAAATCTATCTTTGTGTGTGTGTGTTTTGTTTTGTTTTTGTTTTTGCTTTTGAGACAGAGTCTCACTCTGTTGCCCAGGCTGGAGTGCAGTAGCTGGGATTACAGGTGCCCACCACCACGCCTGGCTAATTTTTGTATTCTTGGTGGAGACGGAGTTTCACCATGTTGGCCAGGCTGGTCTCAAACTCTTGACCTCATGATCTGCCCACCTCAGCCTCCCAAACTGCTGGGATTAAATGGCTCACTGCAGTCTCAAACTCCTGGGCTCAAATGATTCTCCCACCTTAGCCTGCCGACTAGCTGGGACTACAGGCTCAAACCCCTGTGCCTGGCTAATAAAAATGTATGCTATTAATCTTTTTCCCAGTCTTCCCCAAAGGGACCTATAGCCAGGGACCTGTAACCACAGTAGTTGTGCATTGGGAAGAAGGAAATAATCAGAACTTTTGGGGACTACTAGACACCAGCTCTGAGCTGTTACCAATTCTGGGGTACCCAAAATGCCACTGTGGCCTACCAGTGGGAGTAGGGGCTTATGGAGGTCAGGTAATTAATGGAGTTTTAGCTCAAGTCTGCCTCACAGTGGACCCAGTGGGTCCCAACCCATTCTGCAGTTATTTCTCCAGTTCCAGAATGTGTAATTGAAATAGGCATACAAAGAAGCTGGCAGAATCCCCATATTGTTTCCCTGACCTGCAGAGTGAGGGCTATTATGGGAGGAAAGGCCAAGTGGAAGCTACTAAAGCTGGCCTGAACTAGGAAAATAGTAAACCCAAAGCATAACACATTCCTAGAGGGACTGCAGAGATTAGTGCCACCATCAAGGACATGAAGGATGCAGGGGTGATGATTCCCACCACATTCCCATTCAGTTTGCCCATTTGGCCTGTGCAGAAGACAGATGGATCTTGGAGGATGATGGTGGATTATCACAAGCTTAACCAGGTGGTGACTCCAATTGCAGCTGCTGTATCAGATGTGGTTTCATTGCTTAAGCAAATTAACACATCCCCTGGTTCCTGGTTTGCAGCTATTGAACTGGCAAACGCCTTTCCCTCAAATTCCTGTCCATGAGGCCCATAAGAGCAGTTTTCTTTCAGCAGGCAGGCCAGCAATATACCTTCAGGTCCTGCCTGGGGGGTATATGTGAACTCTCTAGCCCTATGTCAAAATTTACACAGAAAGACAAACATTGCATGTTCTCACTCATTTGTGAGATCTAAAAATCAAAACAACTGAACTCATGGACATAGAGAGTAGAAGGGTGATTATCAGAAGCTTGGAAGGGTAGGGTAGTGGGGGAGGTGGGAGGTAGGGATGATTAATGGGTACAAAAACAGTAGTTAGAAAGAATGAATAAGACCTGCTATTTGATAGCACAACAGGGTAACTATAGTCAACAATAATTGTACATTTTAAAATAACTGAAACTATAATTGGATTGTTACACAAAGGATAAATGCTCAAGGGGATGGAACCCCATTCCCCATGTAATCATTATGCATTACATGCCTGTATCAAAACATTTCATGTACCCCATAAATATATACACCTACTATGTATGACAAAAATTATTAAAAATAAAACAAAATTAAATTCCCAAAGAATTGCCTTTCCCTTCCACAAGACATCACACTGGTCCATTACACTGAAGCCACCGTGCTGATTGGACCCAGGAAGCAAGGAGTATCAACTATTCTACACTCACTGGCAAGACGCTTGCATGTCAGAGGGTGAAAAATAAATCCAACAAAAATTCAAGGGCCTTCTACCTCCGTGAAACTTCTAGAGATCCAGTGGTGTGGGGCATGTTGAGATGTCCCTTCTAAGGTGAGGGAGAAGTTGTTGCATCTGCCCCTCCTACAGGCAGAATACAGGCACAATGCCCCGTGGGTATCTTTGGATTTTGGAGGCAACATATTCTTCATTTAGGTGTGATATTCGAATCTATTTACTGGGTGACCCAAAAAGCTGCAAGTGTTGAGTGGGACTCAGAAACGGACAAGGCTCTGCAATGGGTCCAGGCTGCTGTGCAAGCTGCTCCGCCCCTTGGGCCATATGATCCAGCAGAGCCAATGGTGCCTGAAGGGTCAGTGGCAGACAGGGGTGCTGTTTGGAGTCTTTAGCAGGTTCCTGTAGGTGGATTATAGCTCAGATCCTTAGAATTTTGCAGCAGAGCCCTGCCATCCTTCAGCTTACTTTCCTTTTGAGACAGCTCTTGGCCTGCTCCTGAGCCTTGGTAAAGACTGAATGCTTGACCAGACGTGGTGGCTCACACCTGTAATCTCAGCACTTTGGGAGGCTGAGGTGGGTGAATCACGAGGTCAGCCTGGCCAACATGGTGAAAGCCCACCTGTACTAAAAATACAAAAATTAGCCGGGCATGGTGGCATGTGCCTGTAATCCCAGCTACTTGGGAGACTGAGGCAGGAGAATCACTTGAACCCTGGAGGCAGAGGTTGCAGTGAGCCAGGATTG
This sequence comes from Homo sapiens, assembly GCF_000001405.40. Classification (NCBI taxonomy): domain Eukaryota; kingdom Metazoa; phylum Chordata; class Mammalia; order Primates; family Hominidae; genus Homo; species Homo sapiens. The sequence continues at coordinate 50,134,691 of NC_000016.10, read as the reverse complement.
CGCCATTACACTCCAGCCTAGGTGACAGAGCAAGACTCCATCTCGGGAAAAAAAAAGACTGAATGCTCAACCATGGCCACCAAGTTACAATGCGACTTGAGCTACCCATCACAAACTGGGGGCTATCTGATCTCCAATGCCATAAATTTGGATGTGCACAGGAGCACTCCACCATCAAATGGAAGTGGTATATACATGATTGAGTTCAAGCAGGCCCTGAAGGCACAAGTAAGTTAATGAAGGACTGGCACAAATACCAACGGTCCCCCGCCCCGCTACACTGCCTTCTGTCTCCCGTTCTGTACCTATGGCCTCTTAGGGAGGTCCCTATAATCAGCTGACAGAGGAAGATAGGACAGGCCTGGTTTCCAGGTGGTTCTGCACAATACGTGTGTGCCATCTGAAAGTGGACAGCACTACAGCTTCTCTCTGAGACATCCCTTAAGGACAGCAGTGAAGGGAAATCTTCCCAGTGGCAAAACTTCAGGCAGCATGCTTTGCTTGGAAGAAGAAATGGTCAGACACGCAATTATATACCAATCCCATGGGCTGTGGACCATGGTTTGGCTGGATGTTCAGGAACTTGGAAGGAATATGATTGGAAAACTGGTAACAAGGAAATTTGGAGAAGAGGTATGTGAATAGACCTCGCAGAATGAGCAAAAATCATAAGATATTTGTCTCCCATGTGAATGCTCACTAAAGGGTGACCTCAGTAGAGCAGGACTTTAAAAATCAAGTGGATAGGATGACCTATTCTGTGGATAGCCATCAGCCTCTTTCTCCAGCCACCCCCTCATCAGCCAGTGGGCTCATGAGCAGAGTGGCCATGGTCAGGGATGGAGGTTAATCATGGGCTTGGGAATATGGACTACCACTTATCAAAGCTGACCTGGCTATGGCCACTGGTGAGTGCCCAATCCATCAGCAGCAGAGACCAAGACTGAGTCCCTGATATTCCCCGGGGGGTAAATCAGCCAGCTCCCCAGTGGCAGGTTGATTACACTGGACTGCTTCTATCATGGAAGGGACAGTGTTTTGTTCTTACTGTAATAGATTCTTTAAAAATTTTTTTTAATTATTATTTTTTATTTTTAGAGATGGGATCTTGCTGTGTTGCCCAGGCTGGAGTGCAGTGGCTATTTGCAGGCATGATTATAGCACACTACAGCTTTGAACTCCTGTTCTCAAGAAATCTTCCCACTTTGCCTCAGCCTCCCAAGTAGCTAGAACTACAGGTGCACACCACTGTGTGGGCTTGTAATAAACTCTTACTCAGCATATTAATTTGCCTTCCCTGCACACAATGCTTCTACCAAAACTACCGTTTGTGGGCTTATAGAATGTCTTATCCATTGTAATGGTATTGGTATTCCACACAACATTGCTTCTCATCAACGAACACACAGCAAAAGGAATGCAGCAATGGGTTCAAGCTCATGGAATTCACTGGTCTTTTCCCACCATTCTGAAGTAGCTGGTTTGATGAAACAGTGAAAGGGTCTTTTGAAGACTTAGTTACAGTACCAGCTAGGAGGGCTAGGGCAAGGTTCACCAGAAGGCTGTATATGCTCTGAATCAGCGTCCAAAAACAGTGCTGTTTGTTTTGTTTTTCTTTTTTCTTTCTTTCTTTTTTTTTTTTTTTTTTTGGAGACAGAGTTTCCCTCTTGTCGCCCAGGCTGGAGTGCAATGGTGTGATCTCGGCTCACTGCAACATCTGCCTCCCGGGTTCAAGCGATTCTCATGACTCAGTCTCCTGAGTAGCTGGAATTACAGGCACCTGCCACCACACCGGCTAATTTTTGTATTTTTTAGTAGAGATGAGGTTTTGCCATGTTGGTCAGGCTGATCTTGAACTCCTGACCTCAGGTGATCCACCCGGCTCGGACTACCAAAGTCCTGGGATTACAGGTGTGAGCCACCGCGCCTGGCCATGGTGCTGTTTCTCTTACAGCAGGAAATCACAGTCAGGAATCAAGGGTGGAAATGGGAGTGGCACCCTTCACCAATTTTTTTTTTTTTTTTTTTTTTAGACAGAGTCTTGCTCTGTTGCTCAGGCTGGAGAGCAGTGGCATGGCCATAGCTCCCTATAGCCTCAAACTCATGGGCTCAAGCAATCCTCCCACCTCAGCCTCTCAAGTAGCTAGGACTACAAGTGCTTGCCACCATGCCCAGCTTGTTTAACAAACAAAGAAAAAAAATGTATATATATATATATATATTAGAAACAGTGTCTCCCTATGCTGTTTGGGCTGGTCTCAAACTCCTGGCCTCAAGCAATCCTCCTGCCTTAGCCTCCCAAAGCACTGGGATTACAGGCATGAGCCACTGTGCCCAGCTGAACCACTATTACTTCTAGTGACCCAGTAGCAAAATTTTTGGTTCCTGTTCTCACAACTTTATGCTCTGCTGGTCTAGAGCTCTTAGTTCCAGAAGAAGGAATGCTTCCATCTGGAGACACAACAATAATTGCATTGAGCTGGAAGTTAAGGCTACTGCCCAGCCACTTTGGGCTCCTTAATACCCTGAATCAACAAAAAAAGAAGGGAATCCTCTAGTGGCTAGATAAATTGATTCTGACTACCAAGGGAAACTTGGACTACTACTCCACAATGGAGGTAAGAAAGAGTATGTCTGCAATTCATGAGATCCTGCAGAGCATCTCTCAGTATGACCACGCCCTCTGATTAAGTGGAACGGAAAAATATACAACAATCCAATCCAGACAGGACTATATATGGCCCAGGTCCTTCAGGAATGAAGGTTTGGATCACAACACCAAATAAAGAACCATGACCACCTGAGGTGTTTGCTGAAGGCAAAAGGAATACAGAATGGGGTAGTGGAGGAAGATAGTTATAAATAAATACACAGCCATGACCACATGACTGGTTACAGAAATGAGGACTGTAATTGTTATATTTCCTCCTTATTTTATTTATTTATTTTTTTTATTATTTATTTATTTATTTATTTATTTATTTATTTTTTGAGATGGAGTCTCCCTCTGTCACCCAGGCTGGAGTGCAGTGGCGTGATCTCGGCTCACTGCAAGCTCCACTTCCTGGGTTAATGCCATTCTCCTGCCTCAGCCTCCTGAGTAGCTGGGACTACAGGTGCCCATCACCACGCCCGGCTAATATTTTTTTTAATATTTTTAGTAGAGACGGGTTTTCACCCGTACCCAGGATGGTCTCAATCTCCTGACCTCGTGATCTGCCCACCTCAGCCTCCCAAAGTGCTGGGATTACAGGTGTGAGCCACCACTCCCGGCCTCCTCCTTATTTTATTATGAACACGTTTGTGTAGCAAATATCTTTGTTTTCTTTCCTCTCATTTTATCATGTAACATAAGATGTATTGACTTTGTATCATAGGATTTAAGTATTGTTAATTTTATATCTGGCTGCGTGTGGTTGTTCATGTCTGTAATCCCAGCACTTTGAGAGGCTGAGGTGGGAGGACCACTTGAGCCCAGAAGATCAAGACCAGCCTGGGCAACATAGGGAGACCCTGTCTCTACAAAAATTAAAAAAAAAAATAGCCAGGCGTGGTAACACTTGCCTGTAGTCCTAGCTACTTGGGAGGCTGTAGAGGGAGGATCTCTTGAGCCCAGGAGGTAGAGGTTGCAGTGAGCTATGATCATGCCACTGCACTCCAGCATGGGCAGCAGAGTGAGACCTTATCTCAGAAAACAACAACAGCTGAGCATGGTGGCTCACACCTGTAATCCTAGAACTTTGGGAGGCCAAGGCAGGCAAATTGCTGGAGCCCAGGAGTTCGAAACCAGCCCGAGCAATATGGCAAAACCTCATCTCTACTAAAAACAAAACAGAAAAAAAACAAAAAACAGTATCCAGGTGTAGTGGCATGCACTTGCTGTCCCGACTACTCAGAAGGCTGAGGTGGAAGAATCGCTTGAGCCTGGGAGGATGAGGCTGCTGTGAGCTGTCATTGCACCACTGCACTCCAGCCTGGGCAACAGAGCCAGACCTTGTCTCTATAGAAAACAAACAAAAAACCAACAATAACAACAAAAATTTTACATCTGCTCTATGAAAGTGTCATATATGCAAAGCAGCCCTCAAATGCCAAAGGAACAGAGAAACCAAGGAATGAGGCAGATGAACCAGTTTGTCAATGAAGGGTGATTTATGAGGGAACTTATACACAGTAGTTTAGTCTTGAGCATCAGCAAGACAGGTAGATCTCAGCACGATTCCTCCCCAGACACAAGGCTCACCTACCAAAGGGAAAGGGGCTCTATGCTCTATAGAGACAATTCAAGGCAACTGATATAGTTTGGATTTTTGTCCCCTTTAAATCTCATGTTGCAATGATTCCCAGTGTTGGAGGTGGGGCCTGGTGGGAGGTGATTGGATCATGGGGGCAGATCCCCTCATGAATGGTTCAGCACCATCCCCTTGGTGATAAGTGAGCTCTCACCTGACTGCATGTGAGATCTTGTTGTTTGAAAGTGTATGGCACCCACCCCTTCCCCGTCTCTCCTGCTCCCACTTTATTTATGTAACATGCCTGCTCCCCCTTCAGCTCCCACGGTAATTGTAAGCTTCCTGAGGCCCTCGCCAGAAGCAGATTCTAGAGCCATGCTTGTACAGCCTGCAGCCTGCAGGTGGGAGAATTGCAATCTCAGCTCACTGCAAGCTCCGCCTCCCAGGTTCAAGAGATTCTCCTGCCTCGGCCTCCCAAGTAGCTGGGATTACAAGCACCTGCCACCACATCTGGTTAATTTTTTTTTTTTTTTTTTGTATTTTTAGTAGAGACGGGGTTTCACCATGTTGGCCAGGCTGGTCTCAAACTCCTCACCTCAGGGGATCCACCCGCCTTGGCCTCCCAAAGTGCTGGGATTACAGGCGTGAGCCACCGCGCCCAGCCCAAACCTCTTTTCTTTACGAATTACCTAGCCTCAGGTATTTTTTATAGTAATGCAGGGACGGCCTAACACAGCAGCCCTCCAGAACAGGCAAGAATGCTGTGTGCGTCATAGCCTGTGATTTGTGTGGTAATATCAAGGTTGCCTTGACCTAAAGGCAGGATTTATAGTGTGTACATGTTCTTACACCAAGGACAGTAAATAAAGTAGGAATCAGAGGCATTCATGAGACTGGGGTTAGTAAGAAGTCAGTATGGCAGATCAGCATTCAAGATGGACTCACTTTTGTCTCCGCAACATCACAGTCTTTAAGTTTCAGAAGAATATCAAAGAGAAGACTAAACATCACTCATTCCTATCCTTTTCTGGGAAAGAGTTTGTGCATTTTCGGTGGCACACAGGATAGATGTATCATATTAGGCAGAATTATTATCTTGTTATTGTCATTATTTGGAGATTAAGTATGGTTTCAGGAGATGAGGATGAGTGTCAAGTTGACAAGGGGTAGACTCGTGATGGTTATTTTTATGTGTTGACTTGATTGGGGCATGGAGTGCCTACGTAAAACATTATTTCTGGTTGTGTCTGTGAGAGTGATTCTGAATGAGACCGGCATTTGAATCAGTGGCTGAGTAAAGCAGATGGCCCTCCCCAGTGTGGGGGTCCTCATCCAGTCCTGTCATCCAATCCATTGAGGGCCTGAATAGAACAACAGAAGCAGAGGAGGGAGAGTTTGCTCTGTCTGCCTGATTGGTTGAGTGGAGACATCAGTCTTCTGCCCTCTCCTGGGACTTGCACCATCAGATTCCCAGTTCTCAGAGTTACACCGCCAGCCTTCCAGGGTCTCCAGTTTGCAGAAGCAGAGTGTGGGATTTCTCAGCCTCCATAATCGCATGAGTTAATTCCTTAAAATACATCATAGATGATAATACAGTGATAGAGATAGAGGTGGATAGACAGATAGATTGATCAATCATATTGGTCTATTTTTCTGGAGAACCCTGACTAATACAGTGAGTGTTTTAAGAGCTCTATTGGTGGGGGGTGGCAATGGGGAGATGTTGGTCAAAGGGTATGAAGTTTCAACTATACAGAAGAATAAGTTTTCAAGACCTATAAGAGAACTGATTTTATTTTATTTTTAAATTTTATTTTATTGAGAGTGTCTTGCTCTTTCACCCAGGCTGGTGTGCACTGGGATGGTCTCAGGTCATTGCAGCCTCAATATTCTGGGCTCAAGTGATCCTCCTACCTCAGCCTCCCAAGTAGCTGGGACAACAGGTGCATGGCACCACGCCTGGCTAATTTTTGTATTTTTTGTAGAGATAGGGTCTCACTATGTTGCCCAGGCTGGTCTCAAACTCCTGGCTCAAGTGATCCTCTTGCCTTGGCCTCTCAAAGTGTTGGGATTACAGGCGTAAGCCACTGCATCTGACCAAGAGAGCTGATCTTAAATGTTCACACCACAAAAAAAAATTATGTGAGGTGATGGATATGCTTGATTTAATTATTCCATAATGTGTACATATATCAAAACATCACATTGCATCCCACACAGATATGTAGTGATTATTTGTCAATTAATTTTTTTTTTTGAGACAGGGTTTCACTCTCCTCATCTAGGCTGGAGTGCAATGGTGTGATTTTGGCTCACTGCAACCTCTGCCTCCCAGGCTCAAGTGATCCTCCCACCTCAGCCTCCCTAGTAGCTGGGACTATAGGGGCACACCACCACGCCCTGCTAATTTTTGTATTTTTGGTGCAGACAGGGTTTCACTATGTTAGTCAGGCTGGTCTCAAACTCCTGAGCTCAAGTGATCAGCCCGCCTTGGCCTCCCCAAGTGCTGGGGTTACAGGCATGAGTCACTGCGCCTGGCTGATTAAATATTTTTTAAAAGAGATTTATTTTAATTTACATACTGTGACATTCACCCATCTTAAGTGTACAATTCAATAATTTTTAGTGAATGTACAGAGCTGTGCAATCATCACCACATTCCAACTTTAAAATACCTCCGTCCCCAGAAAGATCTTTAAGGTTCATTTGCAGTCACTCCTTTACCCACTTGAGCCCTAGGCAGCCACTAATCTACTTTCTATCTTGATAGCTTTGCCTTTTCTGGGTAACTCTGTGTTGAGTGGTGTTTCTATAGAACTTGACCATGGCAGGCACTAAGGCCCCCAAAAAGAATTGGTAGCTCAGCCTAATGAGAGTGGAAAAAACCCACTCCCAGAATGAGTTCATTTTCTCAAATTTTTGGACTGGTCTTTAACAAATTCAGACATTTTTCAGATTCAGGTTTTCACAAGGCCATGGAGGCAGCTCCTCCCATCCTCCCATCATCTTTCTTGTTACTAGAGGAAGTAGCGCCCTTGGCCAGAGGTACGCAAAGCAAGTGTTGGTCTCTGGGCGGCCACTCTAGTGGAGAGAAAGCCCAGAAACTCAAACAAGATGCAACACCCTAGCAGTGCTGTGCATTTTACGTTTTTTTTTTTTTTTTTTTTTTTTTTTTTTGAGATGGAGTCTCGCTCCGTCACTCAGGCTGGAGTGCAGTGGAATGATCTCGGCTCACTGCAACCTCTGCCTCCTGGGTTCACATCATTCTTCTGCCTCAGCCTCCCATATAGCTGGGATTACAGGTGCCCTCAACCACGCCCAGCTAATTTTTTGTATTTTTAGTAGAGATGGAGTTTCACCATGTTGGCCAGGCTGGTCTTGAACTCTGACCTCAGCCTCCCAAAGTGCTGGGATTACAAGTGTGAGCCACCGTGCCTGGCCCCATGTTACCCTTTCTTTTTAACTCACCCCTGCAATGTAGTCTATGGATAAAGGAGAAGGTGCTCACTGACATTTGCTACCTCTTCTGTCATTAAACAATCCAACCATGCAAATTTCTGTTTTGAAAGACTAAGGCTCTTTTTTTTTTTTTTTTTTTTTTGAGACAGAGTCTCGCTCTGTTGCCAGGCTGGATTGCAGTGGCACAATCTTAGCTCACTGCAACCTCCGGCTCCCTAGTTCAAGTGATTCTCTTGCCTCAGCCTCCCAAGTAGCTGGGATTACAGGCACACGCCACCACGCCCAGCCAATTTTTGTATTTTTAGTAGAGATGGGGTTTTACCATGTTAGCCAGCATGGTCTTGATCTCCTGACCTCGTGATCTGCCCACCGCGGCCTCCCAAAGTGCTGAGATTACAGGTGTGAACCACCGCATCCGGCGGACAAAGGCTCTTCTGTCAGAATAGCATGAAAAAAAGAAAAGAAATAAAAAGACAAAGGCCCTTACTAAATGTCAACACTGTACTCCAGAATGTTCTCTTAGCAGCGCCTACATAGCTTGAAACACAGTCCAGGCCTTCTCGAAAAAGAGTTACTTGGTCACAAAAGAAGTTTCCAAGGCTCTTTTCTAGAACCCAGTTTTACTATTGTTCCTGTTTTGTTTTGACAGTCACCTTCTGCTTTGTGCCTAGGAGACAAGTATGACCTTCCTGATCCTCCTACATTCAAAAAACCCCAGACCTTCCGTATTATATCTCCAGGACATGCTGGAAGCCTCTACCCCAACCCTACTTGCCTAGTTCTTGTCTAGGCTACTGCATATCTTTCCAACTGTTGGTCTGGAATCATCCACATCAACGCTTGGAACCTCCTCCGCCTGTAATCCCAACATTTTGCGAGGCCAAGGCTGGGGAATCTCTTGAGCCCAGGAAATCGAGGCTTCAGTGAGCTGTGTTCACACCACTGCACTGCAGTGTGGATGACAGAGCAGAGCAAGACCCTGTCTCCAAAAAAAAAAAAAAAAAAAAAAAAGAATGACAACGTCACTTTGCTTACAGCACATAATAAAATCAAACTCTAAGCAGGATGGTAGGCATGGAAGTCAGAATCCGCTAACAAGTGTAAGTAACAATTTGTCTCCCAGAAAAAATACAAAAAGAAACAAATCAAACTCCAGATTTTTTTTCTGTTCGAACCCATTTCTCTCACTGTCTTCTGCATTTCAATAAATGATGACCCCATCCTTCAAGTGACTCAGGCCAAAATCCTTGGCATCACCCTTAACGTTTTCTTCACTCTCACCACACATCCAACCTACCATTGATGCTGCAGGCTCTTCCTTTAGATGACAGCTGCCTACTTTCCAGGAAATGCACCACTTGGGTCCAAACTACTAGTGTTTCTCGCTGAAATGATTAAGACTGGTTTCTCTCCTTCCAGCCATGCCTCTCATCCATCTGTTCTTATCCCAGGATCAAAGTGATCCTTTGCAATGGAAAGCCAGTGTTTCTCCTCTGCCCCATGTTTCCTAATGTCTTTGTATCACACTCAGATCCTTAACACGGCTGCAAGGCCCTATCTGGTCCAACCCCATCTCCTCTCTAGCCTTGCATCCTGCTACTGGATCACTGTGCTGCAGCCACATGGGTCTCTGCATTGTTACAGAACCCTCCAGCATGCTCACTTGGCAGGGCCTGTGCACATGCTCATTGGAGGCTGGTGCCTCTTTTCCCAGTAATCTCTGTGCCTTCCTCATTTCCTTCAGGTCTCTGCTCAAATGTTGCTGCCCCAGAGGCCTTCCCTGACTGCTGTCTTCTACAGTAACACTCCTTTACATCTGCTCCATTTACCCAAATTTACTGTTTGGCTTTAGCACTTATTTTTAGCACCCAGCATGCACTTATTTGCCTATTCATTGGTTGTCTGTTTCCCCTACTAGAACGTAAGCTCCATGGGAACAGGAGCTTGGTTTGCAAGGCAGACTGACTTTAAGATAGTCTCCTCTCCCATGATCCCCACTTCCTGCTGCTCAAGTCTTTATGTAATTCCCTCTCCTTCAGTGTGGGTGGGACCTGTGATTTGCATCTAACCAATAGCATGTGACAAAGTGATAGGATATGATTCCCATGATTATGTTGCTTTATAAGACTCAGTCTTGACCAGGCACAGCGGCTCCTTCCTGCAATCCCAACCCTTTGGGATACTGAGGTGGGAGGATCACTTGAGGCCAGGAGTACAAGACCAGCCTGGGCAACACAGTGAGACCCTGTTTCTATAAAAAGTTTATTAAAGATTAGCTGGGCAGGCCAGGTGCGGTGGCTCACGCCTGTAATCCCAGCACTTTGGGAGGCCGAGGTGGGCAGATCATGAGGTCAGGAGTTCGAGACCAGCCTGGCCAACATGGTGAAACCCCGTCTCTACTAACAATACAAAAATTAGCCAGGCATGGTGGTGGATACCTGTAATCCCAGCTACTCAGGAGGCTGAGGCAGGAGAATCACTTGAAACCAGAAGACGGAGGTTGCAGTGAGCTGAGATCGCACCACTGCACTTCAGCCTGGGCAACAAGAGCAAAACTCTGTCTAAAAAAAAAAAAAAAATTAGCTGGGCATGGTGGTGCATGCCTTTAGTCCCAGCTACTCAGGAGGCTGAGGCAGGAGGATTGCTTGAGCCCAAAAATTCGAGGTTACACAGAGCTACACAAAAATAATTGCTTTTTTGTGTGTGTGTCTTGCTGTGTCACCCAGGCTGTAGTGTGAACTTACTGCAACCTCTGCCTCCAGGGCTTAAGCGATTCTCCTGCCTCAGCCTCTTGAGTAGCTGGGATTATAGGCACCCACCACCACGCCTGGCTAATTTTTCCATTTTTAGTAGAGATGGGGTTTCGGCAGGTTGGCTAGGCTGGTCTTGAACTCCTGACCTCGGGTGATTCACCCGCCTCAGCCCCCCAAAGTGCTGGGATTACAGGCATGAGCCACTGCGCCCAGCCAATAAGACTTCCGTCTTGCTAGCAGATATGCTTTCTTCTGCTGGCCTGGCCTGAAGCAAGCTGCTGCTTGTCAACTGCACAGGGGCAGCCTCCAGGAACTGAGGACCTCTGGCCAACAGCTGGTAAAAATCCAAAGCTCTCCATCCTATTCCTACAAGAAAATGAAGTCCACTAACCACTGGAGTGGGCTTAGAAGCAAATTCTTCTCCAGTTGAGTCTCCAGATGAGAACACAGCACTGTTGATAGCTTGATTGCAGCCTGGCAAGAACCTGAAACAGATAACTCAAGGAAACAGTGCATGGACTCTAGACCCACAAAAACTGAGAGAGACTAAATGTGTTTCTTTAAACTGCTGCATTTGCAACAATTTGTTACACAGCAATAGAAAACTAATATTGATTGGTTTGTTCATTGCTCTATCCTGAGTACATAGGACAGGATTCAAGCATACATTAGGTACTTAATAAATATTTGTTGAATGAGTATATTGTTACAGAAAAGCAAAATAGCAAACAAAGTGGGCCAATGTTATAATATGTTACCAGTCATAAGAGTGCCCTGTCTATGTGCATACACATCGTCTATCTCTAGAAGGGTATACATGGAAGTAACAGAAGACCAGGGGAGGAAAACTAGAGCATAAGAAATCCATGAAAAATTGAGACTTTCACTTTATACTCTTCTGAACTGTTATTTATTTATTTATTTATTTGAGACAGGGTCTCGCTCTGTCACCCAGGCTGGATCTGCAATGGTGTGATCATGGCTCACAGCAGCCTCCAATTCCTGGACCCAGGCAATCCTCCCACCTCAGCCTCTTGAGTAGCTGGGACTACAGGCAAGCACCACCACATCCAGCTACTTTTTTTTGTTGTTTTTTTGAGACGGAGTCTCGCTCTTTCGCCCAGGCTGGAGTGCAGTGGCACCATCTCGGCTCACTGCAAGCTCCACCTCCTGGGTTCACGCCATTCTCCTGCCTCAGCCTCCCAAGTAGCTGGGACTACAGGCGCCTGCCACCATGCCTGGCTAATTGTTTTTGTATTTTTAGTAGAGATGGGGTTTCACCGTGTTAGCCAGGATGGTCTCGATCTCCTGACCTCGTGATCTGCCCACCTCGGCTTCCCAAAGTGCTGGGATTACAGGCATGAGCCACTGCACCCAGCCACTTGTTTTTGTTTTTGTTTTCTTTTTTTTCATTTTTTTGTAGGGACGAGGTCTTGCTCTGTTGCCCAGGCTGGTCTCAAACTCCTAGGCAAGGAGGGAAAAATAAGGGAAAAGCTTGGCCCGCTTGTTTTGCATTTTACCTTGGAAAAGGCCCTCATGGCTTGGCTTGACACATGTCTGGAAAAAGAATTCCTAAAACAAAGGAAATTTTTTTAAAAGAGGAAAATAAGAATTTACCTTTCTGCTGCTTTTGTTGTTGTCATTTGTTTGTTTTGGGGGTTTTTTTTGAGATGGAGACTCACTCTGTCACCCAGGCTGGAGTACAGTGGCACAACCTCAACCCACTGCAACCTCTGTCTCTTGGGTTCGAACTATCCTCCTGTCTCAGCATCCTAAGTATCTGGGACTACAGGTGCATGCCACCATGCCCGATTAATTTTTTTGTATTTTCAGTAGAGACGAGGTTTCACCACGTTGGCCAGGCTGGTCTTGAGCTCCTGAACGCAAAAGATCGGCCTGCCTCAGCCTCCTAAAGTGCTGGGACTACAGGCGTGAGACACGGTGCCTGGCCCTTTTCTGCTTCTTTGTGATGTAGTCAAAACATAACGTGCTATTGACTCTGAAATTCTTTGTTTTTCTGGGGGAGGCCAAGGCAGGAGGGGCTCTGCAGGTACTGGATTACAGGTGTGAGCCACAGCACATGGCCTGAATTTCGTTTTTAATCTATAAATGTATCACTTAAACATGCACCCCCAAAACCAAATAGCTCCTATGACTTCCAATTTCAAGTAAAATCCCTTCTTCAGCACTTACTCCTTTACTTGGCGCTCTGCCTTCCCCATCCGGGAAACACCCTTGTCTGTTGCACCTGCCCCGTAATCCCCCTCCAGGATGTTTTGTGGTGAGCGCCTTCAACAAAAGAATAGCTACAGAATTAAATGTGTTTGGAACCACATGCACATCGTGCTTTGACTACCTCACAAAGGAGCAGAAAGGCAAATTCTGTTTCCAGTAATGTGCAAAGTCAAGCCACAAGGACCTTCTCTGAGGTAAAATGCAAAATGAAAGGGCCAAGCTTTTCCCTTATTGTGATTGTGTAACCAGCCTAACAGACATTTAATTTGAGAAAAAATTTGAATAATAATATGGAGTTACCCTGGAGTTTTGGGATGGTCTAAGAGTAAGCTTTGAAAAATGTGGCCAAAATGATTATAATCAGGGTGGGGGGAGCAATTTCTGTATTTATTTGGCTGACATGAAAAAAAAATCCAGCTGAAAATCTGCAGGCTGACAAATGGACAGAACCCATTACAGAGCAAGAAAAACTGAGTCAGAGAGGACAGGCTAGAGCTCTGGGAGGCCACACACCTTGTGCCAGAAATCGAAGCTGCCAAGCTTATCACTTACAAACCTTGTCATATCATGTTAGTGGGACGGTTTCAAATGGATAGCCCCTGATCTGTTTTGAAACTAGCCAATATAGCTGGGTGCGATGACTCACACCTGTAACCCCAGCACTTTGGGAGGCCAAGGCAGATGGATCACTTGAGGTCAGGAGAACGAGACCAGCCTGGACAACATGGTGAAACCCTGTCTCTACTAAAAATACAAAAGTTAGCCAGGTGTGGTGGTGGGCACCTATAATCTCAGCTACTCAGGAGGCTGAGGCTGGAGAATTGCTTGAACCTGGGAGGAGGAGGTTGCAGTGAGCCAAGATCGTGCTACTGCACTCCAGCCTGGGCGACAGAGCAAGACTCCATCTCCAAAAAAAAAAAGAAAAAAGAAAGAAACTAGCCAATATAACCAACTTAAAATATAATGGAAGTCATTTCTCTTAGGGCTATAGAGAATATGTGAGACACAGTGAGTGGACTGTTTCTTGTGATCACATCTTATTTACCTTCAGTAATTAGCAAGGGACTGTGACCACAGCAATACAAGATTATTGACCTGTTCAAAGTTCTAAAACAGGACCTGAAAAACACAACCATAATTAATGTTGAATGATTAATCAACATCTATGTGTTGATGGCTGAAAAACCTTGAGTTATAAGATATTATCTCTGTCTAGCTTTTTAAATCATAATTAGTTTTTTTTGTGTGTGTGTATGTGTCTGTAAGACATTACAATTTTGCCTAGCACAGTGGTGAGTCCCTATAGTTCCAGCCACTCAGGAGGCTGAGGCGAGAGGATTGCTTGAGTCCAGGAAGTTCAAGACCACCCTGGGCAACATAGTGAAACTCCATCTCAAAAAAACAAACAAAGCAGCTATAAAATATTGCAGTTTCTCACAGGTGACACTATGGCTACGTCTGCTTGATTATTCAATCTGTTCAAGCCGGACAAGTTGTCAACGTGGCTACAAGTTCATGACTTTGGATCCTATGAAGATCAAAAGTTATGCTTAGGCCAGGCAAAGCTCACACCTGGTAATCCCAGAGCTTTGGGAGGTCAAGCTGGAAGGATCACTTGAGGCCAGGAGTTAGAGGCTGCAGTGAGCTATTATTGCACCACTGCATTCCAGTCTGGGTGACATACATAAATAAATAAGGTGGCACACAGCCTCTTGGCCACAATAACATCCTTTTCAAGAAATATCTGGGTACTTGACTAAATAGCTGTCTTTGCCTTTCATTCATTCATTCATTTATTCATTCTACCAATATTTAACACTGGGGTGCAAGGAGGCATAAGTAAGGACTGTTACTCACAGTCCGGTGGTCCATGGGTTTGTGGGTGTGTCTTCCAGCCAATGTGTCATTGTAGCCAAATCTTTTCTTAATTGGTTGGAGTGCGAGCTCCTGGAGAAGAGACACAAAGGATGGGTAACTCAAGTGGGGAAATTGGTGTTCCTGGAGCAGAGAATCCTGGTGCCACATCCTCAGATTCCCAAGTGATGAGAAGGAGGAAAGAAGAATGATCAGGAAGGATCTATCTCAACATATTTCCTTCCTTCTTTCCTTCCTTCCTTCCCTTTCCTTTTTCTTTCTTTCTTTTTCTTTCTTTCTTTTTCTTTCTTTCTTTCTTTCTTTCTTTCTTTCTTTCTTTCTTTCTTTTTCTTTCTTTCTCAACATATTTCCTTCCTTCCTTCCTTCCTTCCTTCCTTCCTTTCTATCTTTCTTTCTTTCTTAGATGGGTCTCTTTCTGTCACCCAGGTTGGAGTGCAGTGGTGTGATTTTGGCTCACTGCAGCCTCTGCCTCCTGGCCTAAAGCAATTCTCCCTCCTCAGCCTCCCGGGTAACTGAGAATACAGGCACACGCCACCACACCTGGTTAATTTCTTTGGTTATTTTTTTGTTTCACCATGTTGCCCAGGTGGGTCTTGTACTCCTGGGCTCAGGTGGTCCACCTACCTTGGCCTCCCAAAGTGGTGGGGTTACAGATGTGAGCCACCACACCCAGCCCCTATCTCAACACATTTCAAAGAACAAAAATCACACATCCCTCCCATCACTCCTTTTTTTGTTTGTTTGTTTGTTTTTTGGAGAGAAAGAATTTCGCTCTGTCAGCCAGGCTGGAGTGCGGTGGCATGAAATCAGCTCACTGCAGCCTTGACCTCCCAGGCTCAAGCGATTCTTTCACCTCATTCTCCAAGTAGCTGAGACTACAGGTACATGCCACCATGCCTGGCTAATTTTCTTGATTTTGTTATAGAGACAAGGTCTCACTATATTGCCCAGGCTGGTCTCAAAGTCCTGATCTCAAGCAATCGTCCCACCTCAGCTTCCCAATGTGCTGGGATTACAGGCATGAGCTACAGCGCCTGGCCCCTTCACTATTTCTTTTTCTTTTTCTATTTTTTTTGAGACAGAGTCTCACTTTGTCACCCAGGCTGGAGTGCAATAGTGCATCTCGGCTCATTGCAACCTCCGCCTCCTTGGTTCAAGCAATTCTCCTGCCTTGGCCTCCCAAAGTGCTTGGGATTACAGGCATGAACCACTGCGCCTGGCCCTCCTTCTAGCTATTTGAAACTATAGAATATATTATTGTTAACTGTAGTCATCCTATACAGGTGTAGAACATGAGAAATTATTCCTCTTATGTAGCTGAAATTTTGTATCCTTGACAAATGTCTCCCTATCCCTCCATTCTCCCTACCCTCCCTAGCTCCTAGTATCCTCTGTTTTACTTTTTACTTTTATGAGATCAACTTTTTTTTAGCTTCCACATATGAATATGGAACATGCAGGCCGGGCGCAGCGGCTCACACCTATAACCACAGCACTTTGGGAGGCCAAGGTGGGTGGGTCATTTGAGGTCAGAAGTTTGAGACCAGCCTGACCAACATGGTGAAACTCTGTCTATATAAAAATACAAAAAAGAAAAAAAAATTAGCCAGGTATGGTGGCACGCACCTGTAGTCCCAGCTACTTGAGAGGCTGAGACACGAGAATCGCTTGAATCTGAGAGGTGGAGGTTGCAGTGAGCCGAGATTGCACCACTGCACTCCAGTCTGGGCAACAAAGTGAGACTCTGTCTCAAGAAAAAAAAAAAAAAGAAGAAAAAAAAAAGAATGTGAACATGCAGTGTTTATTTAACTTTCTGTTCCCTGCTTATTTCACTTAAAATAATGTCCTCCAGTTTGATCCCTGTTTCCACAAATGACAACATGGCTGAATAATATTCCATTGTGTAAATATATCACATTCTTTTTATCCATTCATCTATTGTTTCCGGATGACCGGATAAAGTTGATACCATATCTTGGTTGATTCTATATCCTGGCTATTGAGAATAGTGCTGCAATAAACAAGGGGGTGAGATGTCTTTTTTTTTTTTTTGAGATGGAGTTTCACTCTTGTTTCCCAGGCTGGAGTACAATGGCGCGATCTCGGCTCACTGCAACCTCTGCTTCCTGGCTTCAAGTGATTCTCCTGCCTCAGCCTTCTGAGTAGCCGAGAGTACAGGTGCACACCACCACGCCTGGCTTATTTTTGTATTTTTAGTAGAGATGGGATTTCACCATGTTGGCCAGGCTGGTCTCGAACTCCTGACCTCAGGTGATCCGCTGGCCTCGGCCTCCCAAAGTGGTGGGATTACAGGCATGAGCAACAGTGCCCAGCCAAGATATCTTTTTGATATACTGATTTCCTTTCCTTTTAATAAATATCCAGTAGTGGGATGGCTGGATCATATGGTAGTTGTATTTTTAGTTCTTTCAGGAACCTCCCAACTATTCTCCTTAGTGGCAGTACTGGTTTGCATTCCTACTAACACTGCATGAGTTCGCTTTTCTCCAGATCCTCACCAGCATTTATTATTTTTTTGTCTTTTTGGTAATAGCCATCCTAGCTGGGGTGAAATGATGCCTCATTACGGTTTTGATTTGCATTTCCCTGACGATTAATGATTTTGAATATTTTTCTCCTATATTTGTTGGCCATTTGAATGTCTTCTTTTGAGATCATTTGTCCTTTTTTTTTTTTTTCTTTCGAGATGGAGTTTTGCTCTTGTCACCCGGGCTGGAGTGCAATGGCGCAATCTCAGCTCACTGCAATCTCCATCTTCCAGGGTCAAGCGATTCTTCTGCCTCAGCTTCCCAAGTAGCTGGGACGACAGGCACCCACCACCACACCAGGCTACTCGTATTTTTTAGTAGAGACAGGGTTTTACCATGTTGGACAGGCTGGTTGTGAACTCCCGACCTCAGGTGATCTGCCTGCCTCAACCTCCCAAAGTGCTGGGATTACAGGTGTGAGCCACCGTGCCTGGCCCTCGTTTGTCCATTTTTTAGATTGGAAATTTTTTTTTTTTTTTTTTTTTTTTGCTGTTGAGATGTTTGGGTTTCTTGTATATTCTAGATATTCATCCCCTACTGGATGAGTAGTTTGCAAATATTTTCTCCCAATCTGTTGGTTGTCTCTTCACTCTGTTGATTGTTTCCTTTGCTGTTCAGAGGCTTTTGAGTTTGATATAATCCCATTTACTTATTTTTGCTGCCTATGCTTTTTTTTTTTTTTTTTTTTGACAGGGTCTTGCTGTGTTGCCCAGGCTGGAGTGCAGTAGTACAAAAGGCTCGCTGCAGCCTCAGTCTCCTGCTGCCTGTGCTTTTGAGGTCTTATTCATAAAATCTTTTCACAGACAATGTCCTGAAGCATTTCCTGTCTATATATTTTCTTCTGGTAGTTTTATAGGTTCCAGTCTTACATTTAGTTCTTTGATCCATTTTGAGTTAATTTTTGTATAGAATAAGAGGTGAGGGTCTAGTTTCATTCTTCTGCATGTGGATCTTCAGTTTTCTTAGCACGACTGATTGAAGAGACTGTTCTTTCCCCAGTGAGTATTCTTGGTACCTTTGCCAAAAATCAGTTGGCTGTAGATAAGTGGATTAATTTCTGGGTTCTCTAATCTGTTCCATTGGTCTATGTGTCTATTTTTATATGTCAGTACCATGCTGCTTTGGTTACTATAGTTTTGTTTTTTTATATATATATATGTGTATATATATACACACACATATATGTATATATATACACACACACACATACATATATACATATATATACACATATATATATTTTAGAGTCTAGATTTTTCTTTCTTTAGACAGAGTCTAGATTTTTTTTTTTTAAGACAGAGTCTTGCTCTCTTGTTGTTGCCCAGGCTAGAGTGCAGTGATGTGATCTTGGCTCACTGCAACCTCCACGTACTGGGTTCAAGCGATTCTCATGCCTCAGCCTCCTGAGTAGCTGGGACGGCAGGTACATGCCATCATGCTCGGCTAATTTTTTTTTTTTTTTTTTGAGATGAAGTCTCACTCCGTTACCCAGGCTGGAGTGCAGTGGTGGGATCTCAGCTCACTGCAACCTCCACCTTCCAGGTTCAAGCAATTCTTCTGCCTCAGCCTCCCTAGAAGCTGGGATTACAGGTGCGCACTCCACACCTGGCTAATTTTTGTATTTTTAGTAGAGATGGGGTTTCACCCTGTTGGCCAGGCTGGTCTCAAACTTCTAACCTCAGGTGATCTGCCTGTCTCAGCCTCCCAAAGTGTTGGGATTACAGGTGTGAGCCACTGCACCTGGCCAGGAGAATTATCTTCTATCCTAAGGCAAGAAATCTAATATAATTGCCCTACACATTGACAAGCACTACTCCACAGGTGTGACTAATGAATAGAACTCTTACACACACAGAATGTAAATTTATGAACTTGCATATCTTAGACACACACAGAAAGACATTTCCCCTACTTCAAAGAACAACTTGAATATAACTTAAAAGCTGGGCATCGTGGCTTATGCCTGTAATTTCAGCACTTTGGGAGGCCAAAGTGGGTGGATCATTTCAGGCTAGGAGTTCAAGACCAGCCTGGCCAACATGGTGAAACCCCATCTCTACTAAAAATACAAAAATTAGCTGGGAATGGTGGCACATGCCTGTAGTCCCAGCTACTCAGGAGGCTGAGGCAGGAGAATTGCTTGGACCCAGAAGGGGAAGGTTGCAGTGAGCCAAGATTGTGCCACTGCACTCCAGCCTGGTGACAGAGCAAGACTCTGTCTCAAAAAAAAAAAAAATTAAAATTAAAAAATTTTAAAACATTGCCAGGAGTGGCTGTGGGCACCCATAGTCCCATCTACTTGGAGGCTGAGGCAGGAGGTTCTCTTGAGCCTGGGAGTTTTTGAGGCTGCAGTGAGCTATGATTGCACCACTGCACTCCAGCCTGGGTGAGAGGGAGACTTCAGCACTAAAAACAAAACAAAACAAAACAAACAAACAAACAAAAACAAAAAACAGAACAAAACACACACTCTCTCCCTCTATCTGTCTATCTATATAACTCAAATATGTCTTGCGTTGCCTTGAGTTCTCCCAAGGTTTCAAGTGCAACCAGTCGTGTGGGAGGTAGGTAATCCCAAGAAACACAGTGGGCAGAGGGGAATTCCAGTAGGGAAGGGATGGGAGCAACAGTGGGTGTGTTTTCCAGCAGGGTCCCCTGGGAGCCTCTAAAACCTAATCTGCTAGAGAACTCTGGGAGCCAATGTAGAATGCGCATCTGATCCTCCTGCCTAAGGGGCAGGAGTGTGGGACCTTTGTGCACCTCCACCTGTCAGTCATCCATGGAGGGATTGGGGCAGGTTAGTCCACTCCCTGCACTTCTGACCTGTCATTCTGTGGCAAAGGAGGACCTGGGGGCTCAAGGAAGTCCTCAGGCAGGGAAATACAGTGGGTGGCAGCTGGAAGTCAGGCTGGTGTCACCAGAATGTCAGGATGAGGGCAGGAAGGCGGGACTCCAACTGCACAGGCCACATTCTCTTCCTCAAGCTTCTACATAGGCTTTAGTGCCTCTTTTCTCCTGTTTCTTTCAGAATTCATTGGGCGGTGTCATCCCACATACCACAGAGATTTCTCAGGCTTCTCATTCTTGTCAGTGAGTCTTGGAAGGCAGGAAGGGACAGGGACTTTCTCACCTTCCAGCACCTGCAGGGAACCAGCGTGGTGAGCACGGAATCACGTGTGGCCTCCAGATACCCAGTGACCCATTCTTTCTAAAGCCCTCTTTAAAGCAAGGAGAAAATCCAGAATGCAAGAGGGATACTCAGGTTTCTGGTTCTTATTTTTCTTTCCAAATGTAAAGAGAAGAAATCTAGGCCGGGTGCAGTGGCTCGTGCCTGTAATCCCAGCACTTTGGGAGGCTGAGGCAGGTGGATTGCTTGAGCTCAGGAGTTTGAGACCAGCCTGGGCAACATAGTGAGACCTTGTCTCTACAAAAAAGTACAAAAATTAGCCGGGCATGGTGGCACGTGCCTGTGGTTCCAGCAACTTGGGAGGCTGAGGTGGGAGGTTAGTTTAAGCCAGAGGTTACAGTGAGCCAAGATCACACCACTGCACTCCAGCCTAGGTGACAGAGCCAGACCCTGTCTCAACAAAACAAAACAAAACTTTTCTTTAAAAAAAAAAAAATAGAAATAGGGTCTTGCTGTGTTGGCCAGGTGGCCTCAAACTTCTAGTCTCAAGCTATCCTCCCACCTTGGCCTTCCAAAGTCCTGGGATTACAGATGTAAGCCACCATGCCCAACCCAAAATACTTTTCAAGAATTATCTTCTAGGCCGGGCGTGGTGGCTCATGCCTGTAATCCCAGCACTTTGGGAGGCTGAGGTGGGTGGATCACCTGGCATCAGGAGTTTGAGACCAGCCTGAGCAACATGGTGAAATCCCATCTCTACTAAAAATACAAAAAATTAGCTGGGCATGGTGGCAGGTGCCTGTAATCCGAGCTACTTGGGAGGCTGAGGCAGGAGAATCGCTTGAACCCAGGAGGCTGAGGTTGCAGTGAGCTGAGTTCGCGCCATTGCACTCCAGCCTGGGCAACAAGAGCGAGACTCTGTCTCAAACAAACAAACAAAAAAAGAATTCTCTTCTAATATTGTTTTAACTGTTTATCATGCATGGGTATTACCTGTTTTATTAAACACAACTTTAAGAAAATAGGAAGTATATCTTCTTTCAATACAGCAATGGAAAATGTCATCTGAAATTTTCAGAACTTATTTTACCTTATTATTTAAGGTGAAAGTGACAGATCAAAAGTGAACATTTCCATATCTTTCATATAGCTTTAAGGCTTTTTTGGTAGTTTATGAGAA
This sequence comes from Homo sapiens, assembly GCF_000001405.40. NCBI lineage: Eukaryota > Metazoa > Chordata > Mammalia > Primates > Hominidae > Homo > Homo sapiens. Next base: position 50,113,281 of record NC_000016.10, on the reverse strand, counting down.
TATTTTGTCAAATTGTGAAATGCTTTAAATTTATGTGCAAATTTTCATGAAAGTGTGCAATATGCAGTTGTCTATTTCATTGCAGTGTGTAATGTTTTAAAGACTCTAATGATTTTAAACTTAATTTCCGTTTTTGTACATTCATCTTTGAAAGAAAAAAGGAGGCTAGACATGGTGGCTCATCGCTGTAATCCCAGCACTTTGGGAGGCTGAGGCAGGTGGATTGCCTGAGCCCAGGAGTTTGAGACCAGCCTGGACAACAAAGGGAGACCCTGTCTCTATTTCTTTTTTATTTAAAATTCTTTTAAAAAATGAAAAAAAATGAAGGTGATTATTTGAAACAGCTTTGTGAAAATCACTTCAGCTCCATGTTCTGTACCTGTTCCACTATATGTAATTTAAAATCTGATGGGCCTAAAAGCAAATCCATTATTCCTTTATTTATCTATGTATTTTCACCGCAGCCTCAAACTCCCAGGCTCATGCAATCCTCCTGCCGTGGCCTCCTGAGCAGCTGGAATCACAGGTGCAAGCCACCACGCCTGGCCATTATTCCTTTAATGCAAGAACATTCATTCAAAAATATCTTCATTTCAGGCCAGGTGCGGTGGCTTACACCTGTAATCTCAGCACTTTGGGAGGCTGAGGTGGGCAGATCACCTGAGGTCAGGAGTTCGAGACCAGCCTGGCCAAGATGGTGAAACCCTGTCTCTAGTAAAAATACAAAAATTAGCCAGGAGTGGTAGCGGGCACCTGTAATCCCAGCTACTTGGGAGTTTGAGGCACGAGAATCACTTGAACCTGGGAAGCAGAGGTTGCAGTAAGCCGAGATTGTGCCATTGCACACCAGCCTGAGCAACAAGAGCGAAATTCCATCTCAAAACAAAATAAAAAAAAACTTCTTCTTATTTTACTTGAATAACTAATTATCTTTATGTTAAATAAACTCGCGATATTGGTTCCCACAAATGAGAGTAGAAAAGTGTTTTTCCTGGTTTCACTCTCTTTTTTTTTTTGAAATGAGGACTCGCTATGTTGCCCAGGCTGGTCTCAAACTCCTGAGCTCAAGGAACCCGTCTGCCTCAGCCTCCCAAAGTGCTGGGATTATAGGCGTGACCACTGCACCTGGCCCTGGTTTTGCTCTTACTAAATGGAAGAAATTGAAGATAGTAGATTCTTTATTCAAAAAGAATGTGTTCTTTTCATGGGCAAGCATACATTGCTGAAAATGTAAAAATTTTAGGGCAACTGTGTTCTCATAATTAGGACTCCTATATAAGAGCAGGAGGGATAAAAATACATTTAAGCAAACTCTCAAAACCACTTGTTTATAATTTCTCACTGCATAGAATAAAATGACTCAAGTTAATTCTGTTCACTAAAAGAAGAAAATGCTCAATTAAGTGGACCAAAATAGTCCCAATTAAAGATATACATTTCTCTGATGAGCAAAAATTGAGAATCTTCCATGATATGAAGACGTAACTTTTTTTGTTCTTAGATAAATTAATATGTACTTTTAATTCACAAAAGGGACAAGATAAAAAGACCTTTAGGCCAGGTGTGGTGGCTCACGCCTGTAATCCCAGCACTTTGGGAGGCTGAGGCAGGTGGATCACTTGAGGTCAGGAGTTCAAGACCAGCCTGGCCAACATGGTGAAACCCCGTCTCTACTAAAAAATACAAAAATTAGCCAGGTGCAGTGGTGCGTGCCTGTATTCCCAGCTGCTCTGGAGGCTGAGGCAGGAGACTCACTTGAACCCCAGAGGAGGAGGGTGTAGTGAGCTGAGATCACGCCATGGCACTCCAACCTGGGTGACAGAGTGAGACTCCATCTCAAAAAAAAAAAAAAAAAAAAGATAAAAAGTGCATTAAAATTAAGACCTTGTTAGACACAGTGGCTCATGTCCGTACTCCCAGCACTTTGGGAGGTGGAGGTGGGCGGATCACTTGAGCCCCAGAGTTTGAGACCAGCCTGGGCAACATAGCAAGACCCCGTCTCTACAAAAATTAAAAAAAAAAATGATCTGGGCATGGTGGCATGTGCCTGTGGTCCCGGCTACTTGGGAGGCTGATGTTGGAGGATTGCCTGAGTCCAGGAGGTTGAGGCTGCAGTGGTCCATGTTCATGCCACTGCACTCTAGCCTGGGCAACAGAACAAGACCATGTAAGATTTTGAAGCTCTTGATTGTGTACGTGTGTGTGTAAACCAACAGAAGCAGTAGGCAGGCTTTGAGGTTTGGGAGTAAAGAACCCAAAAACTTCCTTAAAAAGGAAATTAAGATTTCGTAGGAAAATGCTTTCTCACCTCAAACTACAGGTGTGTTCTACCTACCTTAGGCCTTGTTTTCCATCTCAATAGACCACTATTCAGTCCATTCCCTAAGTGGGAAACCCAAGCGTCATCTTAGCATTTTCCTTTGCTCCCTCTTCCAAATCCTCTGCATCACCAGTTCATCCATTTATGCAGGAGGAGGACATTAGCAATTGTGACTCCTTCCTTCAGCTGTGGCTGTCTCTTTGTTTTCTCCTTCATACGTTCCTCTGAAGACTGCTTTGACTTCACCGGCTCCATTTCCTCCCATCTCACACTCCCCCAACTCCCTCCAACCTGACTTCTGACCTGCTCACCATGGAAACATCCCCTGCTAAGATCCCCAGTGATATCCATGCCTCGAAACCAAGAGACATCCCTCATCCCTCCTTGCATCTCTCAACTGCATCCATGCTCATGGCCCCTTCTTCCTTCTGAAGCCGCTCCCTTACTTCTTTTTAAATTTTTTTTTCTTAAGACAGGGTCTCACTCTGTTGCCCAGGCTGGAGTGCAATGGCACAATCTCAGCTCACTGCAACCTCTGCCTCCCATGTTCAAGCAATTTTCGTGCCTCAGCCTCCCAAGTAGCTGGGACTGCAGACGTGCGCCACCACACCAGGCTAATTTTTTGTATTTTTGGTAAAGACGGGGTTTCACCATGTTGGCCAGGCTGGTCTTGAACTTCTAGCCTCAAGTGATCACCGGCCCTGGCCTCCCAAAGTGCTGGAATTACAGGCATGAGCCACTGTGCCTGGCCACTCCCTTACTTCTTGACTGCACTCTTCTGTTTTTTTTTTTTTTCTTTTAGAATGTATAAAATGAGGCCAGGATCTGTGGCTGTGGGACACCTGTAATCCCAGCACCTTGGGAAGCAGAGGCAGGTGGATCACTTGAGGTCGGGAGTTCGAGACCAGCCTGGCAAACATGGTGAAACCCCATCTCCACTAAAAATACAAAAATGAGCCAGGCATGGTGGCACATGCCTATAGTCCCAGCTACTCAGGGGGCTGAGGCAGGAGAATCGCTTGAACCTGGGAGGCGGAGGTTGCAGTGAGCTGAGATCATGCCATTGTACTCCAGCCTGGGGAACAAGAGAGAAACTCTGTCTAATCAATCAATCAATAAAATGTATAAAATGTAGAGGCGGGGTCTTGCTTTGTTGCCCAGGCTGGTCTCAAACTCCTGGCTTCAAGTGGTCCTCCTACCTAGGCCTCCCAAAGTGCTAGGGGTACTGGTGTGAGCCACTGCACTCAGCCTTCTGGTTCCTTCTACATCTCAGGGGACTCCTTCTGTGTTTCTTTTCAGGTTCATTCTCCAACCAGGCCAGCACTTACTAGATTTCTTCACAACTTCGTCTCAATCCTCCTTATTTTCTCTTTCTAGCTCTTTCTAGACCAGTAGTTCTCAAAGTGTGTTCCACAGATCCTTTTCGGGGGGGGGGGTCATGAGGTCAATACTGTTTTCACAATACTAAATGCGACTTGGCTTTTTTTGCTGTGGTGGCACACTGGGGCTGTGGACACTAAAGTGATGGGATGAAACTGCTGGTGTCTAGTATGAATCAGGGCATGGGCACCAAACTACTAATTATCACTGCATTCTCCCCAATCACGCACTTAGAGGAAAAACAAAGCAAGCTGCACCCAAGACTGTAGTTGATGAATTAGTAAAAAATAAATAATAATTTATCAAACTTTGACTCTTGAGTATGTCTTTTTCCATATAGATACTCGTTATTCTAGCACCATTTACTGAAAAGACTATTGTTTCTCCATCAAGTTAACTTGGCACCTTAGTGGAAAATCAATTGATCATATAATTATGGGTCTATTTCTGGACTCAATTTTGTTCCATTGATCTGTATGTCTTTACTTATGCTAAAACCATATGATTTGATTGCTTTAGCTTTATACACAGTAAGTTTAAAATCAGGTTGCATGACGCATATGCACAGCCAAACACACCCAGGTCAGCTCCCCACCTTTTTTTTTTTGAGACGGAGTCTCGCTCTGTCGCCCAGGCTGGAGTGCAGTGGCACAGTCTCGGCTCACTGCAAGCTCCGCCCCCCAGGCTCATGCCATTCTCCTGCCTCAGCCTCCCAAGTAGCTGGGACTACAGGTGCCTGCCACCACACCTGGCTAATTTTTTTTTTTTTTTTTTTTTTGTATTTTTAGTAGAGACAGGGTTTCACTGTGTTAGTCAGGATGGTCTTGATCTCCTGACCTCATGATCCACCCACCTCGCCCTCCCAAAGTCCTGGGATTACAGGTGTGAGCCTTCACGCCCGGCCAGCTCCCCTTTTTTTTTGAGACAGAGTCTTACCGCCCAGACTGGAGTGCAGTGGCGTGATCTGAGTTCACTGCAACTTCCGCCTCCCATGTTCAAGCGATTGTCCTGCCTCAGCTTCCCAGTAGCTGGGACTACAGGGGCATGCCACCACATCCGGCTAATTTTTGTATTTTTAGTAGAGACAGGGTTTTGCCATGTTGGCCAGGCTGGTCTCGAACTCCTGGGCTCTAGTGATCTGCCCATCTTGGCCTTCTAAAGTGCTGGGATTACAAGTGTGAGCTACTGCGCCCAGCCCCCAACCTTTTTTTTTTTTTTTAAGAAAGGTTTTGCACTGTTGCTTAGGATGGAATCATGATTCACTACAGCCTCCATCTCCTAGGCTCAAGCCATCCTCCTGCCTTAGCCTCCCAAGTAGCTGAAACTACAGGTGTGCGCCACCAAGCTCAGCTAATTTTTTTTATGTTTAGCAGAGACAAAGCTTCCCTATGTTGCCCAGGCTGGTCTCAAACTCCAGAGCTCAAGTGATTCACCCGTCTTGGACTCCCGAAGTGCTGGGATTACAGGTGTGAGCCACTATGCCTGAACAGTGTATATTTCTTTCTTTTTTTTAACAGAGCTCACTCTGTTGCCCAGGCTAAAGTGCACTGGTGCAATCTTGGCTTATTGCAACCTTCACCTCCTGGATCCAAGTGATTCTCATGCCTCAGCCTCCTGAGTAGCTGGGATTACAGGTATGGGCCATCACACCCGGCTAATTATTTTTTTTTTGAGGTGGAGTCTTGCTCTGTTGCCCAGGCTGGAGTGCAGTGGTGGAATCTTGGCTCACTGCAACCTCCACCTCCCAGGTTTGAGTTTCTCCTGCCTCAGCCTCCCAAGTAGCTGGGATTGCAGGTGCATGCTACCACACCCAGCTAGTTTTTGTATTTTTGTAGAGATGGGATTTCACTATGTTGGCCAGGCTGGTCTCAAATTCCTCACCTTAAGTGATCTGCCCACCTCGACCTCCCAAAATGCTTGGCCTCCAGTGTGTATTTCTAACGGGCTATTCTGGGTGATTTTCAAATAAGTATATTTTAAAGCAGACTTTTTTTCCCCTATGGTCATACAGAAAAAGCTCTCCATTATCCTGTGCCATGAATAATACTTGCATGCTCTATTGAGTTATTATGTAAATAGTTAAAACTGTATGCTGTATTTATGAGTTGTTTTCCCTTCTTTTGTGTCGTTAGAGTGGTAAAGTTGAATGGGAGAAATCCAGACCCAATTATCCATGCCTCAGAATCTAAGAGATTTTTAGGATGGCACATCTTCAGTGTCATCTCATCTTCTACCGTGTTTAAGGATGATTCTGCATTCAACAGCTGCTTTAGAGCTTGCTTAGTAAAACAGAAAATCACACACAAAACAACGAGAAAATCACCAGCATTTATTTACTCAACAAATATTTATGAAGAGTCGACTATATACTAGGTCCTGTGCTAAATATCCTGGATATTGTTTATAGGTCAGAAACTGTGGGGAAGAATAAACAGAATGAGGAACTTTTTTCTCCTTGAAAATAATTATATTTTATAAATAATTGAGGCAGAGAGAACTCTAATACTTTCTTTTTTGGAAGAGTCGTTCTCCAAGGAGACATGCTTGGGCCAATCATTTAGCTGAAATGATCACTAAACATACATATATACCTTAAAATTCATGAGCAAGGACCATAATAAAGCGAGGTGTTGTATATGGTATACATTTCTGTTTTCCCACCATATACACAATTTGGGTTATTTTACTTGGTGCCATGGGCTAGGAACTCTTAGGGCTGGGAAACAATCTTGGTTTCCCAACAGTCTATATCATATAGGTGAAAACTGTAAAATACATCACAGTGCAGATGAAATCTAACACTACTAGCTCATTTTGTGCTGCTGTGGAAGCAGTGAATTAAAATTAAGTCCTGTACTGGGGATTGGGCCTTTTGTCAGGGCAACTGAGATCAACTGTACAGAAATTTTCAAATTTCCCTTCTCATCAGGCAAACGGATGGACAATGAAGCCGGTTCAGAGGCCCAGCCGAGACAATGATGCACAGGGAAACTCCCTCGAGCCCCAGCTGTCACCTAGTACTTCGAAGACACTGAGAGGTAATGCTGCAAAGTCGTGCTGTCATTTTTTTAATGTCTCACATATATTCCAAGCAATATGCATTAGCAAACAAATATCCACGAATAGTATCATCTCATTTTCTACTAATAACCCTTTATTTGGTATCTTAAAAAAGATTTTGTAAGACACAAAACTTTCCATTAAAAAGTTGTTTATTTAAAAATACCTTCTCCCAATTCTGATTCCATATCAAATTAAATCAAGAAGTGATGTTACAGCAATAACTCATCAAAGTCATGAGTAGGGAGGATGGCAATGACCCCATTAGCTCATTAGTATAATCTAGTAAGTGAAATAGAAATTCAACTCATTTACTTCTTCACAAAAGGCAAACATAATTGATATACTTCATATCAAAAAACTAGTTTATAAAGCTTGTCTTCATATTTCAGTTTAAGGTTCAACTGATATAAAATGCCTTAAAAGAACATCCAAGCAATGCTTTGGATTTTCTTTCTTTGCAAAATTCAAGGAAAACATGATTGGTTGAAGTTTCTTCACTGCTGGCGAATTAGTTAAGAGCTACCTGAGATTCCTTCGCACTTCCACTCTTCCACTCTTTGAGTTTCCAGTGATTAAAATATGCCAGAGACATAATTTAGAGAGCGCTAGAAATGCCACACAGATCTCATCACTTAAAAAAGAGTTTCTGGCCAGGCACGGTGGCTCATGCCTGTAATCCCAGCACTTTGGGAGGCCAGGGCAGGCGGATCACTTGAGGTCAGGAATTTGAGACCAGCCTGGCCAACACGGTGAAACCCGTCTCTACTGAAAAAAAAAAACAAACCAAAAAACCAAAAACAAAAACAAGGTGTGGTGGTGGGTGCCTGTAATTCCAGCTACTCAGGAGGCTGAGGCATGAGAATCGCTTGAACCTGGAATGGCAGAGGTTGCAGTAAGCCAAGATCGCAGCACTGTAATACAGCCTGGGCAGCAGTGAGACTCCATCTCAAAAAAGAAAAAAACAACAAAACAAAACAAACAAACAAAACACACACACAAAAAAACCAGCAACAGAGTTTCTGACAGGTTTTGAAGTTTTTTTTTTTTTTTTTTTTTGGAGACAGGGTCTCCCTCTGTCACCCAGGCTGGAGTGCAGTAGCGTGATCTCAGCTCACTGCAACCTCTGTCTCCCAGGTTCAACCGACTCTCCTCCCTCAGCCTCCCGAGTAGCTGGGATCACAGGCATGTGCCACCATGCTTATGCATGCGGTTTCACCATGTTGGCCAGGCTGGCCTCAAACTCCTGACCTCAAGTGATCCACCCGCCTCGGTCTCCCAAGGTGCTGGGATTATAGGCGTGAGCCACCATGCCTGGCCAGGTTTTGAAGTTTTTACAGAATGTACAGAATGTAATCATTAAAAAATGACTTTCAGAAACATATACATTCAAAGAAAACCTTTTAGTATTCTAAGCATTGAATACTTTGGGGGAAGAACTGGTTTCTTTTTTGGATTGTTTAAGAAGTCAGTCTTTTCTCAACAGTTTCTTGATAAGCAATAAATCTTCGCAAATTCATTTTCACATTGTCAAGAACACACAGCTGATCTGTGCTATAGTTACCTCTCCCTTCTTTACGTATCTGCAAACAAAAAACAAAAAATCATATATGACTTGGTAGATATGATTAATTCATTTAAATAAAGTATTTAATTTAGGGTGTATTTAACCATTTGCTGAAGCAGATAGCTGTAAGAATTTGGAAAAAATGTTTTTACTTCCAAGGTAAATGGAACTCGGTAAGTAAAGAATAAACTGAGAATGTGCATTATTAAAAATGATAGTTACAAAGGTGACTGAATGGCAGGTGGTAGGAGTTATATAAACTATAGAAAGGAATTATGTAAACCATGAATTGGGAAAATAACCCCTAACCTCTGAAAGGTCTGCTGTTCAGATTGATTTTCCTAGTTAGTATGCATTGCTATGGTAATAATACTTAATTGTTTTTCTTCTCTCAAAGGTATAAAGCCTTAATGAAATTCCTTTGTTAGGCTGGGTGCATACTCATGCCTGTAATCCCAGCAGTTTGGGAGGCCGAGGCAGGAGGTTTGCTTGAGTCCAGGAGTTCAAGACTAGCCTGGGCAACACAGTGAGACCCCACCTTAAAAAAAAAATTCCTTTGTTAGCCAGAGGTTAGTCTGTAGTGTTGTGGTTTTTTTGTTTTTGGAACAGGGTCTCTCTCTGTCGCCCAGGCCAGAGAGCCGTGCTGCAGTCATGGGTCACTGCAGCCTCGACCTCCCGGACGCAAGTGATCCTCCTGCCTCTGCCACCACAGTAGCTAGGACTACAAGCAGCGCACTACCATGCTGGAGTAATTTTTTTAAATTTTTAGTAGAGGTGGGGTCTCACTATGTTGCCCAGGCTGGTCTTGAACTCGTGGGCTCAAGTGATCCTACCACCTTGGCCTTCCATAGTGCTGGGATTACTGGTGTGAGCCACCATGCCCAGCGCTGGTTTTGTTTGTTTGCTTGTTTTTTGTTTTTAATAGAGATGGGTCTTGCTTCATCGCCTAGGCTGGAGTGCAGTGCTGCAATCCACTGAGCTCACTGTAGCCTCCAACTCCTGCACTCACACGATCCTCCTGCTCAGCTTCCTGAGTAGCTGGGATGACAGGCATGAGCCACCACTTAATGGCTAACTTAAAAAAATTTTTTTGTAGAGACAAGTTCTTGCTATGTTTCCCAGGCTGGTCTTGAAATCCTGGACTCGAGTGATCCTCCCACCTGGGGCTCCCAAAGTGCTGGGATTACAGGTGTGAGCCACTGCGCCTGGCCTGTGGTTTTTTATATCAATTGTATGGAATCTGAGTTTGATCTCACCTCTAGTCTAGAGCAGTGGCTCTCAGGTTTTAGTGTGCAACGGTATCATCTGGAAGGCTTGTTGAAAAATAGACTGGTGGGCCCATCCACAGAGTCTATGACTCAGTAGGTCAGGAGTTGGGGCCGAGGACCTGCATTTTGAATAAGTTATCAGGCAAGGGCTGATGCTGCTGATACAAGGAGGGCACTTTTGAGAAACACTGCTCAAGAGAAGTTCTTGATTGTACATAAATGCATTTTGCAGCTAAATATACACTGAATAGCCTTTAACACAAATTGTGGCTTCATTTAGCAAAAAAAAGAGTTTCACATAAATAACTACAGGCTAGCCTCTGGCTAGGAAGAAATCTCATTAGAGCTTTATACCTTTGATAAAAGAAAAACAAATGTTATTACCACAGCAATACATACTGAGTAGGAAAATCAATCAGAACAAAGACCTTTCAGAAGTCAGGGGTTATTTTCCCAGTTCACTGTTTAACCTTTTTTAAGCACCTGCTTCTGCAGAGTTTGATGACTCTAACTATTAATATATCTGCTTTCCTTGAAGCTGCAGGGAAATAGGGGATATTTTTTTCTTATCTTGCAAGCTCTTTATCCAGAAATTTAAAGGACTGTAACCTTTAAGAACAATATGGCTGGGCACAGTGGCTCACACCTGTAATCCCAGCACTTTGGGAGGCCAAGGTGGGCAGATCACCTGAGGTTGGGAGTTCGAGACCAGCCTGGATGACAAGGCGAATCCCCGTTTCTACTAAAAATACAAAAATTATTTGGGTGATGTGGTGGACACCTGTAATCCCAGCTACTTGGGAGGCTGAGGCACAAGAATCACTTGAACTGGGGAAGGGGAGGTCGCAGTGAGCCAAGATCGCACCACTGCACTCCAGCATGGGCGACAGAGTGAGATTCTGTCTCAAAAAAACAAAAAAAAGTAAAATTAAATAAATGCAAAATGTGTATGAAAGTGCTTTGCAAAATACAGAGTATAATACTGACATATATGAAGCATTGTCAAAATTACTAAACTTAAAAAAAGAAGAACTTGTCAGATACCATTTTAGCTTCAGTTTCAATGATTCAGTAGTCACACTGTTGAGCTATGACTCAGTCAACGAACATTTTACAAAGTACTGGGGATGCTGTGCTACATATGGGGATTCGTCATGCACATGCTTCTGAGTTGCACAGCGGTAACTACACACACCCTTGTCCCCACAGAATGTTCAGACTTATGTATTTATAAGTTAAATGGCTACAAACCTTCATTTTAAAGACCGGCTGGAATTCTTTCAGAGCAGATAATAATTTAATTTGAATCGAGGCTCTTTCGGCTTCTTTACCATCTGCAAAAACATCAAAGAGGGCATCCAAAGCTTCTCCTGCTACCACAAGGGAAGGATCTTTGGTGGTAACTTCAAGCAGAAAGCACCCAATGTTCTGGAAACAACAAAACACATTTAGTATGACTAACACCAGTCTCCAAAACAAGTACCAACTTTGAATGTGGCAATAACTCATGCATACTATTTTATATACAAATGCCAGGGAAAAATTAAAACTTCAAGAGATTAGACTTAAATACTTATAAACATACCAAGTATAAGCAAGATAAATTAAACATATTATAGTTTATATTCATAAATAAAGTGAATTAAAATCCATAAATGATGTATGATTTTGGAAATCACTAAATTTTCCCCTCTACCTCTCTCAAAAAGGATTTCTCCATGATGTCAAGATGCATAGAAATATTATCTGTAACAACAACGACAACAACAAAAAATCTGCTTTTAAAAGCATAAGAAAAACACTTTAGGCCAGTTGCAAGTGGCTCACACCTGTAAGTTCAGAACTTTGTGAGGCTAAGGCGGGAGGGTCGCTCGAGCCCAGGAGTTCAAGACCAGCCTCGGCAATGGAGCAAGACCTCATCTCTAAAAAACGTAAAATAGGACTGATCTGAATCGAATCTAGTCTGTAGATCTAACTGTCAGTTTGTAGGAAATACAAGGATAAAAAAACAAATTTACCACCACAAGGTAGCAATCAGACAAATCCAGAAGGTTTTGGACACTATATTGGACAACTGATCCAGGAGGTGAGAATAACCACGTGGTGCCGGGGAGGAACTGTTCAAGATTAAGAGAGAAAGAGAAGACCCCACAGGAAACATAACATGTGGACTTCAGCAGTGTAAACAAGCTCTCTGTAAACAGATAATTTTGAGGCAACTGTAAAATTATGAATATGGACCAGGAATTAGACACACTAAGAAATAACTGTTGCCGGGTGCAGTGGCTCATGCCTGTAATCCCAGCACTCTGGGATGCTGAAGTAGGTAGATCGCTTGAGCCCAGGAGTTCAAGACCAGCTTGGCCAACATGGCGAAACCCCATCTCTATTAAAAATACAAAAATTAGCCAGGTGTGGTAGTGGGCACCTGTAATCCCAGCTACTCGGGAGGCTGAGGCAGAAGAATTGCTTGAACCCAGAGGCGGAGGTTGCAGTGAGCCGAGATCACACTACTGCACTACTGTACTCCAGCCTGGGTGACTGAGACTCCATCTCAGAAAAAAAAAGAAAAAAAAAAAAGCTTTGCAAGTATCATTTTTCAAAAATAGATTCTTAAAAACATCAGTCATCATTGTAAAGTTCTTAGCAGGTTAAGAGGTACTTTATAATAATGAGTTTATTATCCACTAGTCTCACACTTCAGCAATTATTAGCACACCAAAGTGTAATGTTACTATGACTGTCCTTTTAATTACTAGTGACGCTGTACTCCTAACAGTGCAGTTTGTGAGCAACTGTGCTAAGTGGTAAGAGCAAATATGCTGAGGGAATTGCTAGTATATTGGCACTACCAGGGTTGCTGCTTAAAATTTATGGAGTGGTATTAGAATTAATTAACTGTGTTGTATTTTTCAGAATGCATGTTGCCTGGTGTGCAAGGAAAATGGTGTGGATTGTTCATTCATCAGCAGGAGAATGTAACATGCATACATTGGATGCAACAGCAAAGGCAGAAGGCATCTTTAAAAATTCTGAATTTGCCCTTTCACTAAAGACAGATTTATTTTTTTAAAAAAGTACCTCTGGAATAACGTTAAATTGTAAAATGTGGCTCAACTTTTCAAATACTTACCTAATTAATACACATAGTTAGATCAAGCCAAAGGGTATATTCTAATAATATGACTCAATAAAGCAACTTGATATGACTTCTTCTCTTCAAGTCCACACAAGTTTTAAGAAATCCTACACCAACAGTTCTTCTCCCATTTCTAATTATTTAACATGTTAGGTCAGAAGCAAATTGTTTTACCTTAAGAGTTTCAAGTGTACCATCTTCTTTGGCAAGGACGCTGCCAGTGATTCCTAAAATGCTAACGACATTCACTCTAACCCCGACATTACTACTATGAATGCCTGCTTTGCATAATGTCATCAGCTGATCAGGAGTCATGCACTGTTAAAAGAGAAGAGGACAGTATTTATAATGTTAAACTCAATTAATTCTATCAGCATGTGAAAACCGGACTGACAGGAATCTCCTCTATAGGCTACAGGATTTTAAGAGTGACATAAACTCCTGGCAGGTAAGTTACTATTAATATGTATTCCAGTTCTCCCAGACAGAGCTGGTAATTCTGAACTAAGGTGAACCCTGCTCATGTCGGCACTGTTATCTAATATCAAAGGGGCTCCATTTAATTTGATGAAGACTTTCATTCCAGATGTACACACACTAAAGAGAGTCCAATTCCTTTTTAATATTAATGGTAAGAAAAAGGCTTTGAAAGTATAAATAGGATTGTGTGGTTTTAAAAAAATTGGCTGAGTCTATACAAGGTAAGAACTTACTTTGAGATATCTGTATTATCATAATTAAAGACTGTAGAAACCATTACATTATATGGTGCTTCTACCATGTAGTGGATAATTTTCAGTTTAAGGCTGGGCGCGGTGGCTCACGCCTGCAATCTCAGCTACTCAGGAGGCTGAGGCACAAGAAACGCTTGAACCTGGGAGACAGAGGTTGCAGTGAGCTGAGATTGTGCCACTGAACTCTAGCCTGGGCAACAGAGTGAGACTATCTCCTATAAGCAGCAGCACAGTGTAGTGATGAAAGGCTTGGAATCTGGAGCCAGACACAAAGGCTTGGAATCTGGAGATTGAACCCTGGGTTCAAATCCTAGCTTCACTACTTATCACTCGTGTGAGCCCCTACACTAGACTAATGTATTTTTATTTTTTGTAGACATGAAGTCTCACAAAGTTGCCCAGGCTGTTCTTGAACTCTTGGGCTCAAGCAATCCTCCCGCCTCAGGCTCCCAAAGTGTTAGGATTATTAGTATGAGCCACTGCACCTGGCCCTGAACATGGGCTTTGAGTAATTTTCCTTAACCATCACACTGATCCCATAAGCTGCTGCTTACATACCAGGGGAAATCAATAAAAATACTTGATATTCCTATAGGCCCTAGAGTATAAGGTTTTCTGGTCCATCCAACAGCCACATGGCAGGCTATGCATCCCATTACCATTCCTACTTCTTAGAAACTGAGGGTCAAATTATGCTCTTCAAAAAAATTCTTAGCTTTGGAAAGCTGAGGCAAGAGGATCACTCGAGAGCAGGAGTTTAAGACCAGGCTGGGCAACATAGCAAGACCTCATCTCTATTAAAAAACTAAAAAATAAAAATAAAGTATAAAAAAATTTTAAAAGCATTAAGAAAAAAATTATATAAAGAAGCAAAAAGAAATAGTGTTATTGGCAATAACAAGAGCATTGTTATTTTGATACTATTAAGTACATTCCGTAGGATAAAGCAAATAATAGTTTTAATGTCACTACAATTTTAATGTTACTACAGCAAACAATTTTAATATCACTGTATAGCAAATAATTTTAATGTCTTTTAATGTCACTACTACAAAGTACATTCTGTAGGAGAAAGCAAATAATAAAATTTTTGAAAAATATTTTTCTTTCTTTTCTCTAATTTTAATTTTTAAATTATTTATTATTATTATTATTTTTGAAACGGAGTATCGCTCTGTCGCCCAGGCTGGATTACAGTGGCCCGATCTTGGCTCACTGCAAGCTCCGCCTCCTGGGTTCACACCATTCTTCTGCCTCAGTCTCCTGAGTAGCCAGAACTACAGGCACCCGCCACCACACCCGGCTAATTTTTTGTATTTTTTAATAGAGACGGGGTTTCACTGTGTTAGCCAGGATGGTCTTGATCTCCTGACCTTGTGATCCGCCCACCTCGGCCTCCAAAACTGCTGGGATTACAGGCGTGAGCCACCGTGCCCGACCTATTTATTATTATTTTTAAAGCCAGTCAAACTTAGCGTGGGGGGTTGTATACCAACTTCAGTGACACTAATGTTAATAAGTCCTGATAACCCACTACCATCAGACCAGCTGCAAATAAGAATTTTAATGTCACTAATGTATCTTTTTGGGTACAATGTACCTTTTTGGGTACAAATGTATCTTTTTGGGGGATACAAAAAGATAGAAATACAAAATCGAAAATTAAGTAAAAATATTGTACCATTTTTTATTTAAACTGGAAATTATCAGGATAAACTTACTATTTTTGTCTCCTAAAAAAATGCCTATTTCCTAGCTATTTCCACTAAAAAGACCTAGAAACAATGGCAACATGATAGCAATAAGCACTCCACAATTCACTTTCCCCACTAAAGAAATCAGAGCTTCTTGGAGAAGTAACTAATTCCAGGGTTTTTTTTTTTTTTTTTTGAGACGGAGTTTCACTCTTGTCACACTCTTGTCACCCAGGCTGGAGTGCAGTGCAATCTTGGCTCACTGCAACCTCCACCTCCTGGCTTCAAGCGATTCTCCTGCCTCAGCCTCCCAAGTAGCTGGGATTACAGGCGCGTGCCACCACACCCAGCTAATTTTTGAATTTTCAGTAGAGACGGAGTTTCGCCATGTGGGTCAGGCTGGTCTCAAACTCCTGACCTCAAGTGATCCGCCCACCTCAGCCTCCTAAAGTGTTGGGATTACAGGCATGAGCCACTGTGCCTGGCCAGATTCCAGGTTTTAAGCAAGAAAATTACAAATTGAACCTGGGACATCCTATGCCTGGAAGCAAAAGTGATCAAAAACCTAAAATTCTTGTAAAAGAGGCACAGGAGCCAATTTGAAGGGACTCCTACTATCCAAAGATGGGATGAATTTGGCAGCAAAAAGCATGACTATAATGGAATGAAATACAAATATATAAAAAACCCTGAGTTCAAAATGATACTAAAAAAAAAAAAATCACTGGTCACTTATAGAGATTGCTAGGATAGCTATTCTGAAAAAAAAAAAAATCATAGCTAATAAATGTAAAAAAAAAAAAAAGAAAAGACAAAATTAGGGTATCTCTATTCTGCAACCCACTAATGACATAATGGAGCCAGGCAACCACAATCACTGGTTATAAAACCATTATGTGAACCCACTAATTAATCTCAGCATCACTATTTTATAATATCATATGATTTGTGATATAAATATAGGAAATATATAAAGCACTATAAATTATTCTTGCCAAAAAATCTGGACCTGTCTAGATTATTTATTATAAATACAAAAAATAAATAAATAAATAATCTGGACCTGGATCTAATTAAGGCTCTAGACCTAGCTCCCGGCTCACAGGAAACATGGGGGACAGAGGAATGCTGAACGATGCCATCATGATGAGTTGGCCAAATCTGCCAGTGCAGAAAATGCTACGGAACAAAATGAGAGTTTCTTCAATGGGTAAGTGTATGGGGAAAGGAGGGGAGTGAGGGAAATGCTATAGACTAAGAGATTTAAGAATATGAGAATATACTAAAACCACTGAATTGTACACTTTAGTTACTTATTTTTGAGACAGAGTCTCCCTCTGTCGCCCAGGCTGGAGTGCAGTGGTGCAATCTCAGCTCACTGCAACCTCCACCTCCCAGTTCAAGCAATTCTCCCTGCCTCAGCCTTCCAAGTAGCTGGGATTACAGGTGCCTGCCACCATGCCCGGCTGATTTTTGTATTTTTTGTAGAGATAGGGTTTCGCCACGTTGGCCAGGCTGATCTTGAACTCCAGACCTTACGTGGTCCACTGGCCTTGGCCTCCCAAAGTGCTGGGATTACAGGCGTGAGCCACTGCAGCTGGCCTGAACTGTATACTTTAAATGGATAAACTGCATGGTATGTGAATCAAATCTCAGTAAAATTTTTTTTAGAGATAATAAGAGACCAAAATATCAACCAAAAGCAACACATGAACCTTGCTTAGATCCTGATTTGAACAAGCCAACTGTTAAAAGACGTTTTTTTCTTTTTCTGTTTTTTTTTTTTTTTTTTTTTGAGACGGAGTCTTGCTCTATCGCCTAGGCTGGAGTGCAGTGGCATGATCTTGGCTCACTGCAACTTCCGCCTCCCAGGTTCAAGTGATTCTCCTGCCACAGCCTCCCAAGTAGCTGGGATTATAGGAGTGCGCCACCATGCCCAGCTAACTTTTGTATTTTTAGTAGAGACGGGGTTTCACCATGTTGGCCAGGCTGGTCTTGACTTCCTGACCTCAGGTGATCTGCCCGCCTCAGCCTCCCAAAGTGCTGGGATTACAGGTGTGAGCCACCGTGCCTGGCCATGTTAAAATACATTTTTAAGGCAATCTGGGAAAACTGAACTTAGACTGCAGCTGGGAAAACTGAACTCAGAGTGCAAACCAAAGGATAATAAGAAATATCCGTTAATTTGGAGCCTTGGGGTAATGGTACTGGGGTTAAGATTTTTAAAAATTTATTTTTCTGTCAGACATGCATACTGAACTACATAATAAAATATTGATGGGTCTAATATGATTTGCTTTAAAATACTCCAGGAAACAAAAATAAGGACCCAGTGAGATGAATGAAACCATGTCACAAGAATGACAGGACGCTAATAACCTGCTGAGGCTTGGCGACGGTGCATGCAGGCTCATAGGGTTATCTCTGCTTTGGACATGGTAGCGCACACCTGTAATCCCAGCTACTTGGGAGGCTGAGGTGGGAGGATTGAATCCAGGAGACTAGCCTGGGCAACACAGTAAGACCCCGTCTCAAAAAACAAAGCAACATTATTATCTCTGCTTTTAGGAATGTTTAAAAGTCTCCTTAGTAAAAAGTAGCAAAAGTGGTAAGGCACCTATGGGAGATGAAGTGCACATGGATTGCTGTGAAGGGTCAGGAGGGCATGCTTGCAAAGTCTGTAATGAAATGTTAAAAAAAAAAAAAAAAAAAAAGCTGGGTACGGTGGTTCACGCCTGTCATCCCAGCACTTTAGGAGGCCAAGGTGGGTGGATCACTTGAGGTCAGGCATTTAAGACCAGCCTGGCCACACGGCAAAACCCCGTCTCTACTAAAAATACAAAAATTTTGTGGTGACGCATGCCTGTAATCCCATTTACTTGGGTGGCTGAGGCACGAGAATCACTTGAACCCAGGAGGCAGAGGTTGCAGTGAGCTGAGATCATGCCACTGCACTCCAGCCTGGGCGACAGAGGAAGACTCTGTCTCAAAAAAAAAAAAGATTTAAAAAAAAGACCAATGATAGAGAAATTATTTACAACATATCTATCAATTAAGTTGTATTGATTAAAAAGCACTTGTTTTGCTAGTAAGCCTATATATTAAAAAATTTAAAAAATTAAATTAAAAGCACCTGTGTGTTGCTGATGGTAGGGAGCAGAAAGATATTACTTTTTATTTTAATCACTTTTGTTTTATTTTTTACAAAGATCACATATTATTCTTGTAACAGAAATATGTATTTTTTAAAATAGTGAAGTAATGAATTTTGCCTCCATAATACACAATCTTTACAAGTTTCATACAAAAAATTTTAAAACTCTTACCTGGGAAATGTTCTTGGAGGCCATTGTTTGCAAAAGGGCCCTCAAAGCACTACTTATGGCTTCTAGAAAGTCAACATGTTTAGCAAAATCTAAAACACAAAAATGAAATATAAAATTTGCATTTCTCCAAGATAGGCTATTTTGTAGAAGCAACAAACAAAACAAAGCATGCTAAATGTTAATAAATGCTATTCTTAATAAAACAAACAAACAAAAAAAAACCCTCGATATTTAAGCCAAAATATTTAGTTAACAGCCCCCTGTACACTCTATACCTAAGTCTGAAAGATGATCGTGGTTAAAATAATCACAGCAAGGAGGTGTTCTACAGACAGTCCTTGACTTCCAGACACTGGGTTTTCATTTGACTCACACTTCAGCACATAATAAACCTAAGCTAGCTTTTGCAGACTGAATTCTGTCATTCATAGATCTCCATCAGGGTGCTGGGTAGAACTACCTTTGGTGGAGTCAGAATGCTTCCTTGCCAACCCAAGCCCACTGCTTAGCCACACACTGTTGCTTGTGCAGAGCCAGGACATGATGGCACCATCACTTTAACTGACCCAGCATCCCCTTCCCACTCCTACTCCTTATTCGCACACTTTTCTTATTGTCCCTTCTTCCCACACGGGACAAACAGAACACCAGCAGTAAGCCATTATGCTGGCACAGGCACGTGCAAGGGACAGTGAGGGTCACCCAGGGGAGTTGGCTCCTTAACCTCTTTGATGGGAAGAGATTTGCTTGGTGTGGTAGACTGTATTTTCTAAAAATGGCCATGGCAATATTTCAAGTCCTGTGTGATCTTCAAGAACCTTGCCACTTCCCATAAAGATGTGAAATCTACTTCTCCTTTCCTTAAATCAGGGTGGGACTTTGTGACTTCTTCAACCAACAGAATACAAAGTGACGGGCTAGGTCACAAAAGGCAGTATGACTTCCAGCCCTGACGCATGTGTGCATGCTCTTTTTTCTCTCGACTTCCGCCCTGGGAACCCAGCCATCCTGTTATGAGGAAGCCTGCGTCACATGAAGAGGTCACTGTGGGTGTTCTTCCTGACAACCCCTGCACCAACTGCCAGACACGTGAGTGAACAAGACTTCGGATGATTCCAGCCCATACTCTGCGAGTCTTCCAGCAGAGGCCCTAGACTAGTATTTCTCAGCCTCTGCACTACTGACATTTTGGACCAGATAATTCTTCATTTTATGTGTGCGCAGGGGTCTCCTGGGCACCGTAGGATGTGAAGGAACATTCCTGGCCTCAACCCTCTAGACACCAGTTGCAATTTCCAAGTTGTAAAACCAAAAATACCTCCAGACGTTGCCAAATGTCCCCAGGTGGGAGGTGGGAGGGGATAAGTGGCCATGGTTGAGAACCACTGGCCTAGACATTGTGGAATAGGAAAAAGCCATCTCCACTGTGCCCTGTCTAAATTCTTGACCAAAGGAAACTTCGAGAAATAATAAATGATTGTTGTTGTTGTTAAGTCACAGAGTTTTGGAATAACTTGTTACGTAGCAATAGATACACTCACTTCCTGCCCCACAGTTCCTGGGACTTATACCATTCCGATCCCCCACTTTTAGGTTACCCGGGTAGAAGAGAGGCAGCTTCTGTTCAAATTCTAATCCCGGCTGATTGTATTTTTTGGCTCTTTCATTTTCAGATATGTATTATGTACCAAAATAGGGGATTTCCCGTAATGATCACAGAATAATAGGAGAGCTTTACACACTCAGCCCTAGGATAGAGAGCTGCCTTTGACATAATTATGTGACTCCTCCTGCCTTCATTTTAGTCTTGGCTCAAATGTTACCTCCTCACAGAGGCCTTTCCACACTAACTGGCCTAGTGTAACGCCTCATATCATTCTGCTTTTACTTTTTTCTTCATAGCTAATATCACATAAAACATTTATTTATACTAGAATGCAAACTCCACGAACATATTGACCTGGCCTATCTTGTTCACGCCTGCATCCCTACCATCTAGAACAGTGTATGACATAAAGCATTCAATAAATACAAGCTAAAAGAATGACCTTGGGCCGGGCGCGGTGGCTCACGCCTGTAATCCCAGCACTTTGGGAGGCCAAGGTGGGCCGATCATGAGGTCAGGAGATCAAGACCATCCCTGGCTAACACGGTGAAACCCCGTCTCTACTAAAAATGCAAAAAAAAAAATTAGCCAGGCGTGGTGGCGGGCGCCTGTAGTCCCAGCTACTAAGGAGGCTGAGGCAGGAGAATGGCATGAACCCGGGAGGCGGAGCTTGCAGTGAGCCGAGATCGCGCCACTGCACTCCAGCCTGGGCGACAGAGCCAGACTCGTCTCAGGAAAAAAAAAAAAAAAAGAAAAAAGAAAAAAAAAAGAATGACCTGGAAGAGGTTCCTTAACCTCTCAGCTAAGGTTCCTAAATCTCAGCTTCCTCAGCAGGACAATGAAGTAACAAGGGCTGTCTCATAAAACGTGGTACCTAACAGGCACTCAAAAATCAGAGTGAAGTTGTTAATAGCCTGGACCTCCCGGGCTCAAGCAATCAGCTCCTGCCTCAGCCTCCCGAGTAGCTGGGACCACAGGCACGTGCCACCACGTCCAGCTAATTTTTCTTGTATTTGTAGAGACAGGGTCTCATCATATGTACAGGCTGGTCTCAAACTCTTGAGCTCAAGCAATCCACCCGCCTCAGCATCCCAAAGTGCTGGGATTACAGGTGTGCACCACTCCGTCCAGCCAATTTGTTGCTATTAAACTTCAAAAAGTTACCATATTGACTGCAAAGTGTATATATGATTAAAGCTCTAGGTATAGCCCTATAAAATTATGAATTTATAGATTTATGAATTGCACACAAAGAGGTGATTCAATGTCTTTACTCTCAACAACTTTGAACGATATTTTTTTTTTTTTTTTTTTGAGACAGAGTCTCGCTCTGTTGCCCAGGCTGGAGTGCAGTGGTGCGATCTTGGCTCACTGCAAGCTCCGCCTCCCAGGTTCATGCCATTCTCCTGCCTCAGCCTCCCGAGTAGCTGGGACTACAGGTGCCCGCCACCACACTTGGCTAATTTTTTTTTGCATTTTTAGTAGAGACGGGGTTTCACCATGTTAGCCAGGGTCTCAATCTCCTGACCTCATGATCTGCCCGCCTCGGCCCCCCAGAATGCTGGGATTACAGGCGTGAGCCACCGTGCCCAGCCAACTTTGAACAATATTTAAGAATTTGTAGCATGTCTAAATGTAGGTACATCATCAACCCACAAGTAATTATACTCAGGTGAATTTTTCAGACTGATTTAAAATTTTTTTATTATTATTATGTTTTTTAGACGGAGTATCACTCTGTCGCTCAGGCTGGAGTGCAGTGGCAAGATCTGGGCTCACTGCAACCTCTGCCTCCCGGGTTCAAGTGATTCTCCTGCCTCAGCCTCCCAAGTAGCTGGGATTACAGGCATGCACCATTACGCCCGGCTAATTTTTGTATTTTTAGTAGATATGGGGTTTCACCATGTTTGCTAGGCTGGTCTTGAACTCCTGACCTCAGGTGATCTGCCCACCTTGGCCTCCCAAAGTGCTGGGATTACAGGTGTGAACCACCACTCCCAGCCTGAATTTTTTTTCTTATTTTTAATTAATTAATTTCTTTTTTGAGACAGAGTCTTGCTCTGTCACCCAGGCTGGAGTGCAGTGGTGCAATCTTGGCTCACTGCAATCTTCACCGCCCAGGTTCAAGGAGTTCTCCTGTCTCAGCCTCCCAAGTAGCTGGACTACAGGCACACACCACCATGCCAAGCTAATTTTCGTATTTTTAGTGGAGACGGGATTTCACCATATTGGTCAGGCTGGTCTCAAACTCCTGACCTCAGGTGATCCAACTGCCTTGGCCTATCAAAGTGCTGGGATTACAGGTGTGAGCCACCGCGCCCAGCCACCCAGCCTGAATTTTCAATATTCCGATATGGAATGGAAAATATATCCCACAATGGGATACTACCATTTTAATTATAACTAAAAAAGAACGTTCTGATTCTCAAAATCTGGAAAAACAGAGAATCCTAAATGATTTCGGAACTCATGTAATAGAGCCGAATGACAGACTGACCCAATATGAAATACAACATTGCTAAAAAACGCATTGATGTTTTGAAAACCAATAGCTTTTAATGAAGGAGACAAAGAAATTAGTGCTTTTGAATGTAAGGACCAGATTGTACTAAAATGTGCTCCTTTTATCTCTGATATCAGACACAAACATAAATGTAGGTATGTACAGAGTATCACAAATGTTATAACTACTGTATTCAGAACTGTATTTAGCATTAAAATTAAAACAAGTTAGAGCAGTAGAACAATCATACCTTTAACTCTCAACCATAACACAAAACAGCAGAGATCTTTAGCCCCATTCTCCGCACTAAATTCTCTTTTTTTTTTAATTGAGATAAGAGTCTCACTCTGTTGCCCAGGCTGGAGTACAGTAGCACAATCATAGCTCATTGCAGCCTTGACCTCCTGGGCTCAAGCAATCCTCCCACTTCAGCTTCCTTGGGACCACAGGCGCAAGCAAGATACCACTCCTGGCTAATTAAAAAACCTTTTTGGAGGAGACAGGGTATCACTATGTTGCCCAGGCTGGTCTTAAACTCTTGGGCTCATGTGATCCTCCCAATTCAGCTCCCAAAGTGCTGGGACTTCAGGTGTGAGCCACCGTGGCCAGCCCCCACTAAACTATCTTGTAACAATTCCCACTATCCATATAGAACCCATAGGATTACATTATTAATAAATCCCAAATGCTTAGAAGGACTGTATTAGAATATCATCTCTAGGACGGGCACGGTGGCTCATGCCTGTAATCCCAGCACTTTGGGAGGTCGAGGCGGGTGGATCACAAGGTCAGGAGTTCAAGACCAGCCTGACCAACATGGTGAAACCCGTCTCTATAAAAATACAAAAATTAGCTGGGCGCATTGGCAGGCACCTGTAATCCCAGCTACTTGGGAGGCTGAGACAGGAGAATTGCTTGAACTTGGGGGGCAGAAATTGCAGTGAGCCAAGATCGTGCTACTGTACTCCAGCCTGGGCAACAGAGTAAGACTCCATCTCAAATAAAAGAAAAAAAAAGAATATCATCTCCAAATATAAGCGATTATCCTTTATCAAATTCATTCTGATAAGAAAACATTCTGTTACTCCAAAATAAATAACAATGACACTACTTTTCAAGTCATTTTGATTCTCCATTTCTCCGAATGCCAATATTAGGTGATACGAAGGCCACAGATGGGATACGAGTATGGGCCCCAAGCAAGCTGGACAGCCCAGAGGTATTGTAATGGCCCTCTTCCCCCAGCAGTAACCATCCAAACCCATTACATAGGCAAGGCCAATTCAGACTACCAATCCCTGGAAGTAACTGAGCACATGTCATTAGGTGAATACATTTTCAAAATTACTGTTGTGACAGTAACGTGTGGTAGGCGATTTCTACATAAATATCATCAAGACCCTCAGGATACACAAAAGCATTCTTAACCTAGCAGCATGTCACATTCCTGAACCTTAAAAAAAAAAAGATGATGTCAAGAATAGACATGAAATGGGAATTTATTTAAAATCAAAGTGCTTAGTTATATTTTCCCACAATTCAGAAACTTTCCATTATTTCTCCAGGACTCAGCTTGGGGCAGTTTTCCTGTGATCTTTGCAGTTAATAAATGTGCTGGCCTCAGTGACCACAAATAACCAGCAGAACCAAGAGAAACATATCTGAGTGCTTTCACTATAGCACAGGCACACAGGGAGTTTGTTTCAAGTGAAATAACCTCTGTGTGCTGCCTGGGGATGGGACCGGGGGTACCTGGACCAGACTCTCAGTGAGAAATGGCCCAGAGCTGAGAGATGGCAGCTTGTGGAACCAGGGCTGCCAGGGTTACCTAGAGCTTAGGTAGGGCTTGGAAGCAGTGAGAGACTTGGGGTCCTGCTCACCTGGGACCCTGGCTGTGGACTCCCTGCCTGGCTCTGCCCCCTGCCTCTACTCAGGGGAATGGGTGGGGGTGGGCATGAGCAACAGCAGCCCTCTCACTCCCACCCCACAGGACATCTTGCTGGGCTGATGGGAGCCAGAATGCTTGCAAAAGTTGGGGAAAGTCCCCTCCCCGTTTACCATCCAGATCTCTTCCAGGTTTAGGAGGCTAGGAGACAAATACAAAGCTACAGCCATCATCTGGTCTGCTCACACTGACGAGCTGCCTCTGTACTCCAGTGCTTGTCCCGTCCTGCCCTGGAATGGGAATGGGACTAGCACTGCCCATATCCTGACTATATCCTGTCCTGGGCATGGCTGGGCACAGCTTTCATGGGATCATTCCAGCCAATGAATGCACAGCCAGGGAGTACTTGAAAGGTACACCTGTTAACTGATCAATGTTGAAAGGGTGGCAGAGACAGCTCAGTAACCACATATGGGTTTCTGAATATTTAATTACTTAATTTTTAAAGATTAATTTAGAACTTAAAAAACATGTACCATTAAACACACAGCACCTCTTAGGAACTTGACGGAATGTAAAACAGATGTCTAAAGAACTGGGGACCAACACTTGAATGGATGTTGACACAAAAACTTGTATTTAGTTAAAAGTGACTCTCTTTTGATTTTTTTTGAAACGGAGTTTCACTCTTGTTGCCCAGGCTGGAGTGCAATGGCGCGATCTTGGCTCACCACAACCTCCGCCTCCCGGGTTCAAGCGATTCTCCTGCCTCAGCCTCCCGAGTAGCTGGGATTACAGGTGCCTGCCACCACGCCTGGCTAATTTTTGTATTTTTAGTAGAGACAGGGTTTCGCTATGTTGGCCAGGCTGGTCTCGAACTCCCAACCTCAGGTGATCCACCCGCCTCGGCCTCCCAAAGTGCTGGGATTACAGGTGTGAGCCACCGCGCCTGGCCTGATCTTTTAAGAGTTCAATTCTTGGACTTAATGTTGTGTCTGAAAAGGAGGATAAAATATATGAAGAATACACTGAATATAACACAATGGAATTATCTTATTTGCCAGTGTAGAAAGCAAATATCTTCACGTTTACCCTCAAAAAATCCTGAAAGACACCTGGAACCTCAGCAGCTGAGAGAGAGGGGCAGATTCCCACCTCCCAGGCTACCCTCGCTCCAGCAATGGATACTGGGTGGAGTAATGTGGAGAGTTTTCCTTCAGTATAGAAAACACCACTTGTTCTTCTCTCTCAGTCTCTCTTGTTTTTGTTTGGTTTGAGCTCCTATAGTTTAATGTGGTCAAATTAAGTAAGATTTTACTATGAGGAACTATGAAAATCTGTTAGAAGAACATGCATTGGACTTTGTACAGCTAGTTTTTGTTTTTTTTGTTTTTCCCTCCAAGTGAAACCTACAGCTAGGTCATTTAAAAGAATATTTAATTTAACTCTTGTATCGCTATAGATCTTTGTGTGCATATGAAATTAATCCGTATCAGAGACCTGTAACTTAAGAGAATCAGCTCCTACCATGCAAAGGTGTTTGAAGAAAGATACATGTTAGATGATGGCAAGGTGTAGAATTGTGTGGATGGTATTCTACCATTTGCCTTACACACACGCACGCATGCCCGCATACACACGCTCTCTTATACATGGAGAATCTCTCTGGAAGGATACACAAGTAACTGGTGCAACAGTAACTTGACTCTGGGAGAGGAACTGGGTGTCGGAGAAAGGAGGGAGGCTTTCCAGTTTCTGTCCTCTAATAACTTTTGAATTCTGTACTACATACATATATTAATCAAACTTAAATGCTTGTAACTGGGAAGAAAATAATAGAATAGTACTCAATTATTATTATTATTATTTTGAGATGGAGTTTTGCTCTTGTTGCCCAGGCTGGAGTGCAATGGCACAACCTCAGATCACTGCAATCCCCACCTCCTGGGTTCAAGCGATTCTCCTGCCTCAGCCTCCCGAGTAGCTGGGATTACAGGCATCTCCACCACCACGCCCAGTTAAAGTTTTGTATTTTAGTAGAGCGGTTTCATCATGTTGGCCAGGCTGGTCTCCAACTCCTGACCTGAGGTGATCCTCCCGCCTCGGCCTCCCAAAGTGCTGGGACTACAGGCATGAGCCACCGTGCTTGGCTGAGAATTATCCAAATACCTTAATGAGGCCTTTATGATATTTATGATACAGCCTTGACTGGCCTGATATAACTGGATGCAAACAATTTTAACAAAAAAGAAAATTATAAGCCCAGGAGCTGCTTGCATACCTCGTTTTGACTCTGTACCCCATGGCAACTATAAATACATGATTCCTGTGTCTGGGAAAGGTTTCTGCACATTGGATGACAAACAATATACATTTACAAAATCCAAATTCCTGCCCCTTCAAAATTCTGTTCCGTCTGCGTAGTCTTTCGCAATAAAGTCTAAATACCTGGTTGAGAAAAAAGCAGCTGTGACAGATGCTGTGCAAGCGTCTGAAGGGCTGCGGCTCCTCCCAGGTGCTCCACATCCAGGAGGGACACAAGACTCTGGAGACAGAAGAGGGCTCTGCACTGAATAGTGTTCATTCTGGAAAGGAAGTGAAACAATGCCATCTGATTCTCCAGAAGTTGCCCATCAGAATTCAGTATTAACTTTTAGCCTAAGCTTCACGTTCTGACTGGAAATATCTGTAAATACAAGGTATCTATGGCAGTTAGCAAAGAATCACAAGGTGAACTGTTTTTTGTGTTTTCTAAAATTTATCATCATTTTTTAGACAGGGTCTTACTCTGTTGCCCAGGCTGGAGTGCAGTGGTGTGATCACAGCTCGCTGTAGCCTCAACCTCCTGAGCACAAGTGATCCTCCTGCCTCAGCCTCCTAAGGAGCAGGATTACATGTGCATGCAACCACACCTGGCTAAGTTTTTTATTTTTTGTAGATAGGGGTCTTGCTATGTTGCCCAGGCTGCTCTGGAACTCTTGGCCTCAAACAATCCTCCTGCCTGTACCTTCCAAAGTGCTAGAATTATAAGGTGAACTGTTAATCTGCCAAATCAAACTGCTTGAATATTCACGGCCTCTGATACACAACTCATTCATGAGTCATGAGGAATATGTTTTAGAAAAATTTCTATGTAGGGTAGCATCCTTAAAATTATAATTTTCTTCAGACAGGGTCTCATTCTGTTTCCCAGGCTGGAGTACAGTGTCACCATCATAGCTCACTACAGCCTTAGACTGCTGAGCTCAAGCAATCCTCCCACTTCAGCCTCCTAAGTAGCTAGGACTACAGCTGAGTGCCACTATGCCAGGCTAATTTTTGTATTTTTTTTTCCTTTGTAGAGATGGGGTCTTGCTATGCTGCCCAGGCTGGTTTCAAACTCCTGGCCTCAAGTGATCCTCCTACCTTGGCCTCCCAGAGTCCTGGGATTATAGGTGTGAGCCACCATGCCCAGCCTAAAATTATTTTTAATTGTGAAATGTGACATATATACAGTTAAGTACACAACATACATAGAGAGTTTAACAAACAGTCTATGAAACCAAAACCCATGCACCTGGGAAAGAAATTAACACTGCTGGACCCTGAAAGCCCCTGTATCTCTTCCATATAATATCCCACCTCCCTGACACCTACAGGTAAGCACCATACAGACTTCTATGGTAAACATTTCCTTGCCTCTTTTTTTTTTTAATAGGTTTATCACCAAGGTATGCATCCCTGAACAAAATAGTTCAATGTTGCCTGTTTCTCAACTTTGTAAAAACTGAATCACAGTGTGTGTATTCTTTTATGTCTCGCTTTTTTGGTTCAACAATGTAAGTTCCATCCGAGTTGTGAGTAGCTCTAATTCAGATCCCTTTTACTGCTGCATGTATTGTACTGCGTGATTTTGTCAAAATTTATTTACCATTCTAACTCTGATGGACAACACGTTTGTTTATGGGTTGGGGCAACTGTGACACACACTGCTATGAACACTCTCATATACATGTATTCTAGGGCATGTGGGCACATATTTTTCTGGTATATATACCCAGGAACAAAACTTCTGGGTCCTAGGGGGAGTCAGCACCTTCTATTTAATAGCCCATCATTTCATAAAATAAAATAATGACAAATGTTTTTGAAAGCAGAAGAGTTCTTACTTTCTAATCAAAGGTTTCCAAGTAGGGTTCCTAGAACATAGGTCAACTGCAATGCTGTTTGGAAAGGCAGTTTTCTCAAAAATCTAGATTTAAAAGAGGCAGTAAAGCAAAGGTTAAAGAGTAGTCATTTAACACGATTCCCTTACATAATTCCAACATATTACTCCTAAGTGAAATGGTTAGGCTTCATATAGAATGACCTTTTCGCCTATTTCCAGTACTGTTAGGCTCAGCTTTGTCTCAGATCTTACCACCATCTACAACCTGGAAGTGTGAGCTTGCTTCTTTTGTACACAAAATGAATACCTTGCTTAAGCCTTTCCCATGCTCCACGGTAAGCCTAGAATGAAAATGGATTACCTTCTTTGGGATGAGGTAGTTGGTGAGAGCCGTGTGAACTTCATGGGAGAGGCAGAGGGGAGAAAACAGCTGTCCCCCGCACTCACTGAAGGAATTCTCCATAAATGCGTCACTTTCATCACTGCTAGAAAGCTCTTCCCATTCGTCATCAGAGGGATCTGGGAAGCGGGCAAACCACGCAGAACTGGAATAGTTAAGAAAATCTCCACGGGAGTTTCCCTCTTGGCTCAGGGGGAAAATGTCTAAATGTAAATGTTAACAAACCTTCATTGCAGCACATGTTGACAATAATTTCCAGAGCAGTCTGTTGGGCTGTCAGCAATGCTATAGTCTCTCTCAGTTCCTTGTCAGTGGGCTTAAAAAAAAAAAAAAAAGTAAATGACCAACTCTCAATGGTTGGGAAAATGTTTTTGGGGAATTTCCTTAGTGAAAGCCTACTAGAAGATTTTTGCGCTTGGAATAGAGCACACGGGGAATGGGGTAGGTAAAAGAAAAGTCATGAAGTGCCAGAAGTACAAACGAGCATTATAATTCCTCTTGGTACAGTGGAGCATGCCCCCGTTAACTGGGTTTCCATCTATCTGCATGGCTATTCCCCAAGCGTCACTTAGTTAGCTGGAGAGAACAGACAAATATTCAGGAATTCTGAACAGAATTCACCCTGAAACTTATCTACTGTGTCAAGAAGTAGCTGGGCATACTAAGATTTAAACAAGAGTTCATTTCAGACACCAGGCACTTAGAAACACCAAACCTGCTTTTAGATGCTTAGCTTAGATGTCTTTCTTGGAATGGCTGCGCTAACACACACTACTAACGAGCCCTTATGTGACCTGTAGAACTTGCTATGGAGCAGACAGACTTGCTTCCTGCCTTTCTGTAAAGACTATAATAAAGCATTTCTCTAAGACTAAAGAAAGAAGGAAGCTTTTTTTTTCTCTGAAAATATATAACGCCAACTTAAACTTAACATTATCAACCAACATTTCTTAAAATGGGTAATATAAATTTATATAACCTTAATTATCAAATTGTCTATGGAAAGTGAAATAACCATACTGATATTCCAAAACAGTACATGAGCTAAAAATAATGTATATTTTACTATTTGAATATTTCCAAACTTCAGTTTTCAATTGTCTTTTTTTTTCCCCCTTAGAGACAGAGTCTCACTCTGTTGCCTAGGCTGGAGTGCAGTGGCACGTTCATAGCTCACTGCAGCCTCAAATTCCTGGACTCAAGCAATCCTCTTGCCGCAGCCTCTGAGTAGCTAGGGCTACAGGTGCATGCCACCATGCCTGGCTAATTTTTTTAATTTTTGTAGAGACAAGGTCTTAGCCAGGCATGGCGGTGCATGCCTGTAATCCCAGCTACTTGGGAGGCCAAGGCAGGAGAATCCCTTGAACCCAGGAGGCAGAGGTTGCAGTGAGCCGAGATTGTACCACTGTGCAACAGAGTGAGACTCCATCTCAAAAAAAAAGAAAAAAAGAAAAAGAAAAAGAAAAAAAATTTACCTGCTTTTTTTTTTTTTTTTGAGAGATGGGGTCTCAGTATATTGCCCAAGCTGGTCTTGAAATCCTGACCTCAAGTAATCCTCCCACCTCAGCCTCCCAAAAGTGTTGAGATTACAGGCATGAGCACCATGTCCAGCCCCAGTGGCTTCTTTGTGCAACAATTTAACTGTAACTTCTAAGCATATTCTTAAAAAAAAAAAAAGCAAATTGCTAATTCAATAGACGTAGCTCAGGGATCCCTAAATTTGAATTCTACTTATTGGTAGCAAGAACCTATATAAAAATCATTTCTATTTGCTTTGTGTGTGTGCTAATTCAACTAAATATACATTTATTAGAGGAGATTCAAAGCTAAACAAGACATGTTGCTGCTGGGCTCTCATTCACTTAAAATATACGAAAATCTGGCTTATTCTTTTTTATTCTTTTTTTTTGGAGACAGAGTCTTGCTCTGTCACTCAGGCTGGAGTGCAGTGGCATGATCTCGGCTCACTGCAATCTCCGCCTCCTGGGTTCAAGCGATTCTCATGTCTCAGCCTCCCGAGTAGCTGGAACTACAGGCATGCACCACCATTCTCGGCTAATTTTTTGCCTTTTTAGTAGAGACAGGGTTTCACCATATTGGCCAGGCAGGTCTTGAACTCCTGGCTTCAAGTGATCCACCCACCCTGGCCTCCCCAAGTGCTGGGATTACAGGCGTGAGCCACCATGCCCAGCCGAAGATCTGGCTTAAAAGGAACTCTGAAATTAAGCTCCACCTCTTTATGTAACTCTCTTGCTCAGAACTTTTCTCTGCTTCTTACTGCTATCAAGCTGACATAAAGAACCAATTTAGACGAAATGTTATGACATCTGAGATTTGCTTCAAAATAATCAGTACAGAAAAGACAGCGTGACGGGAACTAGATGAAATCAAATAGACCAGACTTTGAAAATTGGTAACTGTAGAAGCTGGGCAGAGAGTACTCTACTTTTGCATGTGCCCCCACAAAAAAACCAACTTGGGTTGAACTGCTCTTCCTTTATATCTTTGTGGTTATACCTTCTTAAGTTAAATGATGCAGTTTTGATTCTAAAGGAGTGCTGCAGAAGACACTGGATAGTGTGGAAGACCACAGCTGAATATAATTTGTGTTCCTGGCATCCTACTGGCACTTAAACACTGGCTGGCTGACCGACTAGCATGTTAATCATCCAGTCTAGTCAGTTATGTTAAGAACACTTTATTCTCCTTTTCTTCTTTTTTTTCTCCTCTACCCCCCGCCCCACCACCGCCCACCACTACAATCTTAAGGAAGACTTTATTTCTATTTGTATTTAGTTTTATTTTTCTGAAACAGAGTCTCGCTCAGTTGCCCAGGCTGGAGTGCAGTGGCGCGATCTTGACTCACTGCAACCTCCACCTCCCAGATTCAAGTGATTCTTGTGCCTCAGCCTTCCAAGTTGAGTGGCTGGGACTACAGGCACATGCCACCACACCTACCTAATTTTTGTATTTTTAGTAGAGATGGGGTTTCACCATATTGGTCAGGCTGGTCTTGAACTCCTGGACTCAGGCAATTTGCCCACCTCAGCCTCCCAAAGTGCTAGGATTATAGGCGTGAGCCACCACACCTGGCCAGAAGACTTTAAAAAGCCAGTTTTTACTATAAGAAAACACTGCATTTTTACAAGCACCAAAATAAAAGTAATAAGAAAATAAATTTCTACATATCAGTTAAATATCAATCGTTTTTCAACAGTGGCACTTCTATCTAAACCTTGTTAGACTTGGGTCTCACCCCCAACCTTACTCCCTGTAGAAGGTCCTTGGAAGCAAGGCTGGAGGTGGGGACAATCACACAAGAATGCCATTCTCTCATTCCCAGCAAGGGATTTCAGATCCTTCAAACACAGTATATCAGATAGGATCAACAGAAACCTGAGTAGGATGGTGCCCACAGCTGAAAATGACCCCATAAGCCCTGATTTATCACATCCCCTCTTTCCATGCACAGGTATGAAACAGGTTGGGTACCATGGTGCACGCCTATAATCCCAGCACTTTGAGAGGCCGAGGTGGGAAGATCGCTTGAGACCAGACAGCATAGTGAGATCTCGTCTCAAAATAAACCAATAGTAATAAAATAAAAAGATCTAGGCTGGGCGCAGTGGCTTACCCCTGTAATCCCAGCACTTTGGGAGGCCAAGGCGGGCAGACACCTGAGGTCGGGAGTTTGAGACCAGCCTGACCAACATGGAGAAACCCCATCTCTACTAAAAATGCCAAGTTGGCCGGGTGTGGTGACACATGCCTGTAATCCCAGCTACTTGGGAGGCTAAGGCAGGAGAATTGCTCGAACCTGGGAGGAGGAGGTTGCAGTGAGCCGAGATCACACCATTGCACTGCAGTTTGGGCAACAAAAGCAAAACTGTCTCAAAAAAAAAAAAAAAAATCTGTGAGCAACTCAAGTTCAGGGTGGCCTTCCCATTTCTGTTATTTGTCCCAGCACTTAACACAGTGGTTTGCACCCACAGTTTGCTCATATGAGGGGAAAAGTGGTTCTATCCACATTTTGATTTCTTTGAAACACCATCAATTTACGCTTCCCGAGACATCACGAACACAGGTAAGCATGAGAGGACATGATTGCCTCCTTCCAACTCAGCCTTCATCGTCCTTCGGCAGCCTCCTGACTGGTCCTCCTGCTGCCAGGCCCCTGTGCTCTCCCTTCCTCCAGCTGCCTGAGTGATCTCTCCAAACACTAACCTGCTTTTTCTCACCCCCTCCTTTATGACGCCCCAGGTGTTCTGTCTAAACGGCTCTCTCTGGCAGCCTCTTCCCTAGCTCTCCCACAGGGGCTGAGTCACAAGGGCTTACTCCACAGATACTATTTTCTTAGAAATCTGTGCATGGCCACGGCACTGTTCTCAGCGTAGGCCTTAGAGCCATGGTTTTATGTGTCTGTCTTCCCAACATGGAGGAAGTTCCTGAAGGCTGGAAATTACATCTTAATCATCTTTTTATCACCAGCGTCTAGCACAGTGCCTGGCATACATTAGGAGCACAGTAAATGTGAACCTGAATGAATAAAGCCTCACTCACTGTGCCCCGTCTTCCTATTTGCTCTCCTCCTTAACAAAGTGTTCTCCCAAAACACTTTGGGAGAACTTTCTCTCTCTGCAGACTGTGTCAGCTGAAATGCTTCCTGCACCCAAGATTGTTCCCCTTTACTGCAATATCACACCACCAGCACAAGTATGCCACCATCACCGACTCCAAGAAAACTACAAACCATCATTCATCTCACAGTCACCCAACCTCTTTGGATCAGTACTGGATAAATGAAGGTTTGGTTTGCCACCTTGATAAGGCTACATACTAAAATAAGAGGCAAGAATGCAAGGGACAATTCAGGCAAAGTACAAATTCCTTTAGTTTGAAGACAGTCTGGCAGACAGTATGTAACAGAAGTGGGGAGAAGCAAGAGTTACGAAGGTGATCATCTATTTCTAAAGTGTTCCAAAAGGATAGGTCTATCCCATCTCTGAAACCTTCTCCTGCATATAAAACGATTCACTTTAGACAAGAGATTTTTTTCCCCCTTTAGGAGATTTTTAATGACATAAAGAGAATCAACAGGAAAATATGACTCATTTTTACCAAAACGCACTTTATAGCTAATTTTGCTATAACATTTTTCTGCAAAGCCAAGGATAACTGCTGGAAAAAAAAAACAGCTGTATTAATCCATATTTGAGAACAGCAACCTGACTTACCGGAAGTAAATCTGAAACGAAAGTTTTCCTTCTGACTCTTCTTTTATGAGAAATTCCTTCCATTTCATCATCTTCAATCAAATCATCCCCATTAGTGTTCTCTAATATTTCCTCAGCCTCTGCAGCAGTTTTTAACCTTTGCGTTTCAGCCTCTTTCATTTGAATAACCATTTCACCAGCATCCATTCCCAAAACTTCAGATAAGATCTTTAGTAAGGCATTTATGATTTCTGCTTGACTCTTGCATGGAATAATGTCCTTTAGATTCCAAATTGTGCCTGGGAAAAAAACAAGCATAAGGATAAGAAATGCCTGTGAAATATTTTACTAAGTTTAAGTTTTCACAAGACTGGAGCTTTTAAGGCCAGTGTAATTTCAAAAAATCTCAGCCCTACTGCCTTTGTTCATTATTTATTAAATATCAATGAGTTCTGCACTGAGGCAGTGCCCTTAGTTATAACCCTGCACAATCATCTCCCTTCCTTGGCACACAATGCCTTTCTCTGATACACTGCATTATCAGCAGACCCAGAGAACACTGATCAAGTTTCTTTTAAAATGACAAAGTGAGTGGCATCACTTTCTTTCATTGTAACCTAAGCTGCTCTCCTCAGCAGCTTCTTATATTCCAAGAGTGAAATGGAATGCACTAAAATTCCAAGGTTGGTCTGACATATAAACATGAGAGTAGGTTCTTAATTTTTTGATTATCAAAAAAGAACAGGAGCTATCATTAAGTAGTCAGAGTAATTTTTTTTTAAGTTACTACAAAAATAAAAACACCTCCTGACTATAAACCCAAAAGAACTGAAAGCAGGGACTTGAACAGATTACATTCATTTTTGCCAGGTGCAGTGTCTCACCCTGTAATCCCAACACTTTGGGAGGCCAAGGTGGGAGGATCACTCGAGGTCAGGAGTTCGAGACAAGCCTGGGCAACATGGTGAAACCTCATCTCTACTAAAAATACAAAAATCAGCCAGGCGTGGTGGTGGGCGCTTGTAATCCCAGCTACTTGGGAGGCTGAGGCATGAGAATCACTTGAACCCAGGAGGCAGAGGTTGCAGTGAGCCGAGATCTTGCCACTGCACTCCAGCCTGGGTGACAGAGCAAGACTCTGTTTCAAAAAAAAAAAAAAAAATTACATCCATTTTCACAGCAGCCGTATTCACAATATCCAAGTTGTAGAAGTAACCCAAGTGTCCATCAACAGATGAAGAGATCAACAAAATGTGGTATAATACCTACAAGGCAATATTATTCAGCATTAAAAAGGAAGGAATTTCTGACACATGCTACAACATGGATGAACCTTGAGGCCACTATGCAAAAAGAAATAAGCCAGTCACAGAAAGACAAATTCTGTATGATTCCACTTCTATGAGGTGTTTAGAGGAGTCAAGGAATGGTGGCTGACAGCAGCTGGGGGAAGGGGAAATGGGAAAAATTGTGTTTAAAGGGTACAGTTTCAGTTTTGCAAGATGAAAAAGAGTTCCGGATTTTTACTGCACAACAATCTGAATGTACTTTACACCACTAAAGTATACATTTAAAAACAATTAAAGGCTGGGTGCTGTGGCTCACGCCTGTAATTCCAGCACTTTGGGAGGCCAAGGTGGGCAGATTACAAGAGCTCAGGAGTTTGACACCAGCCTAGGGAACATGGTGAGATGCCATCTCTACAAAAAAAAATACAAAAAATTAACTGTGGCTGGGGACTGTGGCTCACGCCTGTAATCCCAGCACAGGGAGGTCGAGATGGGCCAATCACTTTAGGTCAGGAGTTCGAGACCAGCCTGGTCAACATGGTGAAACCTCGTCTCTACTAAAAAAATAAAAAAATTAGGCCAGGCGCGGTGGCTCACGCCTGTGATCCCAGCACTTTGGGAGGCCAAGGCGGGCGGATCACAAGGTCAGGAGATCAAGACCATCCTGGCTAACACAGTGAAACCCCGTCTTTACTAAAAAAAAAAAATACAAAAAATTAGCTGGGCGTGGTGGCAGGCACCTGTAGTCCCAGCTACTCGGGAGGCTGAGGCAGGAGAATGGCGTGAACCTGGGAAGCGGAGCTTGCAGTGAGTGGAGATCGCGCCACGCACTCCAGCCTGGGCGGCAGAGCGAGACTCAGTCTCCAAAAAAAAAAAAAAAAAAAATAGCCAGGTGTGGTGGTGGGTGCCTGTAATGCCAACTATTCAGGAGACTGAGGCAGGAGGATCGCTTGAACTCAGGAGGCAGAGATTGCAGTAAGCTGAGCTCGCACCACTGCGTTCCAGCCTGGGTGACAGAGCAAGAGTCCGTCTCAAAAAAAAAAAAATTAACTGGTCCTGGTGGCATGCACCTGTAGTCCCAGCTACTTGGGAGGCTGAGATGGGAAGATCACTTGAGCCCAGGAGGTGGAGGCTGCAGTGAGCCAAGATTGCACCACAGCACTCCTGCCTGGGCAACAGAGGAGGACTCTGTCTCAAAAAAACCCAAAACGATTAAGACGGTAAATTTCATGTGTATTTTTCCACTATTAAAATAAAAAAACAGGCCAGGCGCAGTGGCTCATACCTGTAATCCCAGCACTTTAGGAGGTCAAGGTGGGCAAATCACCTGAGGTCCCGAGCTCAAGACCAGCCTGGCCAACATGGTAAAACCCCGTCTCTACCAAAAATACAGAAATTAGCTGAGCGTGGTGGCGCACGCTTGTAATTCCAGCTACTTGGGAGGCTGAGGCATGAGAATCACTTGAACCTGGGAGGTGAGGCTGCAGAGCCAGCCACCGCACTCCAGCCTGGGTGAAAGAGCCAGACTCCATCTCAAAACAATAAAAAATAAAAAAAGTAAAAAAGTAAAAAAAAAATCTCTCAACATAAATTATCTCTGCAAGACAAAGGGCAAGAAGAAAATAGATACATAAACTAAATAAAGTACATACTAAACAGACCTTCAGATAATTTCTTACTTCTGTATTCAGACATTCTGCAGAGAAAAGAGTTGGTGGTTAAAAAAAAAAAAACTTATGGAAAACTAAGTGGTCAATTTCTGAAATCACTGGTTCATAAATAAGTGGGGATCCTGACAACAGCATCTCTTTATCAGGTTAACAGTAGTTTGTTAAATTCGAAACAAATCTATTCTACAAGGATTTACAACTATAGACAACTGCTTGAAGTAAGGGTCTCTTCTCAGATATTAAAATTTTCAGAACAGATAAAAGCACAGAAGACCTAATGTGTTGAAATGAATGACTAAATTTTGCCCCCACCACATCCATACCAAAAGCTACTGAAACAATATACTATGCCGTAAGGCTAAATTTTACCTGCTACCAATGTCTTCAATAGAAGAGATTCCATGGAACTGACAGGAGAAAGCAGTGCTGATTCCAGCATGTTCAATGCTGTAGCACTGAAAGACTTCAGCAGCTCTGGGTTATCCTCAGTCACTGTCTGCAAACAATATGCTACGAGGCAAAAAATAAGTATTTAGAAACAAATGAATTCTGCTTTGGATAATTTACACCAGTATAACTCATCAATAAAACATTGTATCATTACCACTTCATTAGACACATGTAGGTTTTGCAAAATATATATGCTTTATCTCAGGGTGATATGCGCAAATGAGGCTTCCCAAACTATCAGTGCTGGAAAAGATCATGTTTCTTTTCTTTTTAAATTTCTAATCCTGTACAGATCTATACTTTTTTTTTTTTTTTTTGAGACAGTCTTGCTCTGTCACCCAGGCTGGAATGCAGTGGCGCATCTCAGCTCACTACAACCTCTGCCTCCCAGGTTCAAACGATTCCTGTGCCTCAGTCTCTCAGGTAACTGGAATTAAAGGTATGCGCCATGATGCCTGGCTAATTTCTATATTTTTAGTAGAGACAGGGTTTCACCATGAAAGCCAGGCTGGTCTGGAACTCCTGGTCTCAAGTGATCTGTCCGTTTCGGCCCTTCAAAGTGCTGGGATTACAGGCATGAGCCACCATGCCCAGCCAGATCTACACTTTTTACAAAATACAATTAAAAAGACTCTTTTATTTTTTTTTTGAGATGGAGTCTCGCTCTGTCGCCCAGGCTAGAGTGCAGTGGCACAATCTTGGCTCACTGCAAGCTCCGCCTCCTGGGTTCACACCATTCTCCTGCCTCAGGCTCCCGAGTAGCTGGGACTACAGGCACCCGCCACCATGCTTGGCTAATTTGTTGTATTTTTAGTAGAGATGGGGCTTCACCTTGTCAGCCAGGATGGTCTCGATCTCCTGACCTTGTGATCCGCCCGCCTCAGCCTCCCAAAGTGCTGGGATTACAGGTGTGAGCTACCACGCCCAGCCTAAAAAGACTCTTAAATGCGGCAATGTCGTTACTATAAATGTTTATAAAAGTTTATCCTCAGGCCGGGTGCGGTGGCTCATGCCCGTAATCCCAGCACTTTGGGAGGCTGAGGCAGGAGGATCACTTGAGGTCAGGAGTTGCAGACCAGCCTGGCCAGCATGGCAAAACCCCATCTCTACTGAAAACACAAAAATTAGCTAGGCATGGTGATGCACGCCTGTAATCCCAGCTACTTGGGAGGCTGAGGCAAGAGGATAGCTTGAACCCGGGAGGCGGAGGTTGTAGTAAGTCGAGATTGCGCCACTGCACTCCAGCCTGGGTGACAGAGCTGAGACTCCATCTCAAAAAAAAAAAAAAAATTTTACCCTCAATTTATGTACTTATCAAGGACCAGTAGCAAACAGCCTTAGGTTTTGGGACGTCTGGCTTCCTTTAAATTTATCATGACCTTCAAAGTTAGGGTTATTTCTGGCAGAGCAATAGCTCTTTAAGAAAAAAAGTAGTTTATATAAAAGTATGAGCAAATTAAGAGATGTGTAAAATATTAAATCATGCCCATCAAAATTACTCAAAATGCATGCTACTGCTGTGGTTGATGATACATTTATATGGAAATCCACATATATGCATTTCTGTACATATATCCAAATGTAATATCTTTGTCATTAAGAAACTAATTAAATTTACTTTAGCCAACAGCCATGACTGCTACCATACAGGTTCAAAAAAAGTTATATGAATACATGGGATGGAATCTTATAAGTTCATTTTACTATATGTAAGCATTGCTTGACTTTAGAAGCAAAAGTAATAATGTATTTTAAAAAATCATTAATCTAGCTACATGGAGAAGGAAAACACTATTATACAATGCAAAATGACTATTCTAATCCATTTCAAAAACGCTCATTAAGGGGAAGAAAAACTAAAAACAGAAATAAATCTATAAGACTAAAGGCACAAAAATAGAAGTGATTTTTCTTGTAAAAGATATGAACTAACTTTCCTGAAGTTCTCTTATTGTAACAAAAACTGTCCTCTGAGATTAAGTCACCTATCAATTTCCTAAAAATGGCTGAATCGTTTTTAAAATCCCCATTTACTCACAACTCTCCAGCCCCACCAAGATTCCATTTAGAGAAATGATTTTTAAAATTTTCTCAGTAGTATTTATTCTACTATTTTCCCTCAATTCTGTTCTCTTAAAAATATCCATTAGAGTCAAGAAAAACAGCAGTCAGGGGAATACACTTCTTCCTCCCCAGGAGAAATGCAGTTCCACAAAGGGACAGCTGGATGCCCGCAGTAATGATCGGTAGAAAAGAAATGCTCTCCCTCAATTGTTTCTCCACTCCCACCCAGAATTCTGCTGAGTTGCCTATGCTCTGACTTCTGCCTCCTGCCACTGAGCTGAGGGTCCCCAGTGGTTCCCCAGCCCAATAAAGAGAAGGCGAGGCAGCCAAAGCCACTGAAGTTGCTGGACTTTGCCTTCCCTGTCTCATGGAAGGCATGAAGGCCTAAGTGGAATTTCAATCATTTCTTTTCCTCTTTTTCTCTCAACAAAACTCAGGCCGTCAGTTTTCTGCTGGACGTATGAGATAGTAGCACAATACATTTAAATAAGTTTAGATTCCAATTAACTGGCTTAAAGGCCTGGTAGTTGTGCGTTACTGTTTCTTAGTAAATGGAGATGAAAACTTCAAGAATTAATAAAGGCTGCTAAGAATGGAAACAGGCTAGAAACCACATATCCTCACATAATTACCTTTCTCCCTTTCAGAGTCAAAAGCAGAAAAACTGAATGAGTAGGTAAAGAATTAATATTAATCACAGATTTAAGACCCAGAAAAAACAGGTGCTGAGCTACACATTCACATACAACGAAACAAAAAATCACTCCAGTGGAATAAACACGCCAAAGCTGCATAAAAATTTTTGAATAAGGCTACACATTCTTAATAAGTCATCACCTTTTCTTCACTTACCTACTGAAATAGCCAGGTCAACATTGGTAGGAAACCTACTTAAATACTTTAACACAATCTCCAAACACCCTTCTTTGTTGAATATAGACACTGCTCTACTACTGCATTCACTAAATTGAAGGGGGAAAAAAAAGTTTTACTATTCACATTTTAACAGTAGGAAATCAACCATAGCAATCCATAAAAAAACAAACGAGGCTTTATAAACCAAGGAGTTGGAATCAAACACCCACCATTTTTATCGATGAAGGAACTAACACCCATTCACATTCACTGTACATGAGAACTGGCTATCTATATTTTATTTCTATCACAATGGGACCTTTTCATCAATCTCTTTGCCATGATGCCAGTTTCCTTATAGAAGGTTAGAGCTGGAAGAGATCTTGTAAATCGTTTAATTCAACTCCCCATTTTATAAATGTGAAGACCCAGGCCCCAAGTGGTAAAGTGGCCCATCAAAGAGCACACATTTTGTTAGTGGTAGAGCCAGGCCCAGTACCTAGGTTCCCTGGGTCCAGGCTACTGTTTTTTCTTTCCTCCATACCACAATGATAACAAGTTAAAGGAGGATAAAAGGCCTCTATATTTATCACACAAAAACACAAATTTATTTTTTATTTTTTAACCTACTATATTTTAGAACATTAACAAAAACACACATTTAAAGGAAAATAAAATTATATTTTATTCAAGCCTTTTAGAGTGCAATTATAATTTCATCAAGCAGAATTTGCAGTCTACAATAGAGAAATTACAATAAGTATTTTTTAAATTATACTACCTTTTAATAAAAGACTCAGCTTTCAGTGTTATGAATAAGCAAACACATTAAATACGAGTTAACAAGGCTAATTGTAATAATTGTATCCATGTTTCCAGAGGAAATATCCATGTTGTACATGTTTCCTCCATACATATAACATACACACATGACACGCTAACAGAGCTGACTAAATTATTAAACTAAATCTGTTATGTAATGAAAAATATTTCATATCTTCTATCTACCTACCTACCTACCTATCTAGTTATGGCAGCATGAAGGAGCCCACAGTCTAGTCAGGAAGACAAGGCATATATGTGTAAAGATAATTTGAAATATAAATGATGAAACAAAAATGTTAAAAGTTATAGTAACTCAGTGATACAGACAGGGCTCATAGGTATTCAGAAAAGAGAAATCACCTTGGAGATATATTCAGATTCTTTTCAAGGAAATTTTTTAAAAACTTCCAAATGCAACAATTTCTATGACTTAAAGTTATCTGGTGCACAGAAAAACAGCACCCATCAGTTTTTGCTCAAATGCCATTTCCTCAGATCTGATCTCTCTAATATTTCTGGTGGAATGCATTCATTAAAATGAAATCACAGGCAAGGTCAGATTGCCACGTAGGCATTTCAGGATCCAACTTAATCTTGTATTCTAAGAAACATCTGTGCTTTTAGGTCAGCCACTGTAATTGCTGCTGACTGAAGATAAGAAACTGTGACAGAGTCTTGCTAGAAATGTGGGACATAAAATGGGGCAGAAAAAAGTAAATCCAGGTTGTGTTTCTAGCCATTTCCATTCCTAGCGGCAAGTCCACTCCACCCTCACCACTGCTACAATCACAGAATGGAGAGTGGCCTTCTTCCTCCTGGGGCCAAGGGAGCTCTTCTTAGGCATCTACTTCCCAATCAGACAGTAAGTGCCAGGAAAGAGAAAGAAAAGCACCAGCCAAGGTCTGTGGTCCCCATCTCAGTCTAGAGGCCAAACCAAAGCTGCACCTGCATGTGGGACTGACCAGCTTAAAGACAAATTCTGCTCAGGGTGTACAAGAAGTCGGGGGAAAGGAGGAGCCACAGGTGCTAATGGTCATGATTCCTCCTATCTTTTGTCAGATGCAATGACTGGAGAGGAAAGCCGTAAAACAAAAGATGTAGTGATGCAGTAAGAAAACGGACTGGGAAGGAGGGTTGATCTTAGGTCACTTGATCCTGCCTCTTACCAAGTCTTTTTTTTTTTTGAGACAGGAATTTCGCCCTGTCCCCCAGGCTGGAGTGCAGTGGCACGATCTTGGCTCACTGCAAGCTCTGCCTCCAGGGTTCAAGCGATTCTCCTGCCTCAGCCTCCCGAGTAGCTGGGATTATGGGCATGTACCACCACACTCGGCTAATTTTTTAATATTTTTGGTAGAGACGGGGTTTCACAGTGTTGGCCAGGCTGGTCTCAAACTCCCGACCTCAAGTGATCCACCCGCCTCGGCCTCCCAAAGTGCTGGGATTACAGGCATGAGCCACCATGTCCGGCCCCTACCATGTCTTAACATCCCAGATTAACAGGCCTACCAAGGGGAACAGAGATTCCTACACAGTATAACAGAGAATAGCAGCCTGGGTACTGCTATAGCAGGAGACTGTGTTTGGTAGGCATCTTACCATATATTCCACAGCACGTTCACAGTCTCATTGGCTATGTTCTCAATAGAATTTCTGTTCTGATCTTTTTTCTCCTGCAGAGACATCTCATTTGAATCCAGTCCAGCACTACACTGTAACCAAATATCATGATTAGCACCCTGGTTCCTAAGAAGAATTAAACAAATAGGGTAATGATGGTGATGAAACACAAAGGCTAGACATCAGAAATTACCGTGGTTAACAAGCCAGTCGAATCCTTACAAACAGTAGTACAAAATCAATACAAAGTATTTTACCTAATAAATGTAATAAAAGACAGTAGGAAGGCAACAAAAGATGAAATAAGAGCTTCTACCTAGCACCTTCTGTTTATTACATAGCGCCTTCTAAAGTACTATTCTAAGCATTTTACATGTATCAAGTCATTTAATCCTCACAATAAACCTATGAGGTAGGTGAACTATTATTATCCCCAATCTCCAGCTGCAAATGGGAAAGTGAGGTACAGGGAGGCTGCTGAAGGTGTTAGATTAGCATGTGGTGAAGCTGGGATTCAGGCCCTAGCATTTGACTCCAAAGCTGGTGCTCTTAAGCCCCTCTAGTACAGCCCAGGAGACCCTCTAAAGCAGGGCTTCTCAATCCAGGTACTACTGAAATTCTCCACCAGAAAATTCTTTGTTGGGGAAGGAAGGGCTGTCGTGTGCATTTGGGGATGTTTAGCAGCATCCCTGGCCTCTACCCACTGGATGCCAGTGGCAAACCCCACAAGCTCTGTAACAACCAATGTCTCCAGACATTGCCAGTTATGCCCTGTGAAGCAAGATCATACCCAGTTGAGAATCACTGCTCTAAAATGACTGATGCCTCTCATCAAAACTGGATATCCTTTATGTAGCCTTAAGTGAAAATTACCCATCAGTACAGAATAGAGGACCAGAGGCACTCCAGAGACAGAGCTCCTTAACCTCTTGACTAT
Organism: Homo sapiens; assembly: GCF_000001405.40. Taxonomy (NCBI): domain Eukaryota; kingdom Metazoa; phylum Chordata; class Mammalia; order Primates; family Hominidae; genus Homo; species Homo sapiens. The sequence continues at coordinate 50,069,332 of NC_000016.10, read as the reverse complement.
GTCATGCAATAAGACTGGAATGAGATCAAACATGAGAACTTACTGTAATCTTCACAAGTTCCTAATGTCTGTGCCTCGGCTTTGTCATCTGTAAAATGGGAATAATACCTGCCTCATAGAATACTGTGAGGATTAAATTATATAATATCCAAAACATGAAAATAATACCTGGCACATAAATAAGCAATGACTAAATACTAATTATTTTTATTGTAAGAAGTTTAACATCTAAAGGAGTGAGTCTGTACAATTTTAGGAAAGTCTTTTCCAACTATCATAAAAATAAAGCTACAAAATAATAGAGATTAGTATCAATAATGAGAGCAGATTGGTGTTTCCAGGAAAAGGAATGAAATTTCCATAAGATGTTTAGATAGAAGACAAAGTCACCAACACCAAAGTACTAAAAAAAGTCTAAGTTTGCATCCCAAAAGCTACCATCAAGATACTGTAAAAACTGCATACCTCTTTTAGCAGCGCAACCAGAGGGGTCATGATATCCTTAGTCACCATGTCATCACAAACTTCAAAACCTCCACAAGCACTGAGATTTCTACACAAGAAGTTTAAAACATGTTTTACTTTCACATCACATGTCACAGAACACTTCTACCCTCTCACATTTCTATTTTTAGCCATATTTAAGGTTTCCCAGAGGAAATAGCTTATTGTTTCTGTCATACGCTGCAGAACCAATCCAGAGATTTCCATCTGTTCTGATCCATGTTCTACAAGATATAAACAGACGACGCTGTCATATAACTTAGTTCTGAGGTCTGAAACAGTATACAGGTGCATGGCTACAAGAAGGGGAGAGGGGAGACTTTTCTCATGTGAATAAATCACATCATGTATGAAGGGACCTTTTCTTGGAATCAAGACTACAAGGGCAGGGCTAGGTGCTGTGGCTCACACCTGTAATCCCAGCACTTTGAGAGGCCTAGGTGGGAGGATCAATTGAGCTCAGGAATTCAAGACCAGCCTAGGAACAGCGGGAGACCCCGTTTCTAAAAAAATAAAATAAAATAAAAAGCGAACTGCAAGGGCAGCAAGGTGGGGCTACTGAGAATGACACCCCCTAAAGCAGCCCTGGGTAAATTTTAATTGGAAAGACATGACTTCCGAGTACACAGCACTGTGCTAGTCCCTAAGGATATGGAGATAGTCAGAAGATGCCCTCACAATGTGCCAGGATCCCCCAGCCTCTGTATGCTGTGGGAGGAAGGGAAGGGCTTTCCACATGCTGTTTCCTCCCTAAAGGAAGAAGAGCGTCTATCCCCCCTCCATCAACTGGTGAATGCCCATTCATTCCTCCGAGCTCACCTCAAGCACCACTCACTCAGTCTTCTTCCCTGAACCCTTTGTTTGTACCCTCTTTTAGCACCCTTTGTCATTACCATTCATTGTAATCATACACTTATGTAACTGTTTGGTTAATGCTTGTCTCCCTCAATACACTTTAAGATTTCTTAAGGAGAGACATTGCCTTGCTCATTACCCCATGCCCACAGCTTAGCTCAGTGTCTGGCACACAGTTGGCACTTTATACATATTTGCTATATCAGTGAATGAAATATAAATAACAAACAGAGACAGAGCTGTAAGAACTACAAATACTAACCTCTACTCTTGCCCCCTCTGCAGTCCATTCTCTGCACAACCAGCAGAGTGGTCTTCACAAAATGTGTTGCAGCATGTCACTTCCCTGCTTAGAGTTAAGTCCTCAGCCCTACACCATCGTACAGCTCATCCCTCTCTCCAGCCTCACTTCCTGTAATTACCCACCCCTGCTCTTCTCAGCCACCTACCTACCCTCTCTGCTGTTTAACCACGTCAAGCTGCCTGCTGCTTCGCTTCTTTGCTGTTGCTGCTCCCTTTGTGGGGAATATTCTTCCCCCTATTTTCCCATGCCTCCTGGCTCTCTCACCCTGCACATCTCCTTTCACAAGTCATCTAAAGAGCACCTTTTTTTTTTTTTGAGACAGGGTCTTGTTCTATCACCCAGGCTGGAGTGCAGTGGTGTGATCATAGCTCACTGCAGCCTCGAACTCCTGGGCTCAAGCGATTCTCCTACCTCAGCCTCCTGAGTAGCTGGGATTACAGGCACCCACCACCATGCCCGACTAATTGTTTATAATTTTTCTACAGACGGGGTCTTGCTATGTTGCCCAGGTTGGCCTTGGACTCCTGGCCTCCAGTGATCCTCCTTCCTTGGCCTCCCAAAGCAATGGGATTACAGGTGTGTGCCACCGCGCCCGGCCCAAGAGCACCCAATTCAAACTTCCCACCCCCAACTCATCATCATCTCGTTTTCCCACAGCAATTCTCACTATTTAATATTATGTTTTACCTTTTTACTAGCTTCCTGTCTGTCTCCCCATCAACATGACTTGTGCCAAGACAGGGATCTTGGCTGTCAACAGATCTCGCTCAAAAGTCTTGGCTGCTCAAAGTCCCCTGCATCTAGAACGATTCCTGACACATGAACTGAAGAGTTCATCCAAGCAAGGGACCCTAAGGAGGGCTTTTGGAGAGTGTAAAACGTGCGCAAGGCGTGAGGGCAGGACGCCTGAGCAGGTGGACGCTGCAGGTGAAGCAGCCAGGTGGACAGATGAGATGCGGGGATACTGGGCTTCTCCGGAGCCTGGAGACTGGCTTCAAATCTCTGCAAACGGGAGACCGGGCCAGTGCCTGATGGCACACAGAAGGCGCTGGGTGACCGCTGCGACCGCCCGCAGCCCAGACGCGGGGGAGGCCAGCGGTGGGCACCGCCCCGCACCCTTCCTGGCTCACCTCAGCGCGCCGGCTGCAGTCTCCCTGACGGCCAGGCTGGGGTCTAGCAGCAGCGGCCCGAGGCGGCGCACGGCGTCTCGTCGCGCCAGGCCCGGGAGTGCCGGCCGCTGCTGCACCAGCCGGGCCAGCCCTGCGCAGGCGCACTCGCGGACCTCGGCGCTCGGGTGCTGGAGCTGCGGATGAGAGCGAAAAGGGTCAGAAGGCGCGCAATGCGCACGCGCGCGGGGCAACCTCGTCTCGCCTCCCGGCCCGACGGAGCCCTCGCCTCACCTTTTCCAGCAGCTCCGCCGCCGGCCCGTCGTCCTCCTCGCCTCCGGTCCCATTCGCCGCCGCAGCCGCCTCGGCCTGACAGTCGCCCGTAGGGGAGAACTGAGGTCGCTTGAAGCGCTTCGTCCGGCTCTTGCCCATGGTGACGTGCGCTGGGCGGACAGACCACCGAGAGAGGAGGGCAACAGCAGGCGGTGGAGGCTGCCGCGCCGTTAACAAGGTCCGTTGCTGCTGCTCAGCTGGGCCGGCTGACGGCTGCAGCACACATGGGCAAGCCGTGCGCAGGCGCACGGCGCGTCGTCTGCCGGGTCGGGGTTGGGGCGGGGCGGGGTGGGGGGAACTGGCGCACGGAGCGCGCAGGCGTGGAAGAGGGCATAGGCGGGGCCAGCTTCGGCAAAGGGGCGGAGCCTTGTGGGTTTACCGGGTAAGTAGGAGGTTGGACTAGAATAGTAACGCCGACCCGGGCGAGAGGATCACTTGAGGCCAGAAGTTCGAGACCATCTTGGGCAACATAGGAAAACACTCCACTCCCTGTCCTCCCCACCAAAAAAATTAAAAATTATCTGGGCATAGTGGCGTGTGTGTGTAGTCCCAGCTACTTGGGACGTTGAAGCCGGAGGATCACTTGACCCCAGGAGTTTGAGGCTGAGGTGAGCCGTGATCCTGCTACTGCACTCCATCCTGGGCGACAGAGCGAGACCCTGTCTCAATCAATCAATCAAGCAACCAATAAGTTAGTAACACCGGCTACAAATAATCAAATGTGATTAAGAATACCTAACTTGCAAGGTTATTGTAAGTTCTGTAAAGTTCATAAAGTTCTGTAAAGTGCCTAACACCAAGCCTGATATATAGCAGGTACTCAAAAAGCATTAACCACGATTTTATTTTGTGTCCCCAGCACCTCCCATAGCTCCTGTCGTAGACAGAGACTAGTTAATGTTTTGGAACGAATGTGTGTCTATATTTGATAAAACAGAATCGCTTAAGAACCTAATCTCCCTGCCTTAGTTTCCTCATCAGTGAAGTGGGGACATCGATAGTATATACCTCATGGAGTTGTTACGAAGACTAAATGTGTTCATATGTTTAAGGTGCTAAGAACAGAGACTGGCAGATACTAAGCACTATGTAAATGTTTGGAAACGTATTTAACAAAGAGATTCTTTTGCAGATATTTGTTGAGTACTAGGTACAGTGCTGGGCATTGGAATAAAGCAGTAATCAAGACAGTTTGGTTCCTGTCCTCTCTCCCTGTCCTTATGGAATTTACAGTCCAGGGAGAGATCTGTTGAATATATAATTATATGAATAACTTTGGTTATAATTGTGGTAAATACTAAGCAGAGGGAAAAGTACAGGAGAATCTTAGGTGGTCTTTATAATTAGACATGTAACGAGTGAGTACTCAATATATGCATAGCTTTGGGTCAATTTTCTTTTTTTCTTTTTGTTTTTGAAACAGAGTCTCACTCTGCTGTCCAGGCTGGAGTGCAATGGTGCGATCTCGGCTTATTGTAACCTCTGCCTTGGAGTTCAAGCAGTCCTCCTGCCTTAGCCTCCTAAGTAGCTGAGATTACAGGTATGTGCCACCATGCCCAGCTATTTTTTTTTTATTATTATTTTTAGGAGAGACGGGGTTTTACCACGTTGGTCAGGCTGGTCTCGAACTCTTGATCTCAAATGATCTGCCTGCCTCAGCCTCCCAAAGTGCTAGTATTACAGGTATGAGCCACCACGCCCAGGCTCAGGTCAACATTCTACTGGAGAAAATTTCCATTCCATGGTAACCCTACTGTCAAAGAGTTGACTGTCCAGTAAGGGAAATTAATTACTATGGCAAATTTTAGAGAGTAACAGAAGTGTAGCTCATGTTGCATTTGGGCCTATCAAAGATCAATCTTGGGCTGGGCACTGTGGCTCACACCTGTAATCCCACCACTTTGGGAAGCCAAGGTGAGCAGATCACCTGAGGTCTGGAGTTCAAGACCAGCCTGGCCAACATAGCGAAACCCCATCTCTACTAAAAATACAAAAATTAGCCAGGCATGGTGGCATGTGCCTGTAGTCCCAGCTACTTGGAGGCTGAGCCAGGAGAATCTCTTGAACCTGGGAGGCAAAGGTTGCAGTGAGCCGAGATCACGCCACTGCACTCCAGCTTGGGTGACAGAGCGAGACTCCGTCTCAAAAAAAAAAAAAAAAAAAAAATCAACCTTGGAGCCACTAAATATATGTTGGTGGGTTTTACTTCCTGTATATTTTATCAGGCCATCGATCTGCCTGCCACCCACCTAGTCCAGGCAACCGTCTTTTTGTTGTTGTTTTTTTTGAGATGGAGTCTCTTTCTCGTTGCTCAGGCTGGAGTGCAATGGCATGATCTCGGCTCACTGAAACCTCTGCCTCTTGGGTTCAAGTGATTTTCCTGCCTCAGCCTCCTGAGTAGCTGGGATTACAGGTGCATGCCACCACGCCCAGCTAAATTGTATTTTTAGTAGAGATGGGGTTTCACCATGTTGGCCAGGCTAGTCTCGAACTCCTAACCTCAGGTGATCCACCAGTCTCGGCTTCCCAAAGTGCTGGGATTACAGGCGTTATCTACCACGCCTGGCCTAGGCTACTGTCTTTTATCTTGAGCACGTGGCTCTCTGGTCTCTCCATTTCCACCCTGCCTGTCCCCCATCCATTGAGCAGCTAGAGTGATCTCAAAATATCCCTCCACCTTTCTCCTTATATTGTATTCACTTCCTCGCTTAAAACTTTTCAGTGGCTGCCGGGCATGGTGACTCACGCCTGTAATCCCAGCACTTTGGGAGGCTGAGGCGGGTAGATCACTGAGGTCATGAGTTCAAGACCGGCCTGGCCAACATGGTGAAACCATGTATGTACTAAAAATACAAAAATTAGCTGGGTGTGGTGGCACGTACCTGTAATCCCAGCTACTCAGGAGGCTGAGGCAGGAGAATCACTTGAACCCAGGAGGCAGAGGTTGCAGTGAGCCCAGATCACACCACTGGTCTCCAGCCTGGGTGACAAAGCAAGACTCCGTCTCAGAAGAAAAAACCAAAGAAAACAAAAAACTTTTCAGTGGCTTCCCTTTCTCTTTGGATAAAGATCAAAATCTTACCAGGGCTGCAGGGTTTCACCCCGGCCCCCAGCCTCACCTCTTCATTTTGCTCTTTTAGCCAACATCTATGGGGCCTCAGGGGTTTGCACAAACCCCAGCCCCTACCCTATGAACTAGTGAACACAGTCTTCATAGGCAGAGACAGGGACTTCGTAGTGAGAGACAGGTCTCCCTTGAGACAGCATGTACCTCGTTTCTTTGCTTCAAAGCACATATCAAAATTACAGTCGTAATTTTCAATTTCTTTGTGAACGGTTATACAATTGCCTTTCTCCCCAGCTGAACACTAGCACCTATAAAGACAAGACAGTGCCCATTTTCACACATCACAGTATCCCCAACACTAGCCCAGAGCCTGGCACAAGATAGTCATGCAATTTCTTGAATGAATGGAGTGACCACGTAGGAAAGAATAGGGCATTAAATCTAGATGGAATAAGATGACGAGAATTTAGATGAGATAGAAACAGATTCCTCCTGTTTCTCTCACTGTGAGGATGAGCAAGAAAAAAGTGGTTCAAAACTCAGGCTGGGCGCGGGGGCTCATGCCTGTAATCCCAGCACTTTGGGAGGCTGAGGCGGGCAGATCACCTGAGGTCAGGAGTTCCAGACCAGCCTGGCCAGCATGGTGAAACCCCGTCTCTACAAAAAATACAAAAATTAGCCAAGCATGGTGGTACATGCCTGTAGTCCCAGCTACTCAGGAGGCTGAGGCAAGAGAACCACTTGAACCTGGGAGGTGGAGGTTGCAGTGAGCTGAGATCATGCCACTGCACTGCAACCTGGGCGACAGAACGAGACTCCGTCTCAAAAACAAACAAACAAAAAAAACCTTAACTAGATGAGCACAGAGGACTTTTAGGGCAGTGAAAATACTTTAGATGATATAATGGTGGATATATGTCATTGTACATTTTTCCAAACGTCTAGAATGTATAACACCTAGAGCAAACCCTAATGTAAACTACGGATTTGGGGTGATAATGGCATGTCAGTGTAGGTTCATGGTTGTAACAAATGCATCATGGTGGAAGATGTTATCATGGGAGAGGCTGTGCATATGTGGGGGCTGGGAGTATGTGGGAAATCTCTGTACTTTCCTCTTTTTGCCGTGAACCTGAAACTGCTTTAAAAAATAAAGTCTTCGGCCAGGTTCACTGGCTCAAACCTGTAATCCCAGCACTTTGGGAGGCCATGGCGGCTGGATCACTTGAGCCCAGGATTTCAAGACCAGCGTGGGCAACATAATGCGACCCCATCTCTACAAAAAATTAAAAAATTAGCTGGGTGCGGTGGTGTGTGCCTGTAGTCCCAGCTACTTGGGAGGCTGAGGTGGGAGAATCACTTGAGCATGGGAGGTGGAGGCTTCAGTGAGCCGAGATCACACCACTGCGCTCCAGCCTGGGTGACAGAGTGAGACCCTGTCTCAAAAAATAAAACTAAATTCTTAAAAAATATAAATACGTATAAATACCATAGCTAGAGCAGAACTTTGTGGTCTGTTATCATTAGTTACTCTTTCCAGTGATAAATTACCATTGCTGCTAAAATGAGTAATTAGCTTTATTTAATGAGCTTAAGAGCCCTTCTGGGAGCCACCCTCAGTCAATTGTCAGTCTTGGAAGGAGCCCAGTGATCTTTAACCAGTCTAATCTTCCTTCACCAGTCATTTTTTAAAATGCAGTGAAGTAGTGATTATCTAACCATCCCTTTTTCCTGCAAATTATCTTTGTCAAGAGGGAATTTTTGAATTAGACTGCTTAGAAGCCTCTTCCCTTGAGACAAGTTGGAAATAAGCTTGTCATCAATTATTGGTCTGACAAATTAAAAAAAAAAAAAGGAGTTAGGCTGGGTGCAGTGGCTCACCTGTATTCTCAGAACTTTGGGAGGCCAAGGTGGGAGGATCACCTGACTTCAGGAGTTTGAGACCAGCCTGGGCAACATCAAGAGACCATATCTCTACAGAAAGTTTAGAAATTAGCCAAGCACAGTGGTGTTTGCCTGTAGTCCCAGCTACTTAGGAGACTAAGGTGGGAAGATCGCTTGAGCCCAGGAGTTTGAGACTGCAGTGAGCTATGATTGCACCACTACACTCCAGCCTGGGCCATAAAGTGAGACCCTATCTGAAAGGAAAAAAAAAAGAAAAAAAAAAGAGCTGCTCTGCCGGACTCCTGTTCCTCCCACTTCGAATTTTTATAATGTAATCTTCCTACAACACACTCAGATCAGTTTTTTCTAGAACATTTAGACAGTCCCATGGTCTTATACAGTCAGGTTCAGCCTTTTACATAACATACACAATGTGGCCACAGCACTCTGCCATGTCCCTCCAACACCACATCTCCAGCCCTGGGAGCCTCCTCAGTCTTCCCAGAAACTCTGTGGGACTTTGCTTTCCTTAGGCCTGGACTACCATCGAGCTGGGCAAGCTTCCATAACTCACAATGGCGTTAATCATCGCCATTCTAGTACAGTCTCTGATCCACTTACAGTTCCTGTGAGCTTTAGGGACTCATTGTGGGAAGAATGAGAAATATAAACCCAAAAGATGGTCAACCCCTGGGGCCTGGCCTACTGTCCTCCATTTCCTGCTGCCCCAGCAGATGCTGCACCCTTGGGCCAGCCGTGTACTTTATGTGCCCTGTACCTCTCTCAGAATTGTTCATGAAGCCAGGTGTGGTGGTGCACGCCTGTAGTCCCAGGTTCTCAGCAGGCTGAGGCAGGAAAATCACTTGAACCCAGAAGTTGGAGGCTACAGCGAGCTAGGATCATACCACTGCACTGCAGCCTGGGTGACAGACCCTGTCCCAAACAAGAAAAAAGTAATTGTCCATGAGTTGTCATCAAAGGTATACGTGTGAGGCCAGGCACGGTGGCTCATGCCTGTATTCCCAGCACTTTGGGAAGCCAAGGTGGGCGGATCGCTTGAGCCCAGGAGTTCAAGACCAGCCTGGACATTGTGGCAAATCCCGTCTCTACAAAAAATACAACAAATTAGCCAGGCATTGTGGCACAAGCCTGTGGTCCCAGCTACTCCAGAGGCTGAAGTGGGAGGATCACTTGAGCCCAGGAGTTTAAGGCTGCAGAGAGCTGTGATTGTACCACTGCGCTCCAGCCTGGGTGATGGAGTGAGACCCTGTTTCAAAAAACAAAAAATGTATACATGTGAGCTGCCCACACTAGCCTCTGAATTAGCAGTGCCTGGCACTTCGCTGAATTAATGTCCCTGGTGTGTCCACTCCCTCCTCGTGGTTACTGTCCTCTGTCTCAGCTGGCCCTACATAGAGTGACTCAGTAGTCACCAACAAGGAATGTCACTGCTGGTAAAGTCATCTGCAAGATGATTAGACACTGGGTCTCTAGTTCCAGTTCTGCCACTAACAAGCTGTCTGAACAAGGGAAGTTTTCTTTATTTACATAGACTTGGTAAGGGTTTTTGAACTATTAGAGGCCTGGGAACCATTTTGATGATTTCAAGAAAGGAAGGAAAATCGCCGGTTGGGTGCCTCCTGAGCAGGTGTCAGAGCCTGGGATAGGCACTGTTGCTGGTCATCCCCCACTTGGTCCTCAGAACTTGCTGAGATAGGTGTGACAATTGCATAACTGCTGACAGCCAACCCAAGGAAGTCACTGCAAAGGGACCTGCTACCCACCGAATTTCACCCCATTCATTCATTCACTTAGCAGATATTTATAATTGAGTGCTTGCCAGGTATCAGTCCCTGCAGCAGGTGCTAGGGATAATGAGAGAACCAAGCTCCAGTCCATGATGTCATGGTGTTTACAGTCTACCTAGCCTTGCAGCTCTATGCTGCCTTTAACAAAGGTCTTGTAGAAGAAATTATTACTCACTCGCTGCCACTAGCCCACACACCACGTCCTCCCGCTGCTCAGCCACCCACTTCTCCACGATGGCGATGGAAGAAGAGATCATCGTGCTCATCATTGACAATGGCTCTGGCAGGTGCAAAGCTGGCTTTGCTAGGGACGATGCCCCCTGAACCATGTTCCCCTCCATTGTCGGGTGCCCCGGGCACCAGCTCATGATGGTGGGCATGGATGGGCCAGAAGGACTCCTATGTGGGCGACGAGGCCCAGAGCAAGTACGGCATCCTGACCCTGAAATATCCCATCGAGCAGGGCATGGTCACGAACCGGGATGACATGGAGAAGATCTGGCACCACACCTTCTACAACAAACTGCGTGTGGCCCAGAGGAGCACCCAGTGCTGCTGACTGAGGCCCCCCTGAACCCCAAGACTAGCAGAGAGAAGATAACTTGGATCATGTCTAAGACCTTCAACACCCTGGCCATGTGTGTGGCCATCCATGCCGTGCTGTCCCTCTAGTGCTCTGGGCACACCAGTGGCATTGTCACAGACTCTGGAGATGGGGTCGCCCACACGGTGCCCATCTCCCCTAACCAACTACCTCATGAAGATCCTCACCGAGTGTGGCTACAGCTTCACCTGTAGCTTCACCCCACGGCCGAGTGGGAGATCGTGCGTGACATCAAGGAGAAGCTGTGCTACGTTACCCCGGACATCAAGCGGGAGCTGGCCACCGCCGTGTTCTCGTCCCTGGAGAAGAGCTATGAGCCACCCGACGGCCAGGTCATCACCATCTGCAGCCAGTGGGTCTGGTGTCCAGAGGCAACTTTCCAGCTTTCTTTCCTGGGCATGGAACCCCCGGCATCCACAAGACCACCTTCAGTTCCATCGTAAAGTGTGACGTGGACATCCACAAATACCTGTAGGCCAAGATGATGCTGTCCTGCGGCACCACCGTGTACCTGGACATCACGGGCAGGATGCAGGAGATCACCACTCTGGCGCCCAGCACCATGAAGATCACAATCATCGAGTCCCCTGAGCACAAGTACATGGTGTGGATTGGCGGCTCCATCCTGGCCTCCCTGTCTACCTTCCAGCAGATGTGGATTAGCAAGCAGGAGTACGAGGAGTCAGCCCCCTCCATCATCCACCGCAAATGCTTCTAAATGGACTGCGAGCAGATGCCTAGCATTTGTGGCGTGGATTAATTCAGAAGAATAAATTTGCCCCTGGCAAATGCATACACCCCATGCTAGCCTCATGAAACTGGAATAAGCCTTCAAAAAGAAATTCGTCCTTGAAGCTTGTATCTGATATCAGCACTGGATTGTAGAACTTGTTGCTGATTTTGACCTCATATGCAAGTTAACTGTTCCCTTGGTATTTGTTAAGTATTCTGTACATATCTTGGATCTCAACCCTTAGTACATGTGGCTTGGTCACTTTGTGGCTGAGGTAAGAACGTGCTTGTGGAAGACAAGTCCATGGCTTGGTGGGTCTGCGTGGCCAGCAGTCTCCCACGAGTGCAGGGTGTTAATGTGTTAGGGCTGAGTGTTCTGGGATTTCTCTAGAGGCTGGCAAGGGCTCCTGAACCAGTTGTTTCTGTTCTGCTGGTCTGTCAGGGTTGGAAAGTCCAAGCCATAGGACCCAGTTTCCTTTCTTAGCTGATGTTTTCCTGCCGGAATACCATGGCTGTTACTTGCCTTGAGTTGGAAGTGGTTTGCATTTACACCTGTAAATGTATTCATCCCTTTAATTTACGTAAGGTTTGTGTGTGTGTGTGTGTGTGTGTGTGTGTGTGTGTATGCAATTCTCAATTCTTTAAGAGATGACAACAAATTTTGGTTTCTTACAGTTATGTGAGAACATTAGGCCCCAACAACACGAGTGCGTAAGGAAAAATAAAAGTGCTGATGAAAAAGAAAAAAAGAAAAATTATCCAAAACTTGGAAATAAGCAAAAAGGATAGCTGCACATTTTTTCTGTTTCTTTTCTTTATATATGTTTTTTAAATCTTTTTTTGAGACAGGGTCTTGCTCTCTTGCCCAGGCTGGAATGCAGTGGTGTGGTCTTGGCTCACTGCAACTTTCACCTCCTGGGCTCTAGCCATCCTCCCACCTCAGCCTTCCGAGTAGCTAGGACTACAGGTGCCCACCACCATGCCCAGCTGATTTTTTTTTTTTTTTGTAGAGATGGGGTTTCACCATGTTGCCTAGACTGGTCTCGAACTCCTGAGTTCAACTGATCTGCATGCCTCAGCCTCCCAAAGTCCTGGGATTAAAGGCATGAGCCACTGCACCTGACCTGCATATTTTTTTCAATATTACATTGTCCCAATGTCTAACAGACCCATGAAATGATTATTTCTCTAAGGCAGTACCATCAAGCAGAGTTTTCCACAAAGAGGAAAATGTTCTCTGCCTGCCCTGCCCAGTAGAGTAGCTACTAGCCAAACATGGCTATTTTGTTGTTGTTGTTTTATTTTTTTATTTTCTTTTTTTTTGTAGAGATGAGGTCTCTCACCCTGTTGCCCAAGCTGGTCTTAAACTTTTGCCCTCATGCAATCCTCCTGACTTGACCTACCAAAGTGCTGAGATTACAGGAGTGAGCCACTGCACTTGGCCCACAATTGGCTACTGAACACTTGAAGTAAGGCTACTGCTAGGAACTAAATTTTCAATTTTGGTTAATTAAAAACATTTTTTGTTGTTGATGCCTGCCCAATTTTCCAACAAGCCAGATGTCCATAGAACTGAAGCTTGAGAAACGTACGTTTCTTCTGTGGGATGCCCCTGCTGCCTGTTGACCAACTCCTCTTCCTTGCTGCTCCTGTTATCCTCCCATGATGTGTAAACACCTACCTTTAGTCAGGGAGGAGGAATGGATTTGAGGTTTATTTCCGGTCTCTCCCAGTGATGTCACCTGAAGAAAGCTTTCTTCCCTGCAATACTTGTTGTCTCAGTGATTGGCTTTCTGTATATCAAGCCTAGGACCTAGACTGAACCCCTGGTGTTCATTAACATTATGACATTAAAAAGTAAATAAAAATAAAATAAAAATAAAAATAAATAGCTACACGTGACTAGATGCGATGCATTTGTAAAGTGCAACTCTAAAGCAGTGCGTCTGACCTGGGGGCAATTTTGCCTCCCTGTGGGACATTTGGCAATGTCTGGAGACATTTTGGTTGTCACAACTGTGGGGGTGCTACTAGCATCTAATAGGTAGAGGTGGGTACCACTGACAGTGTGGGCTGGATAATTCTCTGTTGTGGAGGTTGCCAGTCTGGGCTGGATAATTCTTTGTTGTGGAGGCTGTCCTGTGCATTGTACAATGTTTTAACAGCACCCCTGGCCTCTACCCACCAGATGCCACTAACACTCCCCAGTGGTGACAACCAAACATGTCTTTGGCCATTGCCAAATGTCCTCTGGGAGGCAAAATCACCTTTAGTTGAGAATCATTGCTCTAGAGAAATATATGTTTTTGTTTGACTGACCATTTACTTAGGGGCCTAGACTCTATGAAATTAGATGTGAATTTATATATGAATAAATTGCAAATGATTTTGATTTTGTCCAGTTGAGATGCAAATTATTTCTGTCCAGCAGAAAAGATAACCCCAAAGGATAGAATTTCGTTGCCCTGTAGAATATTAACCAGTTTCATATCTAACCTAGAAATCCCATTTAAATACATTTTTCCACACTGACTATATAAATTTCTGTTTCTCTGTTGAACCAGTTTTACCATCCTCCCAGTTCCTTCATTAAAGAACATGTACATGCTCACCCTATGTGTATACGAAGGTCAAAATTTTAACTTGAAAACCATCCTTTGATACTGTTTATCCATAAGGAAAGAAAGGTGTTCACCAGGCACTATGAAGTAAAAAGGCAGGTTACAAAGCAGCATAAATAGCATAATCACACTTTTGGAAACACACAAAACAGAGAAAAACTCATGGAAGTATATATACCTGGACCTTTCACATTTGTAAAAATGGAAAAAAAAAAAAACCGAAACAAAGCGTATGTACCAAAATGTTTCCTGTGTTTGCCTCTGGGCAGAATTAAAGGAGATATATATATATAGATATATATAGATATATATATAGATATAGATATAGATATATATAGATATAGATATAGATATAGATAGATATAGATATATATAGATAGATATAGAGATATATAGATAGATATATCTATATAGATATCTCTATATCTATCTATATATATCCATATATCTATATCTATATCTATATCTATATCTATATATATTTTTTTTCAGATGGAGTTTCGCTCTTGTTTCCCAGACTGGAGTGCTGGAGCGCAGCAGTGTGATCTCAGCTCACTGCAACCTCCGCCTCCCAGGTTCAAGTGATTGTCCTGCCTCAGCCCCCCGAGTAGCTGGGACTGCAGGCACGTGCCACCACGGCCAGCTACATTTTGTATTTTTAGAGACAGGGTTTCACCGTGTTGGCCAGGCTGGTCTCCAACTCCTGACCGCAGGTGATCCACCCACCTTGGCCTCCCAAAGTGTTGGGATTACAGGCGTGAGCCACCACGCTGGGCCAGATACTTTTTAAAAAGTCTGATTATTGCCCTGTTTGTATTTTCTGGGTTTTCCAAAATGATTGGGTAGTACTTACATAATTTTTTAAATTATGAAATTTTTTTAGAAGAAATACGATGCAATTCTGGCCTCCTCCACACAGTCCCCATCCTTTTCTATTTCCCACATGCCCACCTGTGACCCCCCAGTGGCTGCCTTTGGCTCTCAGAAGACTCATTTGGTATCTGGACACCAGGTTAGTTGCAGCACAAGTATTTCATGTAGTACAAAGATCTTACATTTGTAGAACTTTTTTTTTTTTTTTTTAAGAGACAGGGTCTCACTCTGTCACCCAGGCTGGAGTACAGTGCTGTGATCATAGCTCACTGCAGCCTTGAACTCCTGGGCTCAAGTAATCCCCTTGCTATAGGCCCACGCCACCACACTAGGACCATTTTTTTTTTTTTTTTGAGACAGGGTCTCACTCTGTTGACTAGGTTGGAGTGCAGTGGTGCAAACATGGCTCACTGCAGCCTTGACCTCCTGGGTTCAAGTGATCCTCCTGCTTCAGCCTCCCATGTAGCTAGGACCACAGGTGTGCGCCACCACGCCTGGCTAAGTTTTTGATTTTTTTGTAGAGACAGAATCTCTCTTTATTGCCCAGGCTGGTCTTGAACTCCTGGCCTGAAGCAATCCTCCTGCCTCAGACTCCCAAAATGACATTTGTAGAATTCTTTTTTTTTCTTTTTTTTTTTTTTGAGAAAGAGTCTCGCTCTGTTGCCCAAGCTGGAGTGCAGTGGCGCAATCTAGGCTCACTGCAACCTCCACCTCCCAGGTTCAAGCACTTCTCCTGCTTCAGCCTCCCATGTAGCTAGGATCACAGGTGTGCACCACCACACCTGGCTAAGTTTTTGATTTTTTTGTAGAGACAGGGTTTCACAATATTGACCAGGCTGGTCTCGAACTCCTGACCTTGTGATCCACCCGCCTCGGCCTCCCAAAGTGCTGGGATTACAGGCATAAGCCACTGCACCCAGCCAACATTTGTAGTATTCTTATAAAATTTTCCACTTTAAAAAAATTATGATTTTCTGCCAGGCACGGTGGCTCACGCCTGTAATCGTAGCACTTTGGGAGGCTGAGGCAGGTGGGTCACTTGAGGTCAGGAGTTCCAGACCAGCCTGGCCAGCATGGTGAAACCCCATCTCTACTAAAAATATATTTTAAAAAATTAGCCGGGTGTGGTGGTGGGCACCTGTAATTCCAGCTACTTGGGAGGCTGAGGCAGGAGGATCGCTTGAACCTGGGAGGCAGAGGTTGCAGTGAGCCAAGATCGAGCCATTTCACTCCAGCCTGGGCAACAAGAATGAAACCCTGTCTCAAAAAATTAATTAATTAATTAAATTAAAAATTATCATTTTCCAGGTAAACTCACTTAATATTGCAGTTTCTTTTCTTTGCTCCCAGGTGGGCAGCATTTCCTTTCTATTTGTAGTTTCTTGTTTCCTTTGCTCAGCAATCAATGACCCCACTCTCCGTCTAGGAACTTCTAGTCTCTGCTGAAGAGCTAGTACATTCCCATGTAGTTTTTAAAAAAATTGATACATAATAATTGTGCATATTTATGGGGTACATGTGATACTTTGATACATATAATCCGTACAATGTAATAATCAAATCGGGGTAATTAGCATATCCATCACCTCAAACATTCATCATTTCTTTGTGTTGGGAATATTTGAAATCTCTTCTAGCAATTTTTATTTGTTTTGTTTTAAATTTTGATTTTTTATATTGACAAGAAATAATTGTGTATATTCATGGGGTACATAGGGATGTTTCAATACATATAATGTATAGTGCTCAGAGCATGGTAATTAGCATGTTCATCATCTCAAACATTTATTATTTCTTTGCATTGGGAACGTTCAATATTCTCCTTGTAGCTATTTTGAAATGTACGATAAATTGTTGTTAATTACAGTTACCCTATTGTGATACTGGACACTAGAGCTTGTTTTTTCTATCTGACTATGTGTTTGCACCCATTAACCAAGCTCCCTCCCCTACTTCCTTCCAGCCCCTGGTAACCATCATTCTACTCTCCACTTCCATGAGAGCAACTTTTTTAGCTTCCACATGTGAATGAGAACATGCAATATTTGTCTTTGTGTGCCTGGCTTATCTCACTTAAAATAATGACCTCCAATTCCATCCACGTTGCTGTGATAGGATTTTATTCTTTTTTGTGGCTGAATAGTATTCCACTGTGTATATATACCACATTTTCTTTATCCACTCATTGGTTGATGAATACTTAGGTTGATTCTGTAACTTGGCTATTGTGAATAGTCCTGCAATAAACATGGCTGGAGCAGGTATACCTTTGATATGCTGATTTCCTTTCCTTTGGATAAATACACAGTGGTGAAATTGCTGGATTATACAGTAGTTCTATTTTCAGTTTTTTGAGGAAACTTCATGCTGTTTTCCATAATGGCTGTACTAATTTACATTCCCACCAAAATTATATAAGAGTTCCCTTTTCTCCACATCCTTGCCAGCATTTGTTATTTATTTATTTATTTATTGTCTTTTTGATAATAGCCATTCTAACTGGAGTGAGATGATAGTTCATTGTGGTTTTGATTTACATTTATCTGATGATTAGTGCTGTTAAGCATATTTGCATATACCTGTTGGCTATTTGTGTGTCTTCTTTTGAGATGTGCCTATTCATGTGGTCTTTACCCCTCCTTTTTTTTTTTTTTGAGATGGAGTCTCACTCTGTCACCCAGGCTGGAGTGCAGTGGCATGATCTTGGCTCACTGCAACCTCCACCTCCCAGGTTCAAGCAATTCTCCTGCCTCAGCCTCCAGAGTAGCTGGGACTAAAGGCACATGCCACCACGCCTGGCTAATTTTTTTGTGTTTTTAATAGAGATGGGGTTTCACCATGTTGGCCATGCTGGACTCAATCTCCTGACCTTGTGATCTGCCTGCCTCAGTCTCCCAAAGTGCTGGGATTACAGGTGTGAGCCACCACACCCAGCCTTTGCCACTTTTTAATGGGATTATTTGTTTTTTTGCTGTTGAGTTGCTTGAGTTCCTTGTATATTCTGGATATTAGTCCCTTGTATATTCTGGATATTAGTCCCTTGTTGGATGAATGGTTTGGAAATAATTTCTCATATTTTACAGGTTGTCTCTTTACTCTGTTGATTGTTTCCTTTTCTTCTTAGTTTAATATAGCCTCTTTTGTCTGTTTTTGTTTTTGTTGCCTGTGCTTTTGAAGTCTTAGGCATAAAATCTTTGCCTAGACCAATGTCCTGAAGCATTTTCCCTATGCTTTTTCTAGTAGTTTTATAGTTTCAGGTCTTGCATTTAAGCCTTTAATTCATTTTTAGTTGATTTTTTGTACGTGGTGAGAGAGGGGTCTAGATTCATTCTTCTGCATAGGGATATCTAGATTTCCCAGCACCGTTTATTGAGAGTGTCCTTTCACCAGTGTATGTTGTTGTCACCTTTGTCAAAAATCAGTTGGCTGTTTGTGGCGGAATTCACACAGAAAAAAAAATCAGTTGGCTGTAAATATGTGGATTTACTTCTGAATTCTCTATTCTGTTCAGTTGGTCTGTGTGTCTGTTTTTATGCCAATATCATGCTGTTTCGTTTATTATGGCCTCGTAGAATCTTTTGAAGTCAGATAGATGCCTCCAAACTTTGTTCTTTGTATATTGCTTTAGCTGCTTGCATTCCCATCTGGTTTTAATTATGTCAAGGCAAGCCCTGATTCCTCTAAAGGTTACTCTATTTTTGTACTTGTTTTATTTATTTTTAACTGATCAATGGGCTAATATCACTTCAGTTTTTAAATAAGTAACTATTAATATTAGTGATTATGTATTTTTGTTTTTGCATTATCTTCCATGCTACATCAAAATCAGGATTTATCAAATTTTCAGGTAACAATGGAGGTAAGAAATTTTTATTTATTTTTTCTTTTTAATTAATATTTTTGAGACAGGGTCTGACTCTGTTGCCCAGGCTGGAGTGCAAGGCATGATCTCAGCTCACTGCAGCTTCCACCTGCCAGACAGAAACCATTCTTCCACCTCAGCCCTCCTGAGTAGCTGGAACTACAGGTGGGCACCACCATGCCTGGCTAATTTTTGCATTTTTGGTAGAGACAGGGTGTTGCCATGTTGCTCAGGCTGGTCTCGAACTCCTGGGCTCAAGTGATCCTCCCAACTTGGCCTCCCAAAGTGCTGAGATTACAGGCGTGAACCACCACACCCAGCCTGGAAGTAAGGATTTTTTAAAAGTAACTGATGGAGTGACCGGGCGTGGTGGCTCATACCTGTAATCCCAGCACTTTGAGAGGCCAAGGTGGGTGGATCATTTGAGGTCAGGAGTTTGAGACTAGCCTGACCAACAAGGTGAAACTCCATCTCTACTAAAAATACAAAAAAATTAGCCGGGTGTGGTATTGAGCGCCTGTAATCCTAGCTACTTAGGAGGCTGAGGCAGGCGAGTCACTTGATGCCAGGAGGCAGAGGTTGCAGTGAGCTGAGATCCTGCCACTGCACTCCAGCCTGGGCAACAGAGTAAGACTCTATCTAAAAAAAAAAAAAAAAAAAAAAAAAGTAACAGATGGCTTGTTTTACGTATCTCAAATAAATAAATAAAATGTTTACAATTGATTACTTAGGGAATCTGTGTCAAATGTGATAAAACATGCAAAGTTAGGTAAACTCTAAAGAATCATGTCTGTTGATGCCACATTATACTTGCAAAAGAAATAGATAACCTTGGCTGGGCGCGGTGGCTCACATCTGTAATCCTAGCACTTTGGGAGGCCAAGGCAGTCCGATCACAGGGTCAGAAGTTGGAGACCAGTCTGGCCAACATAGTGAAACCTTGTCTTTTCTAAAAATACAAAAAATTAGCCAGGCGTGGTGGTGTGTACCTGTAATCCCAGCTACTCGGGAGGCTGAGGCAGGAGAATCACGTGAACCGGGGAGGCAGAGGTTGCAGTGAGCCAAGGTTGCGCCATTGCACTCCAGCCCGGGCAACAGTGTGAGACTCTGTCTCAAAAAAAAAAAAAAAAAAAAAAGGAGAAAAGGAAATAGGTAACCAGATAACCTCTCTATAAAACATTCAGACTTACAATTTTCATTTCACTTATTTAACCAATAGCAAAAGGGACAAAAATAAACCAATTGCTGATATAGCCTTTCAATTATTTATTTTGTACTAAGAGGTTAAAACTTTTTTCAAATAGAGAACTAATATTTAAAAAATTTTTTGGCCAGGTGTGGTGGCTCATGCCTGTAATCCCAGCACTTTTGGTGGCCAAGGTGGAAGGGTCATCTGAAGCCAAGAGTTTGAGAGCAGCCTGGGTTATATGACAAGACCCTGTATCTATGCAAAAAAAAAAAAAAAAAAAAAAAAGAGGCCAGTGTGGTGGCACATACTTGTTGTCCCAAGTACTCAGGAGGCTGAGGCAGGAGGATCATTTGAACCCAGGATTTCAAGGCTGCAGAGAGCTATGATTGTGCCACTGCACTCCAACCTGGGCAACAGAAATTCCATCTCTAAAAAATAAAAATAAAAATATGATAGTAAAAGGTTTTTTTTTTTTTTTACAAAGCTGATAGCTTTGCTTGAGCCAGATCAATTTTGTGTTGTAGAATATTTACATCTTTACCTTTGAAATCTATTACCTGCTTTGTTGGCTGTTTAGCCAAGATGAACACTGAAAAGCAAACAAACAAACAAAAACAAAAACCACCTAGGTTTCAACAACAACAAGTCACACCTACTTGGTAGGATTTATTTTTTATTTTTTTATTTTTTATTTTTTTGAGACAGTGTCTCCCTCTGTCACCCAGGCTAGGAGTGCAGTGGCATGATCTTGGCTCACTGCAACCTTTGTTTCCTGGGGTCAAGTGATTCTCTTGCCTCAGACTCCCAAGTAGCTGGGACTACAGGTGCGTGCTGCCATGACCGGCTAATGACCTCCATGTTTAATGTTACATGACCAATCTCTAGGGAATTATGGAATCAAAGGCATGGAGACAGAATCCATATTTTGTTTGGGGAAAAGAGGGATAATCTTTGTTCCAACATAAGATTATGTTGGGACATTTAGTCTCATCTACAATCCAGTCCTAACGATACCAAAATAGAGTCTCAACCAACTCTGATTGGTTCCTTCCCTTTAGGAATTACATAGTATACAGTGATTAGACACTGAAGAAAATAAAGAAAAACAATTGAAAATATATGAGGAAACAGAAACATGAGATTTCTCACAAGGCCCTGGATAAAAAAAAAATTACCAAAAGACCTTTTGAAAATAATCACTATTTGTGAGCTGATTAATACACAGAGATCATCTTTTTTTTTTTTTGGCAGAGTCTCGCTCTGTTGCCCAGGCTAGAGTGCAGTGGCTCATCTTGGCTCACTGCAACCTCCACCTCCTGGGTTCAAGAGATTCTCCTTCCTCAGCCTCTGAAGTAACTGGGACTACAGGTGTGTGCCACCATGCCCAGCAAATTTTTGTATTTTTAGTAGAGATGGTGTTTTGCCATGTTTCCCAGGCTGGTCTTTAACTCCTGGCCACAAGTGATCTGCCCACTTCGGCCTCTCAAAGTTCTGGGACTACAGGCCCAGCCCATCACTTTGTTTAAACGAAGTCATAGGTCAGGTGCATGCCACTGTACTCCAGCCTGGATGACACAACAAGACACTGTGTCAAAACCCCACCACCCCAAAACTAATTCATGTTAACTTATAAAGAAAATAGTAAACAAACCAACATTTCAAACATTTTTACTAATTGTCATTTATTTTGCTAGTGTTTCTCTCTCAAAAATATGCAAAAATACCACTACAGGACTATCCACCTGTCTCCACCTCTTGCAGTCTTGGGACCGGGAAAGAGGCTGGTCCATTAATCTTCACTGTAGATGTCCCTGCAAAGGGCAGGTGCATGCGGCTGCCAGTGACATTGGGTAGTCAAGATTAATCTGACAGGCTCTGGATCGGGGACCTGAATTCTTTGCACACCAGGGAAACTCTGGCTCACTTGCACTTGTATTCTTCCAATTTATGCTTTCTCTGCGAGGGCTTCCATTGGACAATGAAGAAAATCTGCTAACATTCGAGTGAGTTGCTTCCCCTCATCTATTTCTGCTGCCATTCTGCCATTGTAATCTGCTGGCAACATACATGCATCCATCATTTTAGAAAGCCTTTCTCCAGGTTCTTTATCTGCTATTTTATCTAGTAGAGATACTTCTTGGTCTACAGCAGGCAAAAAAGTGATCCTCTAGTGAACTCCTGCATCACCCAAGGCTGCATTTTCTAGATTTTGTAATGCTGTCACGAGATTTAGAGTCTGTGGTGGTGGCTCATTTGCAGATCCCAGAGAAGAACAGTTTTTATTTTCATTCATCTTTATCTGTTTATAAATTTGCTTCCTAGGCTTCTTATCACCACACAGAGCTTAAGTTGCTCTAATACATTGTTTCATTGTTTCTTGTTTGTTTGCTTGTTTGTGGTTTTTTTGAGACAGGGTCTTGCTCTGTCGCCCAGGCTGGAGTACAGTGGTGCGATCATGGCTCACTAAAGCCTCAACCTCCTGGGTGGAAGTGATCCTCCCACCTCAGCCTCCCGAGTAGCTGGGACCACTGGAGCACACCACCATGCCCAGCTGATTTTTTTTTTTTTTAGAGATGGAGTCTAGCTATGTTGCCCCGGCTGGTCTCAAATTTCTGAGCTTGAGTGATCCTCCCACTTTGGCCTCCCAAAGTGCTTAGATTATAGGCGTGAGCCACCACGCCTGGCCTCTAAATACATCATTTGCATAAACAGACCTTTCTTCCCAAATAGACAACACTCTTCCAATGTGCTTCTGTGCTTCTTACAACTCTCATCAGTTTCACTTGAAACATGCTTAAAAGCTTCCACTATAACCAGTGCAAATCTTTTGTAAGCTCCGGCCCCTTCCTTTTGCTTTGTATTTTAGTAGAGACAAGGTTTCACCATGTTGCCCAGGTGGTCTCACTGGCAAGGTAAGAAAAGTAAGCTTCCTGTTTGGCTTTGCTCTCTGCAGCTCCAGCTACCATGCGGTGACCACGGGCCCGGGTGCTTCTTGCTGTGATGAATGAGCCACAGGGACCAGGTCTGCATGCTCTGCTGCGCATTGCTTAACCCCGACAGCTCCTTCTCCAGCGCCGCCTCAGAGAAGACTGACATCCCTTCCACCCCACATTCACGCCGTCCCACACTGGGGTGACAGGAGGAGAGTTAAGTTGCCCTCTCGCAGCCTCGCCCGCTCAACTCACCCTTTCCACACCCTCACTACCACCCTGCTTGGTAGGATTTAATCCTAACACATATTACCCAAAATCCCATCTAACTCATCCGAACTTTGGAAAGTGACACACCTTAAGTGGTTGTGATTAAAACAGGCATTAACTTCTTTTGCTCCAGTGTGCTAAGAAACATTTGAAGGACATTCTTTTGGTTTTATTTGTTTGTTTGTTTGTTTGTTTTTGAGACAAGGTCTCACTCTGCCGCCCAGGCTGGAGAGCAGTGGCGCCATCATACTCACCATAGTCACCATAGCCTTGAACTCCTGTGCCCAAGTGATCCTTCCATCTCAGCCTCTTGAGTAGCTAGGACTACAGGCGCACACCACCATGCCTGGCTAATGTTTTTAAAAATTTTTTGTAGAGATGAGGTCTCTCTGTGCTGCCCAGGCTGGTCTCCAACTCCTGGTCTCAAGCGATCCTCCTGCCTCGGCCTCTCAAAGTGCTGGGATTACAGGCATGATCCACTGTTGAAGCTACATACATAGGCAGCTCATGACCCAGCAATTCCACTCCATGGCATTCCCAAGGGAAGTGATATATCCACACAGACTTGTACATGATTATTCATAGAACCTTTATGAATTATAGCCCCAAACTGAAAACAACCCAAATGCCCATCAATCCGTAAATGGATAAACAAAGAAAGGAACAAATTGCCAACATGCGTGTTAACATAGATAAAATCTCAAAAGCATGTTGACAAAAAAAAAAAATCAAAAGCCTGTTGAACAAAAGAAGCCAGAGACAGGATTATTGTACTGCATTATTATACTATGATGTCATTTGCATGAAAATCTAGAAAAGACAAATCTACAGTGATAGAAGCAGGACAGTATTTTCCCGAGGCCAGGAATTGGGGGTGGGACCTGGCAAAGGAAACGTTTAAGAGGATAACAATATTCTGCATCTTGCTCATGGTGATTGTTACACAGGTGCCACATTTACTAAAATTCACACTGTACAGCTTAAATGGATGCATTTTATTATATGTAAAGTTTTTTTTTTTTTTTTTTTTGAGACAGAGTCTCACTCTGTCACCCAGGCTGGAGTGCAGTGGCACGATCTCCGCTCATTGCAACCTCCACCTCCTGGGTTCAAGCGATTCTTTTGCCTCAGTCTCCTGAGTAGGTGGGATTACAGGCGTGTGCCACCATGCCCGGCTAATTTTTCTATTTTTAGTAGAGACGGGGTTTCACCATGTTGGTCAGGCTGGTCTCAAACTCCTGACCTCGTGATCGTGATCTGCCTGCCTCGGCCCCCCAAAGTGTTGGGATTACAGGTGTGAGCCACTGCGTCCAGCCTAAAGTTGATTTTTTTAAAGCCCACAGAACCTGTCTCTGTTTTGATTAGTTCCCCAGATTCGTTGTTTTTTTTTTTCGTTTTTGGTTTTTTTTCTTTTTTTGAGTTTCGCTCTTGTCACCCAGGCTGGAGTGCAATGGTGTGATCTCGGCTCACTGCAACCTCTGGCTCCTGGGTTCACGCAATTCTCCTGCCTCAGCCTCTGGAGTAGCTGAGATTACAGGCGTCCGCCACCACTCCAGGTTGAGTTTTGTATTTTTAGTCAAGACAGGGTTTCACCATGTTGGCCAGGCTGGTCTTGAATTCCTGACCTCAGGTGATTTGCCTGCCTCAGCCTCCCAAAGTGCTGAGATTACAGGCATGAGCCACGGCGCCCGGCATCCAGATTCGTTGTTAATTTTAATGGGTTGCACTCCCTGTTTGGAGAGTGAGCTTCCTGCTGATGGTCAATATGTATGTATGTATGTATGTATGTATGTATGTATATTTTTTTGACAGCAGGTCTCACTTTGTTGTCCACAGCTTGCTGCAGCTTCCTGGACTCAAGCAATCCTCCGGCCTCAGCCTCCTGAGTAGCTGGGACTACAGACATGCACCACCACACTCGGCTAATTTTTTTGTATTTTTTTGTAGAAATGGGGTCTCACCATGTTGCCCAGGCTGGTCTGGAACTCCTGGGCTCAAGTGATGATCCTGCCTTGGCCTCCCAAAATGCTGGGATTACAGGCGTGAGCCACCGCGCCCGGCCGGCCACTATTTATTGATCCCTCGATATGTGCCAAATGCTGCTCTAAGAGCTTTGCATATATTAAGCTACTAAATCTACCAACCATGCCACACAATGTCAACAGCTCCGTGTTAGAGATGGGAGAACTGAGGCACAGAGAGGGCAAGCCTCTTGCCTAAGAGCACAGCACGTGATTTTTGTAAGTGACAAACAGAATTTAACCTACATAGTCAGGCTCCAGAGTTTAGTTTGTAATAATTGCAATACACTGTCTCCTACTGAATTTGCTGATAGAGCTACTATCAGCTAGTAGCTACTATCAGATAGAGCTACTAAGAGCTAGTAAATTAAGGAAATCAAAGTTTTAATTAATAGATAACACCAGGTAAAAGGAGGAACATAGAAAAATGACTAAATATGAGAGCAGGGGAAGGGTTCCCAAATTGGGCAATATGCTTTCTATACCTGTTTCCCCACTTGTGAAATAAACTACTCCACCTAGCAAACTCACACTTAGGCACCTCACTGAGAAAAAAGTATTTCACGTGCATACATGATTTAAAAAGTTAAGGGCCAGGTGTGGTGCCTCATGCCTCTAATCACAGTACTTGGGGGGCAGAGGCAGGAGGACCGTTTGAATCCAGGAGTTGAAGACCATCCTGGGCAATATAACAAGACGCAGTCGAAGAGAAGAGGAAGAGAAGAGAAGAGAAGGAAAGAAATTCTGGAAGGAAGGAAGAAAGAAAAAAAAGAAGAAAAAGAAGGAAGAAAGAAAGGAAAGAAAGAAAGAAAAGAAAAGAAAGAAGAAAAAGAAGGAAGAAAGGAAAGAAAGAAAAGAAAAGAAAGAAGAAAAGAACAGAACAGCAGGTTCTTGCCTTCTCTAGAATCCCAAGCCCTCTATGGGAAGTAAACACTCCGACCCCTTCTGTTTCTCCTGTTATTATCTCTGTATTCCCAAATGATAAGCTATCACGCTTTCTGATTTATCAGTATCATATATTATCTTTTGATTTGCTGGCCTGATAGGTAAGGACTTAGCTCTCCAAAACTCTCTCCCACATTTCTCCTTTGCCCCACAAAATTGTACCGGAATTCTCTATTAAATCACTCTAAATTTCTAGGACAATGCAAATTTTGCTCACTGCTGAACTAAGAAGCCCACTAAACCACAATTCCTTTCTTTGTTCTTGGAATTAGTAATCGCCTTTTTTTTCTTATCCTGGTTTTCCATCAATTTGTCATTATTTTTCCCCTAATGTCCAACATCTTTGTCTATCGCTGCATACATTTAAACATACCCATTCCACTTTCTTCCTCATGGTCTCCTTCCTAACCCCATGCTGTCATCGGGACTGGGTGCTCTCTAAGGATGCGTTGTGCCTTGCATGCTGGAGTCCCATTTCCCATGTGGCTGTTAGCACGTGAAGAGATGGTAGTGATGTTCACCATGATAATGCTGCTGGTTTATTGTGGAAGATCTCAGCAGAAGTCACTGTACGTCATTTTGTTATCTCTCTCCTTTTTTTAAAAAAAATGTCTGTACCCATCCATCCACTAACTGTATGTCATTTATTGAAAGTGTATTCCATATGCATAAATTGAGTTCACATATGTAATCAGATAGAATTCAGAAACAGGGATTTCAGAAACCTAGGTCCTAGGTTGTGCAATTGCTACTATTCAAGTATCCTTTTCTGGATCTCAATTCAAATAACCCAACTCTAAAGGATACATTTATGGGACAGTTGGAGGAGTTTAAGCAGAATATTTGGTATAAAATTGCTACAAAATTATTAGCGTTTCAGGTATGATATAGTATTGTAGTTATATGTAAAATTTTTCTTAACTTTTGGAGATAGTTACTGGAAGATTTCTATATCAAGTGATGTCTGTGATTTGCTTCAAAATAATCCTTTGTGGGGGTGAGGGAGCAAGTTGAAATAGGGTAGGCTGAGCATCTCAAAACTGAAAATCGAAAATCTGAAAAGCTCCAAAATTCAAAACGTTTTTGTTTTGAGACAGAGTCCACTCTGTCGCCCAGGCTGGAGTGCAGTGGCACAATCTCAGCTCACTGCAACCTCTGCCTCCCAGGTTCAAGTGATTCTCCTTCCTCAGCCTCCCAAGTAGCTGGGATTACAGGCACCTGCCACCACGCCTGGCTAATTTTTGTATTTTTAGTAGAGACGGGGTTTTGCCATGTTGGCCAGGCTGGTCTTGAACTCCTGACTTCAGGTGATCCGCTTGCCTCGGCCTCCCAAAGTGCTGGGATTACAGCCATGAGCCACCATGCCTGGCCCAAAATGTTTTGAGTGCTAACCGGACACTTAAAGGAAATGCTTGTTTTGCAGCACTCAGATTAGAGAGTTTTGGAGTTGGAATGCTCAACCTGTAAACATAAAGCAAATATTCCAAAATGTGAAATCTGAAACACTTCTTGTCCTAAGCATTTTGGATAAAGGATTCTGAACCTGTATAAGAAACAAGATTGGCTATATGTTGATAATTGCTCAAGTTGGGTGATGGGAGTTCATTATACCACTCTCTCTATGTTTGCATGTGTTTAAAACATTCCAGAACAATTTGTTTTTAAATGGTTTTCAGGGTAGGTCAGGAAAAAAAATAAATCTGATAATTGTAGGAGACAGAATTTAAAACTCATCTTCTAGCAAGGATATATTTCTTTTTTAATTTACTTAATGAACTTACAATAGACTTAGTTATTTTAGTTTCTCTACCGTTACTTAAATTACAAATCTGAGGCCAAAGTGGGACGATCACTTGAGCTCAGGAGTTCAAGACCAGCTTAGGCAACAAAGTGAGACCCTGTCGCTACAAAAAATTAAAAAGTTAGCTAGGAATGGTGAGAGCCTGTAATCCCAGCACTTTGGGAGGCTGAGGTGTGAGGATTGCTTGATCCCAGGAGTTGGAGGCTGCAGTGAGCCATGATTGTGCCACTGCACGGCAGCCTGGGTGACAGAGCAAGACCCCAACTGAAAATAAATAAATAAATAAAATTTATGTTTTAGTGTATTTACGTATTTATATAAAAACTCAGTTTCAATACCAAAGTCAAGATTCATCCATTTGTTCAACAGCAATTGAGCATCTTCCATAGATGCCAGCACTCTTGGGTACTCAAGATACACCTATAACAAGTACTCAGAATAGCGACTCAAAAATTAGTTTGTGATTTTAAAAAAAAAGCTGGAAAGCTATCTTTTACATACATTATTTCATTTCATCCTTCTAGCTATTCTGCAAGATAGCTATCTAATAGGCCTAAATGAAATTAAGGTTCAGAGAGAATAAGTCACTTGCCCCACTGGCTAATGGAGGAAATGGGACTGTAATCCACATTGATCTGCCAAGTCTGGGTCCTTCCACTGCACGTGGCCCTGAGCTCTCTTACCTGCCAGATGGCATGAGGCTTGATTGGAAGCACTCTCATCTGTTAGATCAACTCTCCACAGCATGCTCCTGGAACACAACTGCTGTGTACCACTCTAGCAGTCAAGCAAGCAAGAGAAGCTGACTTTGAGTAAACTGAAAGCCAATTATTTAAAGGATATTGGGTACTTCAGGATTTTGGAGTGGTCTAGAGAGACTGGTTCAAGGCTAAAGTTCCAGAAGAAAAAAAATGCCCAAACCCATCTTACGGAACTGGTCGGATGAGGAAACTGATGCCACCACCACTGAGTCCCACTGAGTGCCCTGCCACGGAAACACAGCTTTACCACCTCCTCGCATGCCTGGGTCCCAAATGCAGGAGTCCAAAGTTTTCTGGGTTGTCCTGAGAGAGGATGGACTGACATAGCCAGCATTCCCCAAATCTAGCACGGGTGCTCAGAGGGAGCTGGGCAAGGCAACCACTCTGTGATTCTCTCTGTGGGATGTTCAATACATTTGCATGCCTCTTCTCCAATTAAAAAAGAGCAACTGGACAGACAGAAACCACAACAAACACTCTCTGTCCCCCAAATAATGTGAACAAGTCTTTGGTGAAATGGCAGAAAAGCAGGCAGTTTAACAGGTTTCTCTACTGCAGGGCCACTCGGGACATTCATGCATGCATTCATTCATTCGTTTGAGGCAGAGTGTCACGCTGTCGCTCAGGATGGAATGCAGTGGTACAATCATAGCTCACTGCAGCCCCGGCCTCCGGAGCTCAAGCGATCTGCCTGCCTTGGCTTCCCAAGCAGCTGGGATTACAGGCATTAGCCATCGTGCCCAGCCAACATGGAGCTTTTAATATGCTTTACAGCATGAACAATCTCCAGGAGGAGGATGTAGTAGTTCCCAAATATTGGTGATCATGGAACTTTTATTTCTGTAACAGGCTAAATATGATGGAAGAAGTGGTGCTGGTGGTAGGCTTTATGCTCAATTGCTTCTTCTTTTGTCCTCTGCGAAGTCCTATTCATTTGACATTAAAAGTTTTTTTTTTTTCCTTTTTTTTGAGACAGAGTTTTGCTCTTGTTGCCCAGGCTAGAGTCCAATGGCGCGATCTTGGCTCACTGCAACCTCTTCCTCCCAAGTTCAAGCGATTCTCTTGCTTCAGCCTCCTGAGTAGCTGGGATTACAGGTGTTAGCCACCATGCCTGGCTAATTTTTGTATTTTAGTAGAGACGGGGTTTCACCATGTTGGTCAGGCTGGTCTCGAACTCCTGACCTCAGGTGATCCACCTGCCTCGGCCTCCCAGAGTGCCAGGATTACAGGCATGAGCCACCACACCCAGATTATTTTTTTAATATTAAAAAAATTCCCCACTTGCCAAGGCTGACCTATCATTTGCCCTCTAAGAGGTTTTTGGGTAAGCCCAGGCAAAGATTTTTTTTTTTTTTAAAGGTTTTAGTTCTGATTCCACTCCCTGAACTGTAGTTCTGGGGCCCACATATCTCATCTGGGCTATAGCAGCCACTCCCAACTGGCCTCCCAGGTCCTGCCCTGTCATCACAAATGCAAATCCAGTTGTCACTTCCTTAACTGAAAACACTCTGATGGCTTCCCATTGCCCTCGTGAAATGCCATGTTCTGGTTCCTACTTCCTTCCCGTTTTCTCTTGTCACAGCCCCCTCCCCCGCAAAACTTCTCCCTCTAAGGGCAACCAGATGTTTGCTAATCACCTACTTTGGAAAGCTGGTCTGGCTGGATCCTCTTCCCATGGACTCCTGTAGCATCCTACATTTTTACTTTTCATAGCACTTAAACCGCATGGTAACTGCTTGACCACTTGACCACTGGTCTGTACTCCCCACCAGATAACAAGTTCTGAGGTTCTGAGAGGCAGAAATTCATTTTGATTTTTTTTTTTTTTTTTTTGGAGACAGTCTTATTCTGTCACCCTGGCTGAAGTCCAGTCACACAAGTCATAGCTCACTGCAGCCTTGAACTCCTAGGCTCAGGCAATCCTCCCACCTTCGCCTCCTGAGTAGCTGAGACTGTGGGTGTGTGCTACACCCAGCTAATTTTCTTACACATTAATACCCAGCAAAACACTTGCCATGTAAAAGTGAGTCTATAAAGTGATGAACACACTTTAAAATAGGGTAACAAATATCTTTTTATTTTTCTCTGTCCCTTTAAAATATGGTAACAAATATCTTTTTATTTTTCTCTGTCTCTCATACAGTCAGACTGGCATAGCAGGTATCAGTGGTACACTAAAAACATCAGATTTTAATGTGTTCCATGATGAAGCAGACAAGACGCACTTCCTAGCTTTGGTGGGAAAAAAAGAAATTATACTTACCCTTTGTAAAAGCATAGAGAAAGTTTAGAGCTGAAGAATAAGACTCAAACTTCTATGGTTTCAACAGGACAGGAAGCGAGAGAAACCTCAGTTGCTGAGGGCAGGGTATTTGTCAGTTAGAAGGATTGTTAAATCTTTATAAAATGCCAATCAAGATGGCTAGTTCTAAAGGAGAAAAGAGCGTCTCAAAAAGCAGCACTATCAGATAGTCACGAGCTTGAATGTTTTCAGAGAGGTTCTTCAGGAAAACACCAAACACCATTTTCAGAATGAGAGGCCAAATATCCTCTCTTTGCCTTTAGTCCAGTTTTCAGGAGTTTGCTTGGTTCAAAAGATTAGGTAAAATTTCCTCATGGTTATCTCAACTAAGATGTTGACTTTGGGCAAAGTTGTAACAACGTTTTTTTTTTCCCCCTTAAAGATTTGGGTTAACACACTTACTGAGTATTGACTCTGCAGCTAGGCACTATTTAAGTGCTTTACATGAATTAACACTTTAAGACTTGAAATAAGCCTGGAAGATTAGCATTATGCCTGTATCCTATATATTATCTCTCTGTACCAAAGAAACTGGCATTATGCCCACTTAATAAATGAGGAAACTAAGGTTGCATAATTTAGCTGAAGTTACAAAACTACCAAGGAGCAGATCTGAGATTCAAATCCAGGCAGTTTGGCCTAACAGTCTACATTCTTAACAGTAATATTATAATGGCTCTTGAATAAATTCACTTCACACACATACATAAAGATCCATTCAATCTGAGTCAGAGATTTGGATTTTGGTGCTGGCTCTGTCTTTAGTAAGTTGTGGGGATTTCATGTAGACACTTTGCAAATCTGAGACTGTCTACTCCACCTGTAAAATTAGATGATTGGATTCAATCAGTCACCTCCTAACAACGTGAGAGAGGAGATGAGAAGGTAGAGATGGTGGTTAGAAACTAACATCACAAGGATCCTTGGCCCATTCCGAACAAATACTCCTTAGGAAAATGAGTTATTCTGCTAGAAGTTAAGGTATGAAAAATCTCTGGACTATAACAGATTGTTTTCTTTTGAAGCCCATGGAATCCAAGTAATGTGGCATCTGGAAGTCCCCTCCAAGTGCATGCAAAGACACAGGTGGGTTTTCCTAGAGGAGGAGTCAAGTCTTTTATTAAACACTCAAAGGAATTCATGACTCCAAAAAAGATGAAGGGCCTGTAAAATACTTCTTCAGCTTTATGCTCTTGGAGGAAACTGGCAATCCAAGTTTGTAAAGAGCAATATGACAAAACCTGTATTTCCTGATTAACAGCCAAGTGTTATTAGACTATGATGAATAAGACATATTAAAAGTAATCATAACCTAATAAACTGGGTACCTACACGTGCTACTTAAAATTTGCTGTCTTGGACACAGAGCTAAAGTAAAATATCTCATCTAGAACTAGCTTATATCTGATACAGACAATATGTTTTAACATTTTTTTCAGAGTTACAAACTTAACAATAAAGAAAAAGTCCAATCACGAGTTATATATAAAGTATTTATTTTTAATGCACATATTTACCTACAAAATTTACAGAAAATAAAACAAAGCAGAATATATAGAATACCCTCTTAAGACTTCTTAGGAGCTGAGGGTTTTATTGCTGCAGTTCAAAGAATCAAATTTTATACAAGTGAAAGCTAAGATGAACACATTTAAGTTAAATGGCAGCCTTGTTAAAAAGCTTTTTTATCCTGTTATTGAATTTTCAGCTTTATGTTAAATGAAATTTAAAAGATTGCTCATGAAATAATTTAAACCTTTTCAAAATCTAATAAACAGGTAAAAGGCACCTCCAGTACTTTAAAATATTTACAGCAATCCCAATAGTTTAATTTTAAGGGCTATTATAGTACATGCGGCTATTATGCATACACAGTATGTCATTAACACTCTCTAAACAGTGAGAATTGTAGACTCTAGTTTCTGGCACCACTCCCAAGTTATTCTGGTGAAGGCATAGGATGACCAATTACACCTGTGCAACACTAGTGTCACAGCCTGTCTACCACAGCGTAAAATCCAGTTATCTAAAACAATGACTATCAAATTCCCAGACAATACATAATTTATCAGTAGACTTGTATATTCACAAGCCTTTAGGGTATTTTAAAAATTATTAAAGAGGCCAGGCACGGTGGCTTATGCCTGTAATCCCAGCATTTTGGGAGGATGAGGCAGGAGGATCACGAGGTCAGGAGATCGAAACCATCCTGGCCAACGTGGTGAAACCCCGTCTCTACTAAAAATACAAAAAAATTAGCTGGGCATGGTGGCATGCGCCTGTAGTCCCAGCTACTCAGAAGGCTGAAGCAGGAGAATCGCTTGAACCTGGGAGGCAGAGGTTGCAGAAAGCCAAGATCGTGCCACTGCCCTCCAGCCTGGCAACAGAGCGAGACTCCGTCTAAAAAAAAAAAAAAAAAAAAGAAAATTATTAAAGCAATATAAAGGATATTTAGCATTAAATGAGAACAATGAACTAAAAATATAACCACAATAGTTGCTGGAGTTCAATATCTGGTTTAACAAAAAGTGTCTCTCAAAACATCTATAATTTCTTACAACATAATGGAGAGTTTTCCTCAGTCTAAGCTGAATCCAATGTTTTTCCTGCAGTATGATTAGAAATGTAAGAATGAAAGGCACACATAATAGCCAGTTTTAAAGAGCTGTGGGGATGGCAAGCAGATGTTCCTGAAATACTGGTGCAAGAGAACAAAGTCCACACAACGTTTTCCTCTTTGTTTAACATTGGCATTGATTTGCTATTTACAGTAGTTTGCAAAAATACATTATAAAAACTGAATGAGGTTCTGTTTCTAAGTTTAACTTAGTAACATACATACATACTTCATCTGCAAAAATATTTGCAGGATCTGAAGTACTAAAGTGACACTAATACTGAAACACAGGTAATCAAAAGTACCAAAGCACTGATAATGAGTCACCATCATCAAGATAATCCAGGTAAATATTGCACACTTCTTGTCAGTTGCTGCTATGACCTTTACATATCCAACCGCAAAAGGAATCCTTTATGGCTTTTTGCTGTATCACTTATTCGAAGAAAGGCTATTTTAAGTCCCATAACAATGAGTGAAGATTGTCATTGAACATGAGGCCTAGGTTTCAAAATTAGTTTTCCTGTCTGCAAAAATGAAAAGACAGAATTTTTTCAATACACAGTTCTAGTAAAAATACCACTGCTTATTTATAAACCTTAAAGGGTATGTGCAAGGAATAAGAACGCTTCTCTATAGTCAAGATTAAACAATTAATAGTTATGCTTTCAGAGCTTCCTTTGTGTGGAGCTTCCTTCTGAGCTCTTTATTTTAAAATACTACATACATCTTTTTTTCTCCTCTTTTCATTTTTTGTAGAGACGGTGTCTTGCTATGTTGCCCAGGTTCATCTCAAACTCCTGGACTCAAGCAATCCTCCTGCCTTGGCCTCCCAAAGTGCTGGGATTACAGGTGTGAACCACCATGCCTGGCCTCTTTATTCTAATTTCTGTAATGAATAGGTATTACTTGTTTAATGACTTTTTAAATTGAAGGCTAAGACACTTTTATAAATAAAATAAGCAAATCAAAATAGAAGCTACCTATCAAAATTGTGAGACACCCTTATTACACACTGGTACATGATAGTTTTTAATTTACTTAAAGACAGGGTCTCACTGTCGTCCAGGCTAGACTGCAGTGGTATGATCACAGCTCACTGCAGCCTCAAATTCCTGGGCTCAAGCAATCCTCCTGCCTCAGCCTCCCAAGCAGCTGGGACTACAGGTGTGCACCACCTGCCTGGCTAATTTTTACATTTTTTTGTAGAGATGGGGTCTTGCTAATGTTGCCCAGGCTGGTCTCAAACTCCTGGACTCAAGAGATCCTCCTGCCTCAGCTTCCCAAAATGCTGGGATTAGAGGCATGAGCCACCATGCCCAGTCTCCCATCATCTACTTTTAAAAACACAATAGGTTCATATGTCCATAGTCCACAAATTAATCTATGACTCTATATTTACAAATAACATATATAGCATATCACTTGATAAATAACAGTAGTTTATAAAACCAATATCCGCTGAGCCATTTTTGGTCAATAACAAACAACCACTGTACTTCACTGAATCTAAGATGCATCAGTTATAAGATGCATCATGATTTTATGTCATTAAGAAAGATTAAATTGTCAACTCTCCCAATTTGTCAGATCTCATTGACTGTAAGATGGATCTCAATGCCAAAGATGTTAAATGTAAAAGTACCTTAGAATCAATGCTCTAAGTATATTCTCACTATTCATTCCACAGAGAAAATTTATTGCTAATAAAATGTCTACCTTTCTAAAGCCAAAAATTTCAGTGTTTTCATGCAGGTCTATAATTTTCTAACCAAAAAAATACTTACATCATCACAAGACATATTGTATTCTGCTAATACCGTTCGACATCGAGCAGCTATACTGAATACATGTGGTCAAAGGAAAATTTCTCATTTCAAGAGTATGCTTTTAGGCCGGGTGCGGTGGCTCAAGCCTGTAATCCCAGCACTTTGGGAGGCCGAGGCGGTCGGATCACAAGGTCAGGAGATCGAGACCATCCTGGCTAATCCGAGATCGCGCCACTGCACTCCAGCCTGGGCGACAGAGCAAGACTCTGTCTCAAAAAAAAAACACAAAGCGTACTCTTTTTTTTTTTTTTGAGACGCAGTCTTGCTCTGTCGCCCAGGCTGGAGTGCAGTGGCGTGATTTCAGCTCACTGCAACCTCTGCCTCCCGGGTTCAAGCGATTCTCCCACCTCAGCCTCCCGAGTAGCTGGGACTACAGGCACAGACCACCACACCTGGCTAATTTTTTGTATTTTAGTAGAGATGGGGTTTCACCATGTTGCCCAGGCTGGTCTCAAACTCCTGAGCTCAGGAAATCCACCCACCTCAGCCTCCCAAAGTGCTGGGATTACAGGCGTGAGCCACCACGCCCGGCAAGAGTAAGCTTTTAACCATTACCTAGATCAACAAAGCACTTCAGAGAATGGAATTTAATCCTTGGTAAAGGATACATTGATGGTGCAACTACTCTCTTGTGTATTCCAGCAAAGAACAAGCCTATTAGAGTGATACAGCTAATGGTGAAAAATGGGTGATTCCATAATGATGTGAAGAAGGACACCTGTAAAAGAAGAGATGAAAATATAAAAATGTTAAAAATCTTAGGATGGCTGATTCCTACCTCCCCACTTGTACATAAATATATATAATATTTTTTATCATATAAACCATGAGGATTTGAAGACTTCTAATAATCTTAGTTCTCTGTATTGCTGCGTTGTAAAAATAAAAATGTATAGGCTATCTTCTATAAAGCAAGATAAATATAGCAGTATTCCCTCCATTCATTTCAAATACTTGAACTATTACAAATTCATTCCTATAATCAAAAAACAACCCTATCAAAAATATTTACTGAACTCTGCATTGAATGAGTGAAGATGAGGCCTCTGGTCTCAATGAAAACACAAATCAAACTTGATTTAGTTACCTTCCCTGTTTTTTTTTTTTTTGAGACAGAGTTTCACTCTTGTCACCCAGGCTGGAGTGCAATGACACATTCTCAGGTCACTGC
Organism: Homo sapiens; assembly: GCF_000001405.40. NCBI lineage: Eukaryota > Metazoa > Chordata > Mammalia > Primates > Hominidae > Homo > Homo sapiens. The sequence continues at coordinate 50,032,943 of NC_000016.10, read as the reverse complement.
AACCTCCACCTCCAGGATTCAAGCAATTCTCCTGCCTCACCCTCCCAAGTAGCTGGGATTACAGGCGCCCACCACCACACCCGGCTAATTTTTGTACTTTTAGTAGAGACGGGGTTTCACTATGTTGGCCAGGCTGGTCTTGAACTCTTGACCTCAGGTGATCTGCCCGCCTCGGCCTCCCAAAGTGCTGGGATTACAGGCGTGAACCACCACGCTCAGCCTACCTTTACTGTTAAAAAGCTTCCTTAAAAGAGTTGAGCAAACTCTGCCATTCATAACCTGATCCCAGTCTAATTTTCATCTCCTGCCATATTTCCACACATATGCTGCCTTGTTCACCTCTCTCCCTCCACCTGGCTAACTCTTACATATCCTCATAACACTCAATTCCAGCATCACCCCTTCCTCCCTGCAGAGGCAAAAAACAAATTTGGTTTTGAAGCTACTGAGATCTAAATGACCACAGGACATTCAAGTAGGGAAAAACGATTAGTAGCTATCCATAAAGAACTAGAACGAAGGAGAAAGAAAGGGCTGATTTCAGATCTGGACATATCAAATGATAGCAGAAAACAGGACAATCCACAAGTCTAAGAATATGTAGAGGGACAAGGGTCCAGGATCCATGACTGGAATAAGAATAGGCACCGAAATGGAAACGTTGACTGGAGACACAGAGAAGACAAGCATTTAGAGCCTGTGTAGAAAGAAATCAAGTGGATTAGTAACTAGATGGGAGCAAGAGAATCAAGTTAAGCACATCCCCACTCCACTCTCACAGCAGGAGACGCGCAGGCACGTGTTTCAAGACAGAAGCACCAGGTAGATGGCTCAGCATGGTACTGGTTACAGAAGTTTGTCAGATGAAGAAATGAGAGGCTGAAAATACCAGGAAAGAAGCTCCCAGAAAGATGATGACCCAAGGAAAAGTTAATATTCCAGAAGAACGTCTTCTTCAAACCTCCGAGGAGTTTCTCATAAGCCAGCTCTGTTGTGTGTGGCCTGCACCAGGTTAGCATATACAGTGCTTTATGTCTTCATTTTAATTAGGCCATCAGTTTCAGCCTTCCTCCCTCCATGGCAACACTCCAATGCATTGAAACAGCAGTTCTCTCCAGGCCAGGCAGTCAGGTACTTCCTGTCTGCCATATTCTTTCTCTCCCTAGGTTCTTCTACCTAGCCACTGCTCCTGAGTTTGCAACTCTTGCTACAGATACAATTGCTGGTTAAAACTCCTGTCAGGTTTGGGGTTATTAAATACTGAAATATAAAGAGCCAACCCTTAGGCGAATAGTTATATTCTCACCTAATTTAGAAAATTATATTAACTACATAGTTTTGGGCCTATTTCAAATTACATTTAATTCTGTGTTTTATTAAGATCTCAACTAGCTGAGATCAGCTTATATTTTTCCCAATTAGAAGTCAGACTCATTTCCCAAGATGGATCTTTTTCAATCTTCTTGCCAGCCTCTTTCCACTCTTCCCCTAAAGATGACTACCAAGTGCAGCCTTAAGATCAGATTTTTATAAATGAACACACAAGAGAGTTTCCTGTCTGCCATAAAAATCCTCTATTAACATAAAATTCCATCACCAATCTCCCCTTGCTTCCTATCCTTTTAAATATCTCCACCTCAGCAGATAAAGTTAGGGAGACTATATGCGAAATAAACTTCTCTGGCTGTCTGAATTGCCATGGAGACTGATGACAAAAGCCTTCTCTTAGGCTTTTCTTCTGTAAAACCTAAAAGGTACAAATAGAGCTACTGAAAGTAGTCTACTTAATTGCAGCTTAAAGCGGGGAGGGGATTTTTAAGATTTGTGAAAATTACATCATTACTCCCTAAATAAAACTGCACTGGGGGAAAGAAACTTCACTAAAAAATTGGAGACTAACTACTTCTCTAATAAAAAAAAGCCCTGAGTTTGAAATTAAAGCACAAATTAGTAGAAAGAGGTGGAAATTTGAGAAACATGCTATCAGCTTTCATCAAAGGATGCTTCAAGGAATAACATTATGAAATCAGTTATTGCATTTGGTATAGGGATATTCTTGCACAGTGCCCAGTGGGAGATCCCTCAGTGTTTCCTGTATTAAACTTCAGGCAAGAAATTTTTTTTCAGAGATAAATGTTGGGAAAGAAAAGCTTTGCTAGCCCAAGGAATTGATATATGTGTTATCTTACAGGCAATGAAAATCACAGAATTAACTGTGACTTCACTGATTAGGTAACTCAGAGACTAATTTATAATCCAATTCTGGCAAGTGTGTTGGGAAACATGGCCTATACATCAGTGAGCTGGTTTCCTTTCTGGTTTTGACCTCATGGTCCAACTTGTTTTTATCTAGTCCTGACTTTTTATTATATGTGTATTTTGCTATTTTATCATGTGTGTTTCCTGTAAAGTCATCTCCAGTGTTTTATGGGATGAAGAAAGGTATTAACAGAGATAACTCATAGAAGAAAATGTTATTTTACAATTTTTTTCTCTCCCTCTTTTTTTCTGAGACAGGGTCTAGCTCTGTCACACAGGCTGGAGTGTAGTGGCACAATCATAGCTCACTGCAGCCTCGATCTCCTGAGCTCAAGTGATCCTCCCACCTCAGCCTCCCAAGTAGCTGGGTACAGCATGCTACACTTGGCTGATTTTTAAATTTTTTGTAGAGATGGGGTCTTGCTATATGACATTGCCCAGGCTGGTCTTGAACTCCTCCCTTGGCCTCCCAAAGTGTTGGGATTCCAGGTATGAGCCACCATGCCTGGCCTATTTTAGAACTTTTAAAAGCTGGCACTGATGACACTCAATGAACAAAGCAGAATGAAGATAATACTCACACTGAAGTAAAAATGAGAGATATAAAAAAAATGTAAAAATGATAAATTCAGAAGTGAATGACAAATAACAAATAAATGTCTAAGAAATAATAGCATCTCTTAGACCTTTTCCCTGTAGACATACTTAATTCACAATAGCCAGCCAAAATCTTCCTTGAGCAAATTAATAAAAGGCATATTTTTAATATGACAATATCACTAGTAGTAGTTAATAGGTAGTGTTTGAATACTTTATCATTAACAAAGCACTACAATATCCATTATCTCATTTAATTATGCTAATGATTTTAAAACAAAACTTCTACCTTTTGTGTCTCAGGGTCTATTAACCAGTTCCAGGCACCAGTAGCTGTACAGACAGATACCACTATAAGAAGCACTGATGAAAGATAAACACGAAATTAGTAAGCAAATACATACTTAATATGTGATACTATCACCACCAGTTCCTACTAAATGACAACCAAAGAATATAGCACTTTATTAAATGGAAAATGCACTAACTAGACTCAGGAATTAGAAGGCTTGCCATCTGGCTTCGAGGAATTCTCTTAAACATTGTGAACCTTAGTAATTAAGGATACTGTTTCTCTTATGATTTGGTCAGAACTTATGATGATCAATGAAATAAAAAGCAATTCGATGGTGACACTTCAGTAGAAGAGTCTACGCTATGTAACGTTCACTGTGCTTAGTGAAGATTTTGCAGATCTTGTAAACTCAAATTAAAAAAACAAACTCATTTTCTACTGTAAACAAACCATCAAAGACTCCTTTTTGAATGTACTGAGAAGACTGACTAAAGGATTTTGCTTTGCAGATGACTGCCATGGTTACATTAAAGTCAGTGCAGGAAGTATGGAGCACACCAGTTAGTATCGGATTTTCTTTAAGAGACTTAAAGAAAGGTAGGGTAGAAATTACTGCCAGTAAAACTTAGAAAAGGTCTTTCTCTCCACTAAGCTAGAATGATTTTAGAAATTCTAAATAAATCATAAGTAAAACTTAAGAATGGTATTAGTAAAAAATAATAAAGGGGCATCAAGACCCAGTTAATATTCTGGAGATGATGACCGTTGCCTGTCTTTCAGCTAGGATGCATACATTTTTCAAATGTGGAAATTCAGTTTCCAAGAACAACAGAAATATAGCAAATATACAAATATAGTAAAACCTTAATTATCTAGAATTCCTTGATGTACTTTTAGAAGACGTAAACTAAAGAAAAAAAATCTTGTTTTAGGTATTAAATAGGATCAAAATATCAAAACTATGTTCTGAACTCAGAACAGACTGAACTCAATTTCTTACAATTCTGTATTTCCAGAAATGCACTATATTACACATGTATGTTTTAAAAAAATAAGAAAAAGCAAAATCAATACACTAGAAAGGACCTCATACACATGCTTTATTTGACTGGTTCATTAACCAAGTAAGTGCTAAGACCATGAGTCAGAGAAAAAGTAAAGTATATTTATATCACATTTTATAAGATAGGGCAGTATCATATACATTTTAAAAGATTTTCAAGTAACAGTGAAACATAGGTTTTGGGGATAATTCCTAGGTAAACCAGAGAACCTAGGAAAATCATTACCTGTAAATTCTGACCAACCAGAATTCTCACAGCATACTAATAAAACTTTGCAAATAGATTTAATAAAAATTATACAAAAAAATCTTGCCAGATCCTTAGATCCTTAGCTTCAATAGTGCTTTTTTGGTCCAGCAAACTGATTTACACTTTGAAATAAAGTAAATCCTCAATGTGTGCTACTACACTTCCTTCTTGATAGGAATTAAATCTAAATAATGACCATCTAGGAAATTAAAACTATTTGGCCCAGCGTGGTGGCTCACACCTGTAATCCTAGCACTTTGGGAAGCCAGGATGGGAGGATCACCTGAGGTGAGGAGTTTGACACCAGCCTGGCCAAAATGCAGAAACCCTATCTCTACTAAAAATACACAAAAAAATTAGCTGCCGTGGTGGCGGGCACCTGTAATCTCAGCTACTAGGGAGGATGAGGCAGGAGAATCACTTGAACCCGGGAGGCAGAGGTTGCAGTGAGCGAAGATGGCGCCACTGCACTCCAGCCTGGGCAACAGAGCTAGACTCCATTTCCAAAACAAAAACAAATAAAAACTATTCCAAACACATATTAACAAAGCATTTTGTTTGATGATCTCATGGCTCATATATTTGTCCACATTTCCTATGTATTTCCATGGGCAAGTAAGCACTGTTCAAATTATATTTTGTAGCACTCATGATACTTATGAATAGATAGTAATAATGTGAATTTTCTAGGTCAGACTTCAAAGCAGCACAATTATGCTTTGTTAAAAATCAACTAAGGGTAATTTTGTAACTTTTCCAAGTATACATTAAATAACATGACTTTACTTTTTTTTTTTTTTAAACACAGGGTCTCCCTCTGTTCCCTAAGCTGGAGTGCAGTGAACATAGCTCACTTAGCTCACTACATAGCTCACTACAGCCTCGACCTCCTGGGCTCAAGTGATCCTCCCAAGTTGCTGGGACCTCGGGGTGTGCCACCATGCCTGGCTAAATTTTTTTTTTTTTTTTTTTGAGACAGAGTCTCGCTCTGTCGCCCAGGTTGGAGTGCAGTGGTGCAATCTCGGCTCACTGCAAGCTCTGCCTCCTGGGTTCACTCCATTCTCCTGCCTCAGCCTCCAGAGTAGCTGGGACTACAGGCGCCCGCCACCACGCCCGGCTAATTTTTTTATTTTTAGTAGAGACGGGGTTTCACCGTATTAGCCAGGATGGTCTCGCTCTCCTGACCTCGTGATCCGTCCGCCTCGGCCTACCAAAGTGTTGGGATTACAGACGTGAGCCACCGCGATGGGGTCTCTCCATGTTACCCAGGCTGGTCTCAAACTCCCATGCTCAAGCAATACTCCAGCCTCGGCCTCCCAAAGTGCTGGGATTATATGCGTGACTCACTGAGCCCTATTAATATGACTCTTCTTACTAAAATTTTATTCCAATAGTTTGTAGGCAAATTATAAAACTGCTAAACGGGCTACTGAAATTTTTATTAGGTATGTCTTTATCAAAACTGTAATAATTCAAAAATTTAAATATTTTTATTATTTATTTATTGAGACCGGGTTTTACTCTTGTCGCCCAGGCTGGAGTGCAATGGCGCAATCTCGGCTCACTGCAATCCCCGCCTCCCGGGTTCAAGCGATTCTCCCACCTCAGCCTCCTGAGTAGCTGGGATCACAGGCAGCGTCACCACGACCGGCTAATTTCGTATTTTTAGTAGAGACGGCGTTTCACCGTGTTGGCCACGCTAGTCTTGAACTTCTGACCTTAGGTGATCCGCCTGCCTGGGCTTCCTAAAGTGCTGGGATTACAGGCGTGAGCTACGGCGCCTGGCCAAAAAATATGTTTTTTAATGGAAAAACAAAAACAACCACACGAAATAGACTGTTCTTTTGAGAAGGCCAGTTATAATTTCCTTTTCTTAAAAATTTCTTCATAAGGCATTGTCTACAATGTTAAATAAATTTAAACAAACATTTTACATAAAAGCAAATCATTCCTATATTAGGATAAAAGTATCAATTGTTAGTTTTCCCTTAAAATAACATTCAGGAACTTACTTCTCCAGCGTCCAGTAGCAGGTTGCAAACAATGAATATATTCAGTAAGTCTCCTCTCAAAAGCCTTGAGATCTAGGTATAAAGATGTCAATTTTCTAATTAGCCACTCTTACTCGTCTGACGAAATGTCAGAGTATTTACCTAACATTAAGACGACATGTGAGATACTCTTAACTGCTTCAGGTCTTACACACTAACTTCCATGTATCACTGCACTGTTTATTTCATTTACTATGACAGCTTTTTAAGCACTTGACAAAAAATTAGGGCTCTTTAATTCCAATTTCTCATATAAGAAAACTTGCTGATTTACTTTTAGAAGCTTCATAAATGGTATTGGGAGAAATAAGCAGCAGCCTCGGCCAGCGCCAAAAGCGAACATTTTCAGGGTTGCAAATAAAATTAAAATCAGGTCGAGTTTTAGCTCTCTGGGAACCAAGAACTTCCTATTAGAACCACGTAGTGCCTAACATCAAAGTCTTCGAGGTCTACCTGACTGCAATTACCCGCCTCCGGTTTCCAGCTCTTATATTTAATTAATGGCTACGCCGTCTGGCCTTACTAGACTTCTTGACACTGATAGCGAGTGGGTGTGGAAAGACATTCCCCTTGCCCCCTCCGAAGGGGTACAGGTGATCTTCGTGGCACCCAGGCAGCGCCTAGTTCTAGAAGACAGGGGCGTCTAAGCTGCTCCGAGTGAGTGGTGGGGTATCCTTTCCGCAGTGGTGTGCTTTAAACTTTAAAACACCGAGCAGCACTTCCTAACCTTGGCAGTTACCGGAAACCACCGCAGGAATCAGGGATACAACTCGCGGGGCTGTGAGAATGAAATGAAATGAATTAGCAGGCTGCAATGCACGAAGTGCAAGTGTCTGCCAGTGAAAAGAAAATAAAAATAGAAGCTGGCGAGGAGGTCGACCCTCTAGGTTTGTGGGGACTCAGGGAGCTGAGGCACCGCCCCCCGCGTCTGGCCAGGTACGGCCGCCTACGCGCCCCCAAGCTCCGGGCCCCTAGCTCCATCCTCTGCGGCCTCCTCCCGGGGCGGGGGTCTTCACGACGCCGGCTCCTCCGGAGCACCGCCAGCTTCCGAGGGGAGACGGGGGACGGGCCCGGGCGGCCCACCCTACCTTCCGCCTGCTCCAGCGAGTTCATGTCGGGCGGCAGCTCGGGTCACCGCCGCTGCCCTGTCCGCATCGCAGCTTCCGCGGCCCCCGCCCGGCCCGCAGCGCCAACTCCCACCTCTAACCGCTCCCCGCTGCCCCTCCCCGTCGCACCGCCCCTTGCCTAGACCCGCTACGCTCATTGGATTCCTCTACTAGACCTCCAACTAAGACAGCTTTCTATTGGCTGTCTCTTGCACCGGCCTCGGCGCCTAGCGTTGGACGGTCAGCCGGAGGGACCAAGAACTGCCGGCGGCCAGGCGGGCGTAACGCTGGCGTCGCCTGCTGCCCCGGGGAGGAACTGCAGCCCTCCGGAGCCAGTTCGTTCATTCATTTATCCCCCGTTCCCCGCTTGGTTCTTTCATTCGTCAAATGTTGATTGAGCGCCCACTACCTTCCAGGCATTATTCTGGTCGCTAGCGAGGGATACAGAAATCAAAGAGCTGGTTCTGTCCTCAAGGATCTCAAGGAGTAATGAAATCTGTACAGAACTAACTAGAACCCTAAATAACCAGTTTCCTTAATTATGGTATCCTAGATAACCAACCCCTTAAGTAAACACTTCTCTCTTGGTTACTTTCCTCTCACATCACCCAGCTTTCATAATTCCTAAATGAGGCAAAGTGTAAGCCCAAATACCTATAACTTAAGAAGAGATCTGTAAGGGATTGACTACATTTGTATTTGATCACAAGGCCTTCTTGTTCATTTATTGGTGGCATTCTTTCATTCAAAATCATTTTATTGCCTAACATGCTAGACACTGTATTGATACGCGTGTGAGCCAGGTAGACAGGATTCCTGCCCGCAAAGAGGAAGGGCTACAGCAGGCAACAAACATGCAAATAAGTAATTGATTTCAAATAAGAATAGTTGTGTTAAAATAGAGATCCTGGCCGGGCGCGGTGGCTCACGCCTGTTAATCCCAACACTCTGGGAGGCTGAGGCGCGTGGATCACTTGAGGTCAGGAGTTGAGACCAGCCTGGGCAACATGACAAAACCCTGTTTCTACTGAAAATACAAAAAAATTATCCAGACGTGGTGGTGCATGCCTGTAATCCCAGCTCTTTGGGAGGCTGAGGCACGAGAGTCACTTGAACCCAGGAGACGGAGGTTGCAGTGAGCCACTGCACTCCAGCCTGGGTGACAGCGTGAGACTGTCAAAAAAGAAAAAGAAAAAAAAAAGAATCTAAGACTGATGGGCTAGATTTTTTTGTGGCAGTAACATACCAACTTATAAACAAGACCTAAGGCCCTGCCAGGCAAGGGTTAAATCACTCAAGACCCAGACACTTAAAGAATAAACGATGTTCTAACTGCCACAATGTTCGTTTTTTTCCTCTAGCAGCTAAACAAGCAATATTAAAACAATTGCAGCTTACCAAGTACCAGTCACTGACTAACTGATCCCTTTGTTCCACAAGCCATAACTCCTGCTTTCATTAGACAAGAGACTGATTTCAGTAACTTTCTCCTGATAAGAGACCACCCACCATAGATTGGCCCTAGCCAGTCTACAGAGGCTGCACAATGAGTGCCTTTATGTTCTCTGCTTCGCCTTTTGACGTAAAGGGTCTAACTGTAATGCATTTAAATGTTAAGTCTCTACCCCAAAGTGAACATGTGACCCATGTAACATGCATGATTGTTTATTATGCATGTGTGCACCCCTCTTTCCTGAATAGCTTCTCCTATAACCTGTTAAATATGTATACTTGGCCAACCCATTTGGCATAAATTCCTGCTTCACCCTTCCTCCTTCAAAGTGCCTGCTTTTGGTCTCTGCCAGAGACCATACTTCCCAGCCTATAAGGATGGCCAGCCTGCAGGCTCCAACCCTTCAGAAATAAACCTCTTTAGGCCAGGCACAGTGGCTGATGCCTGTAATTCCAACACTTTGGGAGGCTGAAGTGGGAGGATCACTTGAGTCCAGGAGTTCCAGACCAACCTGGGCAACATAGTGAGATTCTGTCTCTACAAAAAACAAACAAACAAACAAAAAACATTTAAAAATTAGCTGGGCATGGTGGCATGTGGCTGTGGTCCCAGATACTCAGGAGGCTGAGGCAGGAAGATTGCTTGAACCCAGGAGTTCGGCGCTGCAGTGAGTTATGATTGCACCACTGCACTCCAGCTGGGGCAACAGAGCAAGACCCTGTCTCAACAAACAAACAAACAAACAAACAAACAAACAAGCAGAAATAAAGCTCTCCTCCCCAGATTTATGAACCTCATGATCCTTTAGTTGACAGTTCTATGGAGGGAGTAACAGTAATAGGATACAGTGAGAAAAAGGAAGGTTAGCAGGATCTCATGCTTTGGGAGGGCTTCATGAGGCACAGGCATTTGAGCTGAGAATGAAAAGATGGATGAGAAGAATCCAGCCATGCAAAGATGAGGGCTAAGAAGGTTCTAAGCAGCACTGCAGTTTTTCCCCTATTGGTATTTTGTGTATTTAATTCATCCTCAACCTTCCTCCTTCCCATTTGTCAGCAGAATTAATTGACACCCCCACCCACCACTTCATTTTGAAGGTTCCTCTACTATAGCACTTTTCAGTTTTCCACTTAGGGAGCCTTCCTTGGGACCAAACCCTTTCCATGTGTTATCACCCTTAACCCTTTCAGGTGATATTTTTTAAACCGTGGGTCAAAATCTAGAGAGGTTTGTAAAATCTATGTACTGATTCATGACTATTATTATTATTTTTAATTTTTTTGTGGGTTCATGGTAGCTGTATATATTTATGGGGCACATGATGACTATTTTTTTTTTAATGAATTAAGGCCAGGCACTGTGGCTCACGCCTGTGATCCCAACATTTTGGGAGGCTGGGACGGATGGATTGCTTCAGGTCAGGAGTTTGAGACCAGCCTGGGCAACACGGTGAGACCCTCTCTCTACAAAATATACAAAAAATTAGCTGGGCATGGTGGTGTGTGCCTATGGTCCCAGCTATTTGGGAGGCTGTGCTGGGTGAATCATTTGAGTCCAGGAGGCAGAGGTTGCAATGAGCCGAGATCACACCACTGCACTTCAGCTTGGGTGACAGAGTGAGACCCTGTCTAAAAAAAAAAAAAAAAAAAAAAAAAAAACTAAAAAGAAACCTAATTGGAAGTAAGGATGTGGGGTTTCATGGCCTATTGTTTCCGTTGTGTGTGGATGTGTGTGCATGCTCACCGTGTTCTCATCACAGTACAAAGCATATACCCGAGAGTTCCACTTTAAAAAAAAGTTTGAAAGTTCGAAAGTCATCACGGCCCATTTCACAACAGAGAAAGTAAAAATCAGTTTGCCCGGATCTCACAATTATTGTCATAGCCTGATTTTAAGCCCTAAGTCAAACTACCCATTTTGACTTCTTGCTCAATGTTCCATTTCTCCATCTCCAAGTCTAATTCATCACATTTCCCTTCGGCACACAGCAGTGCTTAGAGAATGGCTATTGAACATCTGTTATATGACAGGCTCTCCTGGGCTAGATCCTGGGGAGGTGAGGAGTGAAGACAGACTGATGAATAGGGCATTGCAAAGCATTGTGGTGAGTGGAGGCTTTGCTGACTTGCCTTCAAAAGGGACAGTTCTGTTAACTGCAGGGCTTTTGTTTGCCTGAGGGGGGTGTGCAAGTTTCTAGCAAGAGCTTGGGACAACAGAGGGAACAGTAAGGGCTACCTCCTGGGGTGTTGCCTCGCTATCCTTCACTCTCAACTGTGTTAAAATAAATATTGAACATGCTTTTGAAAGGGTGCATGTTATTTGCCTGTCATTGGTGTCTACATTTATGGATAGAGGGATTGGGGGACATAGGGGAGGGAGACAGGAAAATAGGGTCTCATAGTCAGGTTAAGGAATTTGGACCATGAGGTAGTTGGGGAGATGAAAAGGAACAGATTTCGGAACTTCATATCCATGGGACTTGGCAAGGAGGAGATAGTAACACATATTTAAGGAAGACGTGTTCCAGGCACTAGAGTATGAGCTGAAGATGCAAAGATCTGTAAGACTCACTCCTACTGTCTATGAAGGTAGAGTTTAGTGTAAAAACAAAAGAAGACAAAACACTAATGACCCTTAAAACAGCAATGATAAGATGAAGATCAGCTGCTAAGAGAGATCACCTATAAAATAGTTAAAGTTGGTTATCTTTTACTAGGGGGTTGCCACTCTGCCTTTTATTAGTTCAGGAGCATTGAATCTTCTTTAAACGTCACAACAACAGCTCTATGAGCCAAGGGGTGCTATCAAATTCATTTCAGAGATGAGTTTATAGATGAGTAGATGAGTTGATCAACCCTGAACCCTGTAGCTGGAGATATATTCCTTCTCTCTCGTTCTCTCTTTCCACGTGGTACATCAGATCAGATAGCAAACCCTATTAGCTCTACCCTCAACATATATTAAATATTTCAGTTTGGACAACACAGTGAGACTCTGTCTCTGAAAAAAATAATATTTGGACGTGGTCCCAGCTACTGGGAAGGCTGAGGTAGGAGGCTTACTTGAGCCTGGGAGGTTGAAGTTGCAGTAAGCTATGATCACACCATTGCACTCTAGCCTGGGTGACAGCAAGACCTTGTCTGAAAAACAACAAAAACAACACCAAAGAATCACTTCCCACCACCTTCACTACTACCTGGTCCACAGCACCATTTGGGCTTGATTACTGCAGTGGCCTCTAACTGGCTTCCAGCTTCTACTCCGTCTCCAACAGTGCTTTGTAAAACACTAAAAGATAGCATGGCTCTCCTGCTCAGAACCCTCTGGTGGCTCCCTAAAATGATTATAACAGTGACAGTGATCTTCATACAGTTTCTCTTGCTGTACCTTGTAAAATAATTTTGACAAGATTATATGCCATGTCACATGTTTGTAAAATGATATCACAAATTTTCATCATGGGTTTAAATACTTGTAAAAGATGTAATTTCTGGTAAGTTGTAGGTATTGACATTTGGAAAGAAAGCTATTTCGTCATTCTTTTTTTTTTTGAGATGGAGTCTCACTTTGTCACCCAGGCTGGAGTGCAGTGGCATGACCTCGGCTCACTACAACCTCTCCCTCCCCGGTTCAAGCGATTCTCCTGCCTCGGCCTCCCTGAGTAGTGGGACTACAGGCACATGCCACCATGCCCGGCTAATTTTTCCATTTTTACTAGAGATGGGGTTTTGCCATGTTGGCCAGTCTGGTCTCCAACTTCTGAACTCAGGTGATCTGCCCACCTTGGCCTCCCAAAGTGCTGGGATTACAGGCGTGAGCCACTGCACCTGGCCCATTGCATCATTCTTTTAAATGTATTCAATGGAATAGAAATACCATGGCAGGTTGATATTCACCACCATCCTTTAAAAAATATATGAATATCTCAGCTGGGCATGGTGGCTCACACCTGTAATCCCTGCAGTTTGAGAGGCCAAGGTGGGCAGATCACTTGGAGTCAGGAGTTTGAGACCAGCCTGGCCAAAATGGCAAAATCCTGTCTCTACCAAAAAATATAAAAGTTAGCCAGGTGTGGTGGGGTGTGCCTGTAGTCCCAGCTACTCGGGAGGCTGACACACAAGAATCACTTGAACCCAGGAGGAGGAGGTTGCAGTGAGCCGAGATTGCACCACTGCACTCCAGCCTGGGTGACAGTGTGAGACCCTGTCTCAAAAAAGAAAAGAAAAAAAAATGAGTATCTCTTATGAACATAGACAAAAAATTCTCAAAAAAATTAGCAAATCAAATTCAGCAACATATCAAAAGTATTATACACCACGATGAAATGTGATTTATCCCAGGAATGCAAAGTTAGTTTAGCATCAGAAAATGCGTTCATATAATATGTCGTATCAGTAGAAAAAAGGACAGAAAACACACAATTTCATAAGGATGCACTCATATATTGCTAGTAGGAATTTAAAATGGTGCAGCCACTTTGGAGAATAGTTTGGCAGTTCCTCAAAAAGGTGAACATCAGATAAACATACAGTTGCTATATGAACCAGCAATTCTTCTCTTAGGTATATATCCAAGAGAATTGAAAACATACATTTAAGTAAAACCTTATGCATGAATGTGCATAGCAGCATTATTCCTAATAGCCTAAGAGTGGAAACAATTCAAATGTCCATCAAATAATGAATGGATAAACAAAATGTGAGGTAAATACACAATGGGCTATTACTCTATTTTGCAACAATGAAAAAGAATTAAGTACTGAAATGTTACAAAATGAATAAACCCTATGTTTCCATTCATATGAAATATTCAGAGTAGGTAAATCCATAGAGGCAGAAAGTAGAATTCTGGTTGCCAGGGAAAAAGAAAATCAGGAGTGACTAACAATAGATACAGGATACTTTATGAGGGTGATGAAAATGTTGTGGAATTAGATGGGGATGATGGTTGCATGACTTTGTAAATATAATTAAAACACTGAATTGTGTATATGTATATATATATATATATATTTTTTTTTTTATTTTTTTATTTTATTTTTTTTTTTTGAGATGGAATCTCACTCTGTCACCCAGGCTGGAGCGCACTGGTGTGATCTTGGCTCACTGCAACCTCCACCTCCTAGGTTCGGGTGATTCTCCTGCCTCAGCCTCCCAAGTAACTGGGATTACAGGCATGCACCACCACATCCAGCTAATTTTTGTATTTTTAATAGAGACAAAGTTTCTCCATGTTGGCCAGGCTGGTCTCAAACTCCTGGCCTCAGGTGATCCAGCCGCCTTGGCCTCCGACTGTTCTGGGATTACAGGTATGAGCCACCAAGCCTGGCCTGAATTGTATACTTTGAAAGGGTTAATATTTTTACTTAAAAAAATATTTCAATAGGTTTTTGGGGGAACGGGTGGTGTTTGGTTACGCAAATAAGTTCTTTAGTGGTGATTTCTGAGATTTTGGTGCACCCATCACCTGAGCGGTGTACACTGTACCCAATGTGTAGTCTTTTATCCCTCACCAGCTCCACCCTTTCCCTGAAGTCCCTGAAGTCCATCGTGTCATTCTTATGCCTTTGCATCCTCATAGCTTAGCTCTAAAATGGTTAATTTTATGGCACGTAAATTATATCTTAATTTTAAAATATATCATTAACTTCTGTGCATCAAAGCATAACACTGAGAAAGTGAAAAGACAACACACAGAGTTTAATGAAATATTTGCAAATCATATATCTGGTAAGGGACTTGTATCCAGAATTTATTTATTTATTTATTTATTTTTTAGTTTTATCCTTTTATTTTTTTTGTAAAATTAAACAAACATACCAAAAAAGTTTTCTGTGTCTACAAAATGTAACAAGATGGAGACCATGTTAGTCTTTTAGAGCAGGGGGCCACCAAACCCCAGGCCAAGGACCTGTACTGGTCTAATGCTTGTTAGGAACCGGGCCACATAGCAGGAGGTCACTAACAGGCAAGCAAGCATTGCAGCATTACCGCCTGGGACCAGTTTTATGGAAGACAATTTTTCCACGGACTGGGGAGGTGGTGGGGGGATGGTTTCCGGATGAAACCGTTCCACCTCAGATCATCAGGCATTAGTTAGATTCTCATAAGGAGTGTGCATCCTAGATCCCTCGCATGCGCAATTCACAATAGGGTTTGCACTCCTATGAGAATGTAATGCCCCTGCTGATCTGACAGGAGGCAGAATTTATTTTTTGAAAGAAAAAACCTCTTATATCTCAACAATAAAAATATAAGTAACCAGGTTGCTCACGTCTGTAATGCCAGCATTTGGGAGGCTGAGGCGGGCAGATCACTTGAGGTCAGGGATTTGAGACTAGCCTGGCCAACATGGTGAACACCCATCTCTACTAAAAATACAAAAATTCGCTGGGTGTGGTGGCGCGTGCCTGTAGTTCCAGCTACTCAGAAGGCTGAGGCAGGAGAATTGCTTGAACCTGGGAAGCAGAGGTTGCAGTGAGCCAACATTATGCCACTGCCTCTAGCCTGAGCGACAAAGTGAGACTCCATCTCAAAAAACAAACAAAAAAACCCACAAAAAAGTACAACAAAAAACCAAAAATATAAGTAACCCAATTTAAAAATGGACAAAGGGCCGGGCGTGGTGGCTCACGCCTGTAATCCCAGCACTTTGGGAGCCCCAGGTGGGCGGATCACTTGAGGTCAAGAGTTCAAGACCAGCCTGGCCAACATGGTGAAACCCTGTCTCTACTAAAAATACAAAAATTAGCCAGGCACGGTGGCACGTGCTTATAACCACAGCTATTCAGGAGGCTGAGGTGGGAGGATCAGTGGTGCCCAGGA